>NC_000014.9:51429894-51732925 GCF_000001405.40 Homo sapiens | reverse complement strand
AGAATGTGGGTGTATTCAGACTTTCTGAAATGGTGAGTTGACTGCCCCACTCAAACACTGGTCCACTCTCTGACAGCTTTATTGGCAAAAGAAAACGTCATTCTAACAAAATGCAATATACCCAGACACTCTGGAGACCCGATCCATCCTAACTGTAGATCATACCAGTTCAGGAGCAGATAGCCTGCCTGGTCTATATGGCTCGGGCTCATGTTATAGACCCATGGGTTGCAACCCTGATGCACATTAGCATCACTTGTGGAACTACCCTGAGACCAAATATATCAGAAGCTTTGGGCTGGGACCCAGACTATACTGTTTTAAACTCTCTAGGTCATTCTAACATGCAGTCAGGTTTGAGAACCACTGCCATAGACTAGAGCAGTTGTAGCCATTGTGCCAATTTTTAACACTCAACAAATTTATCGAGTGGATTTTAATTCATATTATAAAGTAGTACTTAACTCTAGTCTTCCCAAGGACTTTGCCAAGTAAGGGAAGATTGCCTACTTCTCTGGTTGTATTTAGTTTAGGAGATGACAACCTTCTGTTTGTGTGTAACACAGTCCCTTGGTTCTGCTTTTGAATGTTTTCCTTTTTTCTTTGCTACAACACCCTCAGTTCAGACCCTCATCACCTTCCAACTGTCTCCCCACCTTTTGTTAGCATGGCTCTCATTATTTCTCTCAAGCCCCAAACACACGTCTCTTCCTTTTATAGCTCCGTTCTGTCCAGAAAAAACTCAGTGTCCTCATTTGGGCGTCCAAGGCTTTCATGGCTAGATTGGAGCATGATTACTCAAGCCAAAAGGCCCCTTGAGGTTCTTGCAGGTCCCTTGACTGACCACTGTTATCTCCACCTTCTAAGCTTTTGCCTGGATAGTTTGCCCCTTACTCCATCCTGCCAGAAGTCCCCATGCAAATAAAATTGCCTTTCCAGTAAAAGCTTCTCTGATCTTCCTGCCTCCCATTCCCCACCTCCCAGGTCTTTACTGCCTCTTGGCCAAAGCAATGCCTATATAAGCCCTCTATATAGTCTGGCACACAGTAGATGCTCAAAAAAATTACGAAGTTAGCAAATAAATTTCATTTATCCGCTATCAAAATTGGAGTCTGTCTTCCCTATTAGGCTCTGATCTTTCTTTAAGGGCAGTGGGTAACAACTGTATACAGTATAAAAAAAAAAAGCAAGGCTTTTGGAGAAAAGTTTGGGTTTAAAACTCTGCTTTACCACTCACTAGCTGTAGAGTCGTGGGCAAGTTTAACTGTTTCCTCAGCTGTGAAATGCGAGTGACAGACAACTCCTTGAAGGGTTGTGAGGATTAGACACGGTGTTTGTACTATTAGATGCATAGTAGGTACCAAGTATTTTCTTTCCTGGACTCCAAATCACAATTTATCAGACACTGCAAAATTCGTAACACTTGACTAGAAAACTTGTTTTGGACCGTGTGAATCCAAATGGCTCTGTTTCACAAAAGTTAAATGTCAGATTTGACAGCCCTCCTTTTCCCACCTAGTCATCAGGGGCATACTCAACCATTACCTTATCTAATTCTCCAAACAGTCCTTTAAATTATTAACTCCATTTTTTGGCCAAGAGAAGTGGCGCAAAGAGAAGGTAATGGATTTCCCTTCAGAAAAAGAGCTGGGGCTTTTCGGAATGCTGTTGACTCTCAACTCTGGGCTCTTTCCTTAATGCCATGCTGCCCTCACGTTCAGCTTTGTGAATGCATGCTTTTAAATGCAACCATTTGTTTATTTTATAATTAAACCAACAGTCCAATGATGACGGTTTTCAGGTTTAAGTTACTTATTTTGGTTAAAATATTTCCTTTTAAAGGAGAGTTTTTTTCAGCTCCATAATTTGAACTCAACAGTGGCTGACTACCACAAACTCCTGGAAGCTTGATTCCTTCACATCTGCAACTAAGAATAATAATAGTACCTGCCTTCTGGGGATATGAGGATTAAATGACTGAACACATGAAATCTGAATACATGTGAAACTGGGTCTGGCACATGGTAGTACTCAGCATCAGTTATTACCATCGTCACCACCAGGACTGTTTTACTTGGAATTCTATCACATGGAACCTTGTTGTCCTTTACTGTGCTCCATTACAGCAAAGAACATGAAGAAAACACTGTCACTCCTTAATGCTTCTCGCTTGAGAGCTCTAATAATCAAAAAGGCAATTTAAAGGCAAAAAAGTAACTTTATTGACTGCTAATCTTACCATGAAATATCTATAAGAAATAATTACAAAATAATGCAGGTTTCTTTTTACATACTTTTGGTATCATCTTGATATGATGATCCTTTCACAGAAAGGATTATTTACAGTTTATGTAGATATAAAGCTCACTGTTGCATATACAAATGTAGATGTGCAGAGGCAATATATACCAAAACGGGTATACTGACAAGCGATAGATATGTAAGAAATGCAGAATAAATAACAGCTTTATATATTTCCTTTCCTTTTTATTTTTAAAAACAATTTCCAAATACAAAACATGGATTATTCAAAGTGGATTTTTCCTATACATATATATAATTCTGCTGCAAACAGTGGATCAAAAAGCAGAAGTGTTCTTAGCATGATTCATCTTTGAAAACCCATAGAACTATTCATAAATCCAATTAGAAAGAACATGTGCAAAACCACCAACAATGTCAGCAAAACCTCAAAGATCTGATTTTGGTTGAAGTAGAGAGAAAATAAACATAAAGCAGTACCTGTTTACAGTAATTAAATATGTTTTTTCTTTATCTTTCTTTCTTAAATATGTCTTTTTTTAAATGTTTGCAAGAAACTCTAAGGGCTAAGGAAATGCACTGCATTATGATCTGGGCTCCTTAGAGTACAAACCTCACCAGGCTTAAGCATCATCCATAAGAAATGGTGGATTACTTAATGACTTATAAGTAAAACAGTCATTAAATGATCCTTTCA
Organism: Homo sapiens; assembly: GCF_000001405.40. Classification (NCBI taxonomy): domain Eukaryota; kingdom Metazoa; phylum Chordata; class Mammalia; order Primates; family Hominidae; genus Homo; species Homo sapiens. The sequence continues at coordinate 51,729,966 of NC_000014.9, read as the reverse complement.
TACTTTAATCCTCTTATGCAGAGACTGAGATACTTCCATACATTCCAATATCTGCAACTTTGGTTCTATTAAAGTATTTGATAAAAGCAAAACAATTTTGTGACCACAGAACTCTATGGAACTTTTTTTCCTTTTAAAGTGTCAGGTGAACCTAGCGTGATAAGGCAATGTTGCCTACACATCCGCGACCCAGCACAGGAGGGACAGCACAGACAGGGCATGTTCCAGCTCACCATTTGTTGTATAATACTGACTCCCAGCCAGGGGTAACACTGCTTATGTTCCACTGTACCCTACATCTATTTCGTTACCTGAAAACATAATTTTGTATAAAAATATGATTGTTTCTTTAGAAAATAATATATAGTTTTTTTAATAAAACTGGGCAGATAGAAAAAAATGGTATATCAAAATATGGTAAACAAATGTTGTAAAATACTAAATCATTAAAAATATCTTATAGAAAGACATTGTGCTATGAAGTTCTCTCCTGAAGTGTGAACTACGTTTTTACTTTACATCAAAAGATTGATAAATTCACTCCCCTGACTTGGTTTCATTATATATTGTAACAGCAGCACAACAGGTAACTGTCTTAAAAATGGCCCTTTCTCATACACTACGTCTTCTGTACACTTTTACTTCAAAATTAACAAGACACCCCCAGGATCAGTGGTTTTCAACTTTGTTGCATATTAGCTCCATCTGGAGAACTTTAAAAGAAAAGGCAATTCTACTTGGGTCCCGCCACAAGAGAATGATGTAATCGGTCTGGTGGGAGACTCAGTCATTATTTTTTAAAAGCTCCCCCCAAAATTCTGTTATACAATCAGTGTTGAGAATCATGGCCAAAGGCACATGAGAAAACAGTCATTCTGAACTCTACATATATCAACTGACTGTCTGCAGGTATCATTCACTCAGTGACATATTCTCAATCTTAAGGAATTCCATGTATAAAAGATAGTCATGGAAGCCAAAATGAAGACATAGTAAGCTTTAAACACATATAGACATACACAATCCCATGTATTTATATATGTATAATATATACACAGAGTATTTTGGTTAAGCAGAAACTAGCATTGCCATAATTTGTTCTTGATAATTAAACAAATAAAGCATCACCAAGCACCAACGTTTTCTAAGACATTTTCCAAAGTTTTAACAGACACTGGTTTTGTAAACTCCACAAAATGCATTACAACATGAATATAATTCATCTGTTACTTGGATGTGGAACTCAAATGAATCCTGGAGCTTTCTGGAAGATCACAAAAGAGGACATGGCACTGAGCGGGATGAAGGAGTCACAGGCATCACAGCATGCACTTCTGGTTTTCTGCTTATTGCTTATGTGCTTCTGTCACATACGTATCTTTGGCTTGCTACAACCTTATGATTTTGACCACTCCATCAGTGTTCACTTTGGGACAGCCTCAGGGAGGAAGCAATGGGTATACAGAGCAATCATCTCTCTGTTAAAAGAAGAGAGAATCTTCCCTCTTTCCTCTCCCAAACTATGAGCATTTTATGTGGGAGTGGTAAAAAATTTATAAGCAAACAAATCTAACATCTTTCACGTGATAAAAAAATGTGATGTTACATGTAACTGAACTAAAAAGCATCAGATGAGCAAACACACCACACTCCAATATTCTGAAGGCTTTGCAATCAGTAAAGCGCATTTCCTTCTGAAGGATCAGTGAACTTCCGGGCACTTGTCTTGCTGTACATTTTCTGTAGTTCTTTTACTTCTGTGTAATACTTAAAGTGCAATTGTTCCAAGGCTTTTGTTTCCATCATCACAAATATTATAAAGAAAGAGCTATGTTTAGGGTGAAGAAGATATGGCACAAGTAATATGTAAAGAACTTATGACTTTCGCATCCTCTAGCAAACAGTAAGCTGCCTGTACAGCTGCACACAGACGGACTTTACACAACAAACTCTGGAACTTCATCATGAGTGAGATCCAGAGAAAAGTATTTGCTGGTTCTTTTGACTGGAAAAGCATCTTGGATGTTGATGCACTGCTGGGCCAAGCAACTGTTGCAATAGAGGCCTTCCTCATCCAGTTCATGGCCACATCCAAAGGTGTAACTCTGAGCAGTGTCCTGACACAGACCTGCAATGCGCAGGAAGTCTTTCTGGTAAAGTCTGATGTCATCGAGGCTCAAGCTGTGTCGATCAGTGGAGGTCTTTGGTTTCCGACATATAGTCTGCAAGATAAGGGAAGGATGAAACAACTTTAAAGTGAAAGGTTAGAATATTTGCCTTGTAAAGAGAGATGCTACAGAACCACAAAAGGTTAAGTAATCCTTACATGTTAGAAAGTGGTTTCCAATCTGTGGTTTCTGGGCTGTATGGGGAAATATATCATCAACACCACCTCCATCAGTAATAATAGCAGCTAACATTTACCGAGCAATTACTATGTGCCAGGCCCTGACCTAAATACTCGGCATGCATTAACTCATTTAATCTTCCTAACAGTCCTAGGAAGCAGGCACTATCATTCTCCTCATTTTACAAATAATCCAAAGCACAGAGGTGCAAATACAACAGGAATCCAACTATCCCTAGCATTTCAGAAATCAAGTAATTATCTTGAAATAAGGTCATATAGGTAAAGACATGGCTTCCTTTTTTTTTTTCAGTAGGATATGGCAATTCAGACCTTTTAGGCCAAGGTCTGTTATTATTTTATTAAGAAATAGGAAAATAAACCAATTATTACCAAGAAACACAGTTTTTCTCTTTAAAAGGCCAGAATTCTTGGGTTGAATATAAAGTGTTCTTGGTGCTGGGTAGGATATAGGGTGTTCTTGGTGTTGAAGAGGCTGGGAGGCAGGCACCAGGACTAAGTTCCCGAACACGAGTCGGGGGTGGGGGGGTTCCGCCAAATGCTGTACACAGCAGGGGGCAGACTTTTTTTTATTATCCCAAGAGGTGGTATTAGAAATAGGTTAAAAATGATTCTGATAATTATATGAATGGAAGATATGCAATGGGTTATTTAAGGAAACCAGGTATTATATCTTTAAATTTTGCTGCTTCCCACCACAAAGGACAACCCTGTTAGAATAAGATACAATTTTTGCTAGAGGCAAAAGTTCCAGAAGCATGTTTTACTAGGAAGTGTCACATCCGAGTGATCCCTTGTGCTGATGCTGTCTTCCCAGACTCCAACAGGATTTCACACATAGAATCATTTGGTCATCCCCACAAACTCTCAAGGAAGGCACACAAAGTTCTCCCCATAGTGTAGGTGTGGAATCTGACTATCAGCTGTGCCCCAGAAACATCTCTTAAGAGTAGATTACTCATTGCAGTTTTCAGGAAAATATTTCATAAACATCATTTTCACATTATGGTTACTTCAACGCAAGTAAGAGAAAGAAAAGACAAATGAGAAAAAAGGGAGGAAAGAGGAAGAGAAAAGTAGGGACAAGGAGAGCCAGAATGCAAATGAAAAAAGAGAAACACACACAGAAGGGAAAAAAACAAGACACAAAGAGAGCCCAAGAAAGAAAGGCAGGAGGAGGGAGGAAGTGCTCAGGAATTAGGGCCATTAGTCATACATTACATCCAAATGCTGAAACCATGAGTTTCAGAGTATTTTATCTATATTGCTGGACATTTAATAGTTTAACCAATGATCACAGGTTGTCAAATGCTCTAGGCTCAGCATACTTTGAAAATTCAATCTGAATGGAATAACCAGAGTGTGGAAACATTTCTGCCAGAACACACTGACAAAAAATATTATTCTCCCAGGTTGAGGACAAGCAACACACACAGACACATGCATGTGCACACGTGGTTCGCCTGAAGCCTGAAGAACAGAGGCTTCCCAACCATATAAAATGTGAAGCAAAATCTATAACTTATCTAAGTAAAAATCAACTCAAAGATAAGCAGAACTAGCAAATAAGATGGAAATAAATTCAGAATAAAGCTAGAATGTACGTATCTAGGAAGGATCATTTCCTTAGGGTTTTTAATTTTTGCTCATTTGTATAAATGTAAGTTACTACTTAAAATTTTCTATAACTTCAGTTTCCTAACTGATATTTTTCAATTCCTTTAATACCTGTGGAAGAGAATCAGTACTCTGGCCACGAAGCTTAACAACTGTTTCTGAAGAGCTCGAGGTGGAAGACCCAATTTCTTTCACAATCAACCCTGAAATAAAACACAGAGATAAAAACAATAAATACTTCAAATTATTCACACCTCTTGCCATATATTCTGACATATTGCTATCAGGAATGAAAAATCAAATATTAACCATTACCAAAAAGTTTCACTGTGACTCTTTGGTGGCAGACAACCAGAACAGCACACACACTCTCTCTCATCTTACAGTAAATAGAGGTTAATGAGTCAAAGTAGGGTTAGAGTGTAAGAAGATGTTTAGTCTGAATTTTCTAAAACAAACTTCTAATTAAGCTATTTATGATGAAGTTATAGAAAAGAAGCAAAGACTATAGGTATAAAGCAGCCTCTTTACTGCATCTCATAAAGCTTCCCCTCTTCCCCTTTCTATTCAGCAGCAACATTAAACTTAACCCTTACTGAACACATGCCTTCTAGATTTGGTTCGGCTTGGATGTATAGTGGTGAATTGTGGGGGCTCTGGCCTCTGAAGTCAGATAGATCTGGCTGGATCCTGGCCCAGATAACTAATTAGCCATGTGTCCTGGCCAGTTACTTAGCCTCCCAGTGTCTCAGTCTCCTTCTCGTATAAAATCGGGCCAATAACAGCACCTGCCTGCTAGTTTTAATAATTACACAGTGAATGCATAAAAGGGTGAGGTACAGGGACTATACATGGATACACTCAGTTCACAGCAGCTCTTTTTGGGTGATGGGACACTTGGCACATACCTCCTGCAGCAGATCCCCCTGGGAGGAGACAAACTGGGAGGCCACAGTGAAAATTCAGTACTGGGTCTTTGAGAACAACAGAGCACCTAACCTAAGCACTTTAGCACTCGGTGGAAACCCGCCAAAATTTCAGAAGCAGAAATCCAGGGCTGACATTTCCCTATGTGACTGGCATATGAGTGAAGCACTGAGTAGAAACATGTCTCAGAAGGTAAAATTACCAATAAGAACTAGAGGTGTAAGTGAACACCGCTGAAATTTTTCTTGCCAATGGATGAAGCAAGTGTACTACAGGTCAAGCCCTAGATCCATAAGGCCAAATGGCTTCTTAAAAAAAAAAAACAAAAAACCCTTTAAGTAATGTGATTCTTATTCAACTACTGCTAGTAGTCTACAGAATGACTTGTGTTCTATCCCTTAACTCTTTAGAAACATCTCATAATGACTCAGTGTCTAGCATATGCCATAAACATATTAAGTATTCAATAATTAGTTCAATTGAAACATGAAATATGAAGACATTACTGGTTTACAAGTAGACACTTTAAAAACTCAGGGGATACTCATGTTTTAGGAGTTAGTACAAATGGCTTTAGTAGAGGATCTAGAACGATCTTTATCTTCTAAAGAGCATTAAACCTTTAAACAAGTTGTCATGGTTCCTTTTCGATTTCCTGGTAAATGTGCCCTCAGCTATCATGCCTGTAAAGAGTATTCTCCAAACTCAGACCCACCACTGGAAAAGTCAACACCGAGCTGATGCTCAAAACACTTAACCAACTCCTATCAAACTCTGTAAGAATGAAAGACAGTGTGGTATACTTCATCACTACTCAATCTTAGCTGAGTGTTTTTTTTTTTTTTAAAGATATGGAACACTTCACAAATTTGCATGTCATCCTTGCCCAGGGGCCATGCTAATCTTCTCTGTATCACTGCAACTTTAGTGTATGTGCTGCCAAGGCGAGTACTTAGCTGAATGTTTTATAAGCAACGTTTAAATGCTCAAATTAATAGAGAATTTAGAAAACTAAGATGATGTAAGAAAGAAAATAAAATCATCTATATCTATAACCCTAACATCCAAATAAAAGGCTATTAATAGTTTTACGTTTTTAAAATACACAAATAAATATTCTTGTTTTTAATTAGATGACATTTTATATAATTTTTACTATTTACCTTAACTATCCTTCTTATGTTATTAAATATTGTTTGAAAATCTCGAATTTAATGGTTATATACCATTGTATGAATAAGGTATAATTTAACCACTTGTTCTTTTTCTTTTTTTTTTTTTTGACAGAGTCTCACTCTTTTGCCCAGGATGGAGTACAGTGACACAATCTTGGGTCACTGCAACCTCTGCCTCCTGGGTTCAAGCGATTCTCCTGCCCCAGCCACCCATGTAGCTGGGATTACAGGCCTGCAGCTAATTTTTTTTTTTTGCATTTTAGTAGAGATGGGGTTTCACCACGTTGGCCAGGCTGATCTCCAACTCCTGACCTCAGGTGATCCACCCACCTTGGCCTCCCAAAGTGCTGGGATTATACGTGTGAGCCACCACACCTGGCCTTACCACTCATTCTTTAATTATTTTTATAACATTTCAACAAACTTTTTTTATATATAAATCTTCTTAAACAGCCAGGCTTTTTACTTAAATTTTATTTCTATTTAAAATTAACAGTCTTATAAAAATTAAATGCAGAAATATATAAACGCAAAGTCCAGGTCAGCTTCCCTCATACCTCCCTTCCCAAAGGCACTGCGGCATACACAGTTTTTAGACCATTTCCTTTCCACAAGCATAAACACACAGAGCTATATACATGGACCTATAATGTGCATATAATTGTGAATTTAAATTAAAATGTAATTATAGGAGAAAATTCAATATCATAAAGTACATGGGCAAAAAGGGGCAAAGTTTGGTATATGAACTCTAAGCATGTTTAGGGTAAGCAGCCTAATGAGTCAGTGTTGGTCAGAGAGATGATTCCCTGCAGCTACAGGCAGGTCTGGGAAGCCAGGGTTCTGTTGGGTTAGCGAACAGAATTCTGAAATAAAAGATGCCTCCTGCTCTTGAAGACTAAGTGCCAGGATGGTAGTGACTGTGTATCGGTCTGGTTCCTCTCTGATTTCCAGTGCCTGGCACCTGGAGGAGGAGGCTCGATGAACATCAGGAGCTGTGGATTTGCCAGAGCAGGGACAGGCTACCTCAGTCAGGCCCTTCATTCAATCAAAGCTGGAAGGGGCCATTTCAATAGTGCTGGTTCCTGAGGCATATTTCTCTAAAGAACAGACTGATTCATGATGTGTGACAAAAGCAGTTAGATCTGACTGATGTCTATAAACAAAACTGATACTGCTGCCGTTTTTTAAAGATAGTATCTTACATGTAACAGAAATATATATGATGTATTATATAACTATAGGGAATGCATGTTTTCTACAGGAATTCATACGAATATGGAATTTAAGAGTGTCTTTTTAGGTCAACCCATTTTGACACTTTTCCTCCCAGACTCCTCTACCAGTATAACACAGTGGGAAAAACAAAAAACAAAAAAACCCCAAAAACCTGGAGGCCTACTTCTGTTTCTAGCCATGTTGGATTTGTCCTCTTTGAACTATAGGTTAACTTATCTGTAAAAAGGAGGCCAGACTGAAGGGGTCTACAAGGCCTTCCAGATACATTATATGATTCTCGACACAGCATAACATAAAGAGAACCCTACTGTTCAACTACCTTTTGTCCAAAGCATGGAGCACAAAATGCTAATTCCCAGTCCTGGGTGTTTCTCCTCTTCCCTGCCTTCCACAGAAGGCACAGGATCCTGCAGTTTACAACACTGACCTGAAGAGACTCTTAGTGCAGTCCAGTCTCTGGTCTAGGGCCCCCAGCTCACCCCTTCTATTTTCTGAGGCATGTGTTTTTCAGTCCTGGATAACCTGCTACCAAGGAAGAATAACTTCCCGTAAGAGCTCACCAGAGTGTCCATTCAGCTTCCGCGACATGAGCATGTCCTCTGTGATGTAGATGCACATGTCTGGGCTGACTTCCAGAGACTCTTCATTCATCTGCTCCAGATCCCGGGGGTCATCAACCAACATCTCTATTTCTGACACAGAAGAAGGAAAAGATAGTTAATGACAAAAAGGGAAATGACCATCATAATATGCAACCATATTTTGAGGGTGGCTATGTAATTATTCCTATTTGAAAATAAATTTGCTAATGAGACTCCAATAGGAAACTCCAGGGACCATTTTCAACAGGTACTACTTGTTTACTCCTTCCCTCCTTCCCTCCTTCCTTCCTCCCTTCCTTCCTCCCTCCCTTCCTCCCTCCCTTCCTTCCTTCCTTCCTTCCTTCCTGGGACCATTTTCAACAGGTACTACTTGTTCCTTCCTTCCTTCCTTCCCTCCCTCCCTCCCTCTCTTTCTTTCTCAATTTCTTTCTTTTTGAGACGAAGTCTCACTCTGTCACCAGGCTGGAGTGGTGTGATCTCCGCTCACTGCAACCTCCGCCTCCTGGGTTCAAGCGATTCTCCTGCCTCAGCCTCCCGAGTAGCTGGGACTGAAGACGCGCGCCACTACGCCCATCCAATTTTTGTATTTTTAGCAGAGATGAGGTTTCATCATGTTGGCCAGAATGGCCTTGATCTCTTGACCTCGTGATCCGCCTGCCTTGGCCTCCCAAAGTGCCAGGATTACAAGTGTGAGCCACCATGCCTGGCCTACTTGTTCTTTCTTATCGGATTGCTGCATTACCTATATGTGTTTTAATACTATAATTTGCCCATTATTCTGTATTTTTTAAGAAGAAAAACTATACCACCTTGCTGCAATGACAAAGGACAAACCGAAACTGATGGGCCCTTTGCCTGATACCAAAGCAAGGCTCACTGACACAGGCAGATGACAGTTCACAAAGCCCCCCATGTCCATAGCTGCCTATTCTGAAGGGCACTGAGTGACTTGAGAGCCACACAAATTCTACAGAAACCAAAAAGATGGTCTGCACTTTTCTTTAACAAAGTCTATCTTTTCCGTCAAGCCTGAATGCTACAGCACTTATTTGAGACAGAAAAATAATATAAAAGAGGGACACAAATGTTAAGTTTGGCTAAGATAAGCCATAGGATTCATCTTATCTCCTTAACATGCAGTAAGTTCCTATCAACCAGGTGCTATATTTCTTTTATCCTCCCTATAGTTCTGGTTACATGGGAGGCGCTTCAGAAAAACATTACTAAGTAACTCAATGGCATGGACTCCAATCTTTACTTTGTGGGGAGGGGTCCAGAAGTTCAAGATGTTTCTGTCACTATTACTGCACTCCACTGTGCTGTCCTAACCACTGTTTTATTTAATCTGGGAAGCAGAAATACAGACACAAGGGCAGCAGGACTAATTTCCAATCTACTTCATAGAAACAGCTAAGACTGAGTCTACAACCATCCAGTCTTGTGGCCGCAAAGGATCACAACTAGAGGGATGTTTTGTTCACAGCCAAACACAAGCAACTCAACCAAGTCATTGGGGAAGACAACAAGACACCTCTTCCACTTTATTACTACTGCCTAAAGTTGCTCTCCAGACACCAGTTCTATAGAACCAATGCTTGAAAAAACTGGGAGACTAAACAGAGAGCCAGTGAGGGGACAGTACTGTTACCATCGTCCTGTAAGTCCTCTTCCAGCCGGTCTTTGCCGCCACTCTCCACCCCTGAGGTGTGGGAGCTGCCATGACTGGTCATTGAGCTGCAGGTTTTCAGCTTGCGGTGGATGGCACTGCTGGAGTAGCTGTCTTCTGGCCCCGTGTCCCGGGGCTTGGTGTCTGCCTCAATGCCCGAGGTGTGGGAACTGCTGTGGCTGGCGGTGGAATGACGGGACAGGCGCTTGTGTTTCATGCTGCCCGCACTGCTCCCGCTGGCCCGCGACCGTTTTTCCAGCTGGTCCATGTCGAGGTCCAGGTTGTCACTGATGTAAGATTCCCGGTACTGCTTCTTCTCTACGTGGTGGGGAACACAGTTCATTAACCAAGACAGAAGGAACGGCTGGTGAGCTTAAGTGACTCATCAGGCCAAGAACAAGGATAACTTCAAATTCAGAATCTAGTGATTGGAAAGTAGTAATAATTTAGATAGGAATTTGACTTCAGAAGACTGAAAAATGAATAAAAACCAGTGCAACAGATTTGAGGGGGATATTTAAACTACTTAGTTTTTTGAAAGCTTCAAGCAGTATAAGAAGAGTGGTATTTAAAGTGCAGTTACAGACCACTTCTTGTCTGCAAATTTATTGGTCCATAGTGAAATAAATTCAGTGAGTGATATGAACATTTAGAAACTTCCAGAGCTATGTGACATTGCCATGACAGCCACCAATGTGATTTTGTATTTTGCGAAAGTATCCATAGCATATTAAATATTTTAAAAATCTGGCCCTTTTCTGCAGATAATTTCAGAAGCACTGCTCTAGAAGACTACTTAATAAATACAATTATGCTAATTGCCATTCATTTTATTTGTTCATTTGTTCAATTTGTTCCACTGTTAGCTTAGCTCTAGCTGCTGAATACAATTTAAAATAAAACTATTCTTCTGAGAATTTCTTGTGAATATTCTAAAATTTGGATTTTCATTAATATAAGATTGATTTTCTCCACTTAGGCTGAATTAGTGAGGCTTTATCATCTACTTAGAAAATACCAGTAATCACTACTGGTTTGATGATTTCCAACTCTGACTGGTAAAGCTGTTCTTTGATTTCACATGTCAGTGCTGTTCTTTAACGCAGTCAAACACACAACACTGCAAAGTCTCTTTTATTACATATAAACTAACCATTCCATTAAGGCACAAAGTTACAACCCAGCTGCCAGTTACAACTCAACTGACACAAAAATATTATTCTTGTCTTTCAGGTCAGAAATGTAAAACAAGGAAGAAGTTTAGATTCCTTGCCTTTTTAATACTGGTGAGAAATAATACAATAAAACAATGTTAAAAATGGAGAGTGCATTTGGGGAATGTGAAGTTGATCTGATTTTAGAAACTAGTAGACTAATTGGGTTCTCAGGGGCCTGTTAATGGATTTTAATTGTCTTGTTTCTTGGTTAAGTGAAAATACTTGCATGCCTGATGTCTGAATCCAGCTCGGAAGTATAATCATCACAGGGTCCCTAGAGAGAAAATGAGCAGGAGGAGAAAGAAAAGATGCGCCTTCTAGGATGCAAAATGCAAAAAAAAAATGCTTGGAGAAGGCTATGTGCACATTTCCAGGTTCCAGCCTATTCACATTGTTCTAAGGAACTGGCTGAAACACAAAGGTGAGTATGTGTTGCTACAGAGAAAGCAGGCTGAAACCAGACACCAGAGCTCCACGCACATATCATCACAACAAAAATGCATCCATGTACAACTTGTCAGGGAGCAGACTGGGGCCTAACAATCCCCATCTTCTGAATCAGCAGGTGTGAGATGAAGGTGGACAGCTAAAGCAGTTTGCAAAAATTACTGTAGTTTTTATTCACTGTGGTTTCACAGCAATAGCCATGTGGCCCTTGGATGAGTGGCAAGTGAAGAGAAAAAAGTAAAAGTCTCTAAGTTGTTGGAGTTCCATTGTTCTAAAATAATTAGGAACTGTGGACCTAATAATTTAAAAGCTTTTCTGTATCTTTACATATAGCCTTTTTACTCTCAACTTCCTGATAGGTTCAGAGATCACTATAGTTCCTCTATATTCACTAGTATGCTCACGAGAAGACAAGTACTTGCCAGCCTGTTTTCTACCTATTCCTGTCAACATGTTAGCATGGCCTGGGTGTTCCACATGGCTGGCTTCTCTTCCCTCCCTAGTGCTGTACCAGACCCTTTCCAGACATTTAGGAAGCTTCACACCGTTCAGTTACAAACTGAGAGAAACATTAAATAATTCTGAAATGTTTTCTAAGAAATGTAAAATGCAACCTCTCATCCCCCTAATAATCACTGGTGTCAACAGTGCAGATCATCAACATGCCTGTGCTCTTTTTACTCCCTCTGTTGTAAAAGCCCAGAGACAATGAGGTTTTTCATACGCTACTTTGGAAAATAATGCAGTAAATGTGAATACTTATCCTAGGAATAAGCTCCAGCTGTTGAATAAAGTTAGGCTTTAACATTTTTTTAAATGACGCAAGGCATGTTTTTGTTTCTCTTCTAAACCCTATGGAAAAATCCTTGTGATCATTTTCTACTAAAATGCTAAAATAGTGTTTTAGACAAGGTGACTCTACATAAAATTAAGAAAAACACAGACTCTTTTTATGCTGTTTTTTGCTAAACTAATGCCCAAAAAAGGGCTTTTCATGTTAAAATGATAAAGCCCTTAAATGGGGGTGAGATCTTGGATTCAGGCCAAAGTTGACCCAGAGAAACTTAATTTCAGGCCTTTTTCAGACCTGGAAAACCCCTAAGTAGAAGAAACTAAGCATGTGTCATTTCTTCATTCCTCTACTGCTATGGTTTGAATGTCTGTTCCCTCCTAAACTCAGGTTGAAATCTAATTGCTATCATAAATCATATGATATCAAATATCATAGTAGTAAGACATGGGAGTTTAAAGAGATGATTAGATCATGAGAGCTCTGCTTTCATGAATGGGTTAGTGCCATTATTGCAGTAGTGGGTTCATTATGAGAGGCGGAGTTTGGCCCCCTTTTACTCTTTCTCACCCTCTCTTTACCCTTCCACCTTCCATCATGGGATGAAGTAACAAGAAGGCCCTTGGTAGATGCTGGCCCCTCAATCCCGGACTTCCCAGCCTCTAGAACTGTGAGGAAATAAAGTTCTGTTCTTTAGAACTTACCTAGTCTGTGGTCTTTTGTTACAGCAGCACAAAACAAACAAAGACACCTACTCACTTAAGCCTCCGAATACACTTGGTACTATGGTTGGCAATGAACAACGCCCTGTCTCTCTGAAAACTCAAAATTCTTTGCAATTTTTACCTTAGAACCTATAGAGGAAGGTCATTAATTCTTTAAGGCTCTGAAGGGATCTCTTAAGGTCATCTGAACAAAAAAAATGTACTAAAATGCTGCAGGCAGAAAGCTGATAGAACAAATCAACTTCTCAAGGTGCCATGTTAGACGTTTAGGAATGAAGCTGACTTGGCAAATTATGGGCTCTGCACGTAATTATGTCACCTATTCTCACAGGTTCTCCTGCTTCTTCATCCTCCTCCTGTCCCCATCTGAATTCCTTTTCATATTCATGTCAGCATAGGAGAGATATATTTGTTACACTGATGAGTCATCGTGGGGAAGAAGTGGCAGTCTAGCAGCAGCTGAAGCCAATACACCTGACAGTTATACCAATTCTCTCTGAAGACACAGGCAGTTTGTGGCAGACAGTGAGGAATGATTCATGTTCTAATCGCTACGAAATTACAAAAGAATTGCCAAACCGGGTCTCATTTGGATTGACAGAGAATTTTTGAGAGAAATCTATCAGAAGCACAAACCTCTACAAGGTCTTTTGTTTGTTTAAGAAAGGATGGGTATTTGCCTGGTTTCTAAAGGAAAGATGAGGTCTGAGGTGTCAAAACTTGTCTCAGACATGAACCTAAAATATGAATCTTCACCCTGATATTCACACAAATACACCAAATCCAATCTAATCAAATTACTGTTAGATATTACTACAACATGAATTTATAAAACTAATTTTTGCAAAACAAATCTTTGAAAGCATAAACAAAACCCCAAAGCATTAAAAAAAAAAACAAACCCAAATACGTAATGTAGCAGTTTTGAGGATTAGGGTTGGGGTGTGTTAAATGGAGGAAATCCAGGGTGCCACAACTCAAGATAAAGGGCTATCAGATTAATGTAAAGTTGAAGTCGGATGTTACAGACCCTTAGCACTGCCTTCTTTCCCACCCTGACATGATCCCCGTTTCAGGGTCCAGTACTCTGAGGCCCCAGACAGACTGCTTTATTTCATCTGCATCTCAGCAAAGGCCCCACAGGACCAGCTGACTTCCCTCTCCTTTGTTTGGCACTCTTGCTAGAACAGACTTGGGGGCCTCCCAGCCGTCAATCAGAGGCTGCAGACACATCTGTGACCTACCTTTATTGTCACTCTAACCCTAAGAAATAATCACATTGGAAAGAATTCCAGACCACCTGTGGATAATAGCACTAAGGTGGGTCAGTGTAAATACAAAGCTCTAAAATGCAGATAAAATCTGAGTTGCAGATAAACCCTTGCCCTGTGCCTTTATGGGTGGCTTTTTGCAAGTATTTTCAAGTCAGGCATGGGAAAACCTTAGAGACTGTACTTGAGAGATAGCTAAATGCAGTCACCTCAGATATTCTGAATAAGTGCTACAGTAGGTGGGGCTCAAGCCTAACCCTTTGCCTTCTGGAAATACTGAGATGTAAATAGTAATGCTGCTCTCAATCTGGAGTGTCCCAGTCCCAAAATCCAATTCTGTAGGAGCTCAAAACCCCCATTCAGAGTAAGAGGCCACAGGTGGCAAAGGTACAATTTGCTTCCACACCCCAGACCCTGCAATACCTTCGTTTTCCTCCAGCTTCCGGATATGGCGCAGGACAGGCTGCAGATTCATATAGAGGCGGTGGCTGTTGCTCAGAAGTTGCAGGAGGTGTCTGGAGCGCATGGGGCACCCCGTGTAGTATATGAGCTTCCGGGCAGAAGGCAAGCCATCTGGCAAAATCTCAAATTTCTTACCCTTTGGAAGGAAACCATGAATCAAATTCAGGAAGAAAAATCTCTGATTTGCCAAAGTCCCCTTTGTTTCCTATTTAGTAAGGAAAATTATAGATTCTGAAATGTATAAAGTTTCATTTAAAATTCCTTGTGGGATAAATTATTGTTTTTCCTTTCAAAAATGTCACAGGACAGGGGATGACCAGAAATTCAGGAAAGCATCTAGCCACAAGGGTCTGTCAGTAAACACTGACTATCCAAAACAGCTGAGGAATATCTTTGGTTTCTCTGGCTGGTCAGGTTATTTGTATAATGCAGAAGAGAAGGGTCCATCATAAAAGAACCATCAAATATAATCCCAACACCCTAACTCAGCAACAAGGCAACCAATTCTAAAAGATTCTAAATTATTTACCAATTCTAAAATATTTATTGAACACTTAAAATGTACCAAACACCTTGCTAGGCACTGAAAAAAAAATAGGCAGTGAATACGACAGACAAGGTTCCTACCCTCATGGAGCTATATATCCCAGCAGGAGAAATGGCAAAGAAACACACAAAATAATAAGTTTATGATAAATTATTGGAAATAAATAAGGAGTTATATAGTGAACAATACAGGATATCTATTTGGGGTTTAGAAGAAATGGAAAACTTCCCTAGCTAAACATAGAGAGAGCTGGTAGTTGGAGGTATGAGATGGGAAAGAACAAGAACAGCTATCAGTAGACATATAAGGAGTCTCATTCTTCAAATCTGATCACTAAGATAAAGTCCTAAGTTGAGGGCAAGGCTTTGACAAAGTTTCTTACAGTTATGGGATATTATGAACTCTTTTAACTTTCCTAATAATGAATAGGGCAGCCGAAATACAAAAAGGAGTATTTCAGATATAATGATTCTCAGCCAGAGAGTGGAGGTAAAGCAAGAACGGAGACATATTCTAACTACACACCTTAAGGTCTGTATGGAGCAGTATGGGCTTGTATAGCCCAGGCAGGGATAAGGTGGAGGTGTTTTTTTTTTAAATCTCTGAGATTTCCCTCATTTTAAAGGAACTACCAGTGGACCCCAATACTGAAATAGTAACAACTGACATTTATTGAGCACTAAGCATGTATCCACTCATTTAATCCTCAAAGCAAGTCTAGGGAGGGAGTTAATTATCTACATTTTAGAATGAAACCAAGGCACAGAGTTTATGTAACTTGCTCAAGGTCATACAGCTAGGCAGAGCTGAGTTGGCTTCAAGAAGCATCATCTGAGAAACTTGTCAAAATAGATTCCTCATCTCTACTCCAGACCCACTGAGTCAAAAATCTCCTGGAGGAGGAGCATGAGGCCCAAAAATATGTATCTTTAAAGAAGACTCCTCAGATAAGGGCAATACACAAACAGATTCAGCAAGCAACAAGTCCAGGACCCTAAAAAACCCTCAATTTCATAAATGTACTTTATTATAACTTAATTTGGGGCATGAAAGGGGCAAGTGCGTCATAATTTGCTCATTTTCAAACAGCTCAGATCCTTTCACAAATAGCTTGAAACAAAAAAGAGCCAGTTAGGAGGAGACAGGTTAGGCCCCATGTAATGTATAAGTAAAGTGAAATCAGATTGAATCGTGCCCAAGTAATTAAAGTAATGTGAAGTCAGAAACACATCTTTTGACTTACAGGGCAGCATGGAGTCAATGCCCACATTCTATTTGCAATATAGCCTCATGGAGCTATATATCCCAGCAGGAGAAATGGCCCTTTATTTACATAGGCCATCTTTCTTACAGGAGAGAAGCCCATGTCTACAAATCCTTATCTTCCTTTCCTCATGTATTTTTTTCAGTAATTTCTGAACAAAGCAGAACTACGATTTTTTTTTTTTTTTTTTTGAGATGGAGTTGCACTCTTGTTACCTAGGCTGGAGTGCAATGGTGCGGTCTTGGCTCATGGCAACCATCGCCTCTCGGGTTCAAGAGATTCCCATGCCTCAGCCTCCTGAGTAGCTGGGATTACAGGTGCCCACCACTATGCCCAACTAATTTTTGTATTTTTAGTAGAGACAGGATTTCACCATGTTGGCCAGACTGGTCTCGAACTCCTGACCTCAGGTGATCTGCTCACCTTGGCCTCCCAAAGTGGCTGGGATTATAGGAGTGAGCCACTGTGCCCGGCCAGAACTATGAATTTTTATGACCAAATGTACACATTATTAACTATAATTCTTTGAACCCTACCAAAAAACGGATATAGCTGGCAAAAGAGAAATACTTGGGAAAAATCAAGACGTTGCTCTAACAAAAGAAAATGTATCATTCTCAATATTGTAAGAGTATTTTTCATGTTAAGAACTGCAGACCTCTCTTTAAAATAATGGGTTTTAAATAGTCAAATATTAATAGAAACATCTTTTTATATAATTCTTTATTCTTTGCTCAAGAGAGGTAACTTTCAAAAGAACTGGCTAACCTCTACGCGAAATACCTTCTGCAACTAGAATAACTTAGGGTCATGTGCTACGGACCAAACATAAATTAAAATTACTAACTTCTTTTGCTATAAGAGTCTTTACTGTAAGATTCTTTGATTTTAAGTTCACTACTGATATGTGTGACAAAGAATCTATAGCACATGCATTAGAATACAAGAAAGCAAATTATCTTCAGTGTCAACTTCTTAAAAATAACAGCTTTTGTGCCTGAGACAATATTGTTTAAAAACAAAACAAAAAATAACAGAAACCCAAAAAAGTAAGCAATTAATGAGACTTTTCTTTTAAGCCAGTTATTTTAAACTTACCACAAACACCAATTTTCCAACATTTGTCCAGGGGAAATCATAAAGTAATTGTTTCTCTTCATCTAAATTCTGTGAAAAGAATATGCATATGGAGTTAATGGGAAAAATGATAGATACTGTAAAATGGCTCTAACTTCTTTCCCTGAAAACCAAAATACAGTAATTAAAATCTGAAAAAAGCCCCCACATCTCTTTGGAGAAATACAGACAATAATTAAAAGATTCATGATAACAATTCTGTGGCTTTTGGTTCCTGTGTGACTGTATTAACTAACCCTTTTAAGGCAATCTTTTCCCTTCTGGTGTATGCCTAAATTTAAATAAAAAGTCCAAAGGACTCAGGTATTCAAGAGATGCAATAAGGCGCTCAGACTTTCATAACTGGATATTTTGCCTACATCAAAGATAAGACATCCTTTCACTTTCCTGTGTCTTGCTGAAAGAGGTATCTGTCTCCCTTTTTGATGGCTGCAGGATAACACTGTCTCACCTGCTAAAAGGTGACAGTTTCTACTTATTTAAGGGGTAAGTTTCATCACTAAAGTATAACGGAAATTAAAACGTCTGGTCAGGCACAATATTAAAATGTTGTTTTTCTTTCCACTTACAAATGCTCCAAAGGATAAAAGAATATTTAAAATCACTGACACACAGAAACGTTTGGATATTAATGATCTGTTAGTGACCTGTTAGTGATGAACCTGGGCTAATCTTTGACTTATTGTTTTCTGTTATTTCTTATTACTTATTGTTTTCTGTTATTTCTTATTACTGTCAACAATCAGGCTGAGTCACTTCATCCATCCTACATCATCCACATCTGTGCTAGACAAATGGGAAATGATGACCAGCCAGTGGCCAAAAATGAACTACTGAACCTGTGGCAGGACCACAGAGGCATGCTGTAAACAGAAGACATGGCTGACAGCATTTGACACAATTCTCATTTACCAACCTGAAAAATCTGTATTCCCCTCATGGTCAATCCAAGAGTCAGCGATGCTTCAATTTCCCTTTTATCCTGTAGGAATAGGATTTTATAAAAAATTAAATGTTTTTATATATTTTTTCTACAGTGGACAATTTAGCACCAAAGAAACATTTCAGGATTGAAATTCAGGACTGAAAAGTTTTTGACTTAAAATAACTTTGCTCAAGCCTTTCCACATACCTAGTTTCCTACAAGAATTAAGAAAACCATGGGCACATATTAAATCAAGAATGGTATATTCTACTTTTTAAATTCCTGAGATTTCAAAGTTTTAGTGTTTTCACTATATTACATACACTTTTGTATCTGACAATATTCTAAATACTTGTTATTGACAACTCCAGTTAACAAGGCTATTTTTGCTGCTTTTGCATTGTTTGATTTTTTTGACCTTCCATCTCATAATTACTCTTTTCTCAGATGTTAGAATCTTAAATCAAATGTAATAGTTATATTCTGAGATGCATAAGACTTTATATGTTTAAAACTGGGCACATCTTCCAGCTCTGTAGCCAAAATTAGGGGCAAGTGACCAAATATTTAAGGCTCTCTCATGAGGATAATAAAGCTGTACAAGCGGTGTATTCAGATAGTTTGGAAATACTTATTTTTAAGAAGTTCAATGATCACTTGCCAATATGATACACAATCTACCAGCTAAACCATAAACTGTAGAAAATAAACTACAATGAGCATAAGGGGAAAAAAAAACCTCCACAATTAAAAATTCACTTTAAAATTCAGCCACATCCTTTAAGTGCTCATCTGTAATAAGTATATATAGTGTATAAAGTTCAAAATAGAAATGAAATTACTAAGTAAATATTTTCATTATGAGATTTCCCAATAAACACAATGAGTATGCAGAGATCTTTTTAAGCTTAGTGCCAGCTTTCCCATGAACATGGGATGAAATATTTTTAAAACATGTGTCCTCACCTGGCATTATAAATATAAGACACAGCCTATTTCTACTATTTAGGCTGTTTCTTTCCAACTAGTATATTTTTACATCAAGAAAAACACATATAGCATAAGCTTTAAGAGGAGAAACTAATCCATCATTATATGAGTTTTGGTCAATTTCGCTTTCAAGGATGTACAGATTGCTTTCCAAAATAAGGCTATGCTCATAAAAATGCTGGTTTTCAAGTATACGGTATATATTGGTGGGAAAGGGGCACAAAACGGGTTTTTTTTCCAGAATGTTCCCTTGTCCTTTGTCTACCTTATTTCCCGTTTATGAGCAGCTCCTAAATGAAGCAGATTTAATGGCTGCCGCTGAATTTCTCCAAAGAATAAAAACTGTGAATCAGCCAATATCTTTTCCCCCACTTCATTATGTTACATTTTTACTAAAAATCTTTTTAGCAGATAAGAGTCATTTTCTATGCAATTCAGAAGCGCCATACTTTAAGTAAACTTGAAAATTAAGTTTTACACAGAAGATAAATTGGGGATATCTACTTCAACAAAAGATTCTTATTTCTTAATAGGATTCTTTAAAATAGCAAGCTTCCCCAGCAAATAAGGCAAAAAGCAATTAATGGTTATTGAGCACTCACTAATGTGCCAGGTATTCCACCTCATTATTTCAGATTCATTATCTCACCAAAGCCTCCCAACCTTGTGAAGCATATTGTATCATCCCCACTTAATAGACAGCTCAGGATTATAGTTGCCTAGGATCCCAGCTATAGCGAGTAGTGACATAGGGTTTCTAATTGACATCTGATTCCAAAGCCACACTCTTACTCTTTCCAACATATCATTCATACTTCTAATACATTTTAAAATATAAACTAATTATCAAAACTGTCATTTATTTGCATTTTCTTGTGTCAATTGAGGTGTCACAAATAAAATCTCTTCAGGCTAAAAAAAAATTACAACTCAGTCCTTTAGGAATTTAGCCAAACAGATCTTATGGAACTCAATTATGCCTTTCAAGGAAGATGGGGCATTAATAATGCATCTCTTGGGCATAGAAGAGAGATAGAAAAAACATCAGTTGGTCCCTTAAGTTTTCTGAACCAGCTAACAAGATTACTGAGCAATACATCCAAACTAAAGCCCAGTTTCCAATGGTCTAGCTATGCTAATCCTACCACAAAAGGCAAAGTAGAGATAACAAGCATAATACTATCAATGGTAATGGTAACAGCAGCCAACTTAACATCATGCTTAACATGTGCTGGGCACTGTTTTAAGCAGTTTTTCATCCAACAATTCCTTTAGTATTCAGCAATCCTAAAAAGCAGGTATGTTGCTGTCCCCTTTAACTATGGGGAAACTGAAGTACAGAGCGGTTAAGTAAGTAACTTGCCTGAGGTCACATAGTAAGAGGCCAAACTGAGATTCAATCCTAGGCAGTTAGGCTCAACTTACAGTGCTCTTAACCACTTCATCCATTTGGTTTGAGAATACACCTTTGAATACTTAAGTGGGTATTCAGGAGTTCTTGCCAACAAAGTGGCACTTATGGAATAGTGAAAGGGGTTAGGAGGAGGAGGGGAAGAGAAGACAAGATGATATAGAGTACTGTGAGTGATTCCCTGCAGAGCATGGCCCCAGTTGTTATTTGGGTGTGTGACCTCTGCCCCAGAAAGGAAAAACGAGGCTAGAGATACACGGGACACAAAGGAGAGTAACTTCCGAGAGTGAGGAACGTGTGGAATACAGTGCCTTAGGCTCACAGCCTATGTTATCAAGAAGGCCTTGACTAAATCCTGGCTTTGCCATTTAGTTTTGTGATCTTAGGTGATTCATTTAATCTCTTTAAGCCTCAGTTTCCTGGACTGTAAAATAAAGATTAAAGTACCTTTCATATAAAGTTATGAGGATTAAAAAAAACACATATAAAGTGTGCCCAGTAAACACAGGACTCCATAAACATTACCTGTTGTGGTAATGTTCTTGTAACTGACGGATACAACGCAGGTATAGCTTCACTTTGAGGAATATTAAAAATTACTTATCAAAGAAGTTGCAAATGCTATTCCCCAAAGCAGAAAAGCAGATTTGGGGAGGAGAGAAATAACAATGCCATAATCACTAAAAAAGTCAGATTAACATCTTATAGCCAATTGTCATCTCACTATTAGAACCATTAAAAAATACTCCACCCCGCTTCCAGGCCAGAGTAAAAGCACCATGGCCTCCAAGACTGACGTGCGATAACAAAAAGCAGTTCAATGAAACTCTTTTAAAAGCATGTAAAAAATGAAATAAGTTTTAATGGAAATGAAATCCTTCGGTTTTCCTTCTCAATCCTATTGAGAAGATGTTTTTTTCTCAGAAGCTGAAGACTTAGTTGCCGTTTCATACCTTATACAATCTGTAGTAATGAACAGCGACGTCATCCAGTCGGACAGCCTCTTTGATATATTTAAGATGAGCTTCGGAAGCTGTTAGTGCAAACTGATCTTTGTGCATGTTTGGAATGTGCTTCAGGATGTAGTCCTTCCCCCTCTTGGAAACAACCTGTTGGGATACAAGGGGTGTGCAATGCAACATTTGTTGGAGAGATGTAAGTTCTACCCCCACCCCCAAAATGATGAAAGAATGAGAAGCTAAAATAGGCCATGTAAACTGGTTGGTTTGCATTGAAAATTCATTCTGTTTTCACCATCTGTTATGTTACTAGGCTAAATCAGCTAATACTAGAAGCTATAGAGTCAATTTAGTTGTACTGCTGAATACCTAAGAAGAAAAATCACAACAAATAGGAAAAATAAGTTATCTTTGCTTTAAAGTCACCAAGAGAAAAACACTACACAAACTTTCATAATTTTGTACACATAATTGTTTATACTTGCAAGTTTATACTTGGTACCATGAAATACATCTATAGTAGGCACATCTTCAGGTTCTGGATCCTACCTAACTCTTAAGAAAATTTCAGCCACAGACTGGGAGGTTCTAAATGTTAATCAAAAGAAGGCAGGGTACTGGGAGAAATTCTCTAAAACATTTTTGGTTCTTGCATAAGAGGCTGATATGAACACTGCTGGAATACTTATGAGAAAACCGTTTCATTCAAACACTCATTGTGATTCACTGTGACTTAGATTTTCATCAGACAGTACTCTGGGCTTTCAGATGTCAAATATATAGTATCCAGCAGCTGCAGGCTAAGAGAAAGGTGTTGATTAAAGTCTTAGCTGATTCCATAAGGAACTTAACAGATGGAAAGAATTATGCAATGTGAGCAAGAGTCGTGCTTAAAATAATCAAAATTTAAAAATTACAGACTTTTTGGTTTTAAAATGTCTTTATATTGACATTTTGTTTCTTCCTATTGAATATTTTACAGAGAATTAAATATGATGAATTAATAGTCAGTTGTCAAGTTCTGCTAAGAACTCAAGTTACACAGATTTTTCTTTCCAGGTTCTTTTCACATGGTAATCAGTTAAATCAGTTATTTATCAACCTTTTTTTCAGGTCAAAAGCACACTGAAAACAGTATTTGTAAGGGCACTAAAGCAGATGGCTTTGGTGATCCCAAGGGTGGGGGAAACTGATATCTCAGCACACTGGTTGCCCTGGCATACTAACTGGATTTCAATAATCAATATTCAATGAGCACCTGATGACAACCAGAGAATGCAAACATGCTACAGACAGCAATAGTTTGACAGACATTGTGATTTCTCTCCAAAAAAATGAAGCACTCTAAGTCACACAACAAAAAATTACTGAGTACCTCAATATGAAGAGCTGATGAAATAGAAAAGGTTAAGGTTATGCCCGTCTTTCAGAACACACTAAGAAACAGTTTACTGGGAGCAAGAAATAAATCATTTTAAAATAAGATGTAAAACACTATTCCCAGGTTCTTCTTGAGCACTGGGCACCTAGATGGTCTGCCCAGAAGGAGCGACACCTGGGCTGAGTCTCGGAGGATGAGTAGGAGTTAGCCAGGTGAAACAGAGAGGGGCTTCACTGGCTAAAGGAACTGCAAGAAGAAAGACCTGAAGCATGAAACACCACAGTAAGTATGGAGACACACCAATGGCTGGATGTTGCCAGAGCCTAAAGTTCAAGGTGCAGGACAACCAGAAAGGAAGCTGGAATGGCTGGCAGGGACTATAATCTGGAGAGTTTCTAGGTTATGCATGGGAGCCTGAGCTTCACTCCACAGGTGACAGAGGAGGCCCTGAAAGTTTAAGTCAGAAGCAAAATCATCTCATCTGCAAGCTGTGGAGTAAAGACCGAAGCAGGGACAAGTTTCTGCAACAGTGCTGCTGAGAACACGAACCTAGAAACAGCAGGAGCTAAGACAGGGAGAGGAGGCAATGGACATTTAGGAAGGCTAATGGCAATAAAAATAGAAGATAATTTTATTTCTTAAGCTGGGTGATTGGTATTCAAGCACAGACATTACAAGGTGTTACAGTTGATGGGACAGGACAGGGAGAAGGAATGGTGATAAGGCAGAGTTCCGTATGACTCCCACGTACTCAGAGGTAGGAATACGTAGAAATGAGGTGGCAAGAAAATGAATTTGATTTAGGACATCTTGAGTTTGAACGGCCTATGGGTAAACAGCTACCTTATGGATATAGGGGAAAAAACCAGATTTGGGACTTGCCTTCACATAGGTGATCGTTAAAAGCATTAATTTGGATGAGATCTCCCAAGATGTGAGTAGTTAAGTGTCAGGTACAGCAGCAAAATTTAGTGAAAAGAGTCTGCTGGATATGTTAATATAAAGCAACTGGTGTCAATATAAAGCAAAAGTAGTGCATATTTAATTTTTTACTTCTTTACTGTATTGATATAAAGCAACCTAACAGGCAGCACCATGAGTGGACTGATGGGGAAAGAAGGCAGATGGAAATGGCTTGAGGAACACTTGTGGGAAGTAAAGAAGCTGAAAAAATCAAATACACACTACCTCTTCAAGATGCTTTACTGAGAAGGAAAGGCAAGAGTAGTAGCTCTTCTTTCCCTCCCCACTTTCTTTCTCAAGGATGGGTGGGTGAGAACCAAACATGTTTTGCATGTTCTCACTGAAGAAGAGTTACTTTGGGGAGGGGCTAATGATATAGAAGAGAGACAGAAAATACAGCCTAGACATGGAGGAAGGACGGGAAGAGAAACAGACAGGGTGGAGTGGAGAAAGCGCAGCTGAGACAGTTCACGTTGGAATAACCCACATTTTCTTGCTGAAAGAAGGGGTTAGTTCCTCCCCGAGAGTGGAGGACATGGAGGCCGGAGCCAGAAGTTGACATACTTGTTCTCGCAGCAAAGGAAAGCGAGGAATAATCTTACTTTTTAAAGAGTTATGTTTTTCTGCCTTCAAAGGGAGAAAATACTGCTTCGGTAAGAGTAGGCAAGAAGGTCAAGGGCATGTCAATGCTGAAAGGAGGCTGGTAAATTCCAAGCTCCACTGTATTATCAGGATGGATGGCAATTCTCTACCCCACTCACCATAAGCAGACTAAGTACATGAAGACATGATGTGCACCACGTTCTTAAGCATTAAATATCTGGGCATCACAAAGAATTTGGCCACAGAACATCTGTGTTCCCATTTCTTAAAGAGTATGAGTAGCAACACTACGAACTAGAAATGCCCGAGAGAAAACACTCTTTCGAATTTGAAAACAGTGCTTACCCAAGATGGGAAGTAAGCCTCTGGCTCGAAGTATTTTCCATAGTGCTTATTCCTTTTGAAGTTCCCAAGATCAGCCTGCAGGGCAAAGGCTGCCAGCAGGAAGTAGGCCTCCTCTCGGAGCACACACTGAGAATGAAGAACTTGTTTTCTCAGGTGCCAGTAATAATAGTATCTTGCTGCTCTGTCACTAGAAAAATAAAAGAAAACAGAACTCACATTTTGATGGAATAATCCAATGACATGTAAACAGAACCCAAATCCTTCTCTCCATCTGGTGACAGGAACCCTTCTGTTTCTGCTCCTCCCTCCCACCTCACTGAAAAGGAAGCGGTTGTAGCTAATATCTGATAGCTGCCTCACTGAGGTTGCAGGGGGTCAGAACCCCAAATCAGACTATCCAGACAATAAAAATAACGTTTCCTAAGGCTTACAGCATTTGATTCATTCAGAGAAGAAAAAGGTCTGAATCATTCCACTCTAAAATGGTAAATATTTCACTGAACAAGTATTAGAATAGAAACTAGACATGTGTTGTCTGTACTAATGTTGCTACAATGATGCTACACACGTGACATAAATAAGGAAAAATCTGAGGAGCAATCCTGCTTCAGTGTTTTGCTGTTCTTTTTATTATTTTTTAACTGAACACACTACAAATACTCTAAGGCCCTTTATAAGTATTTGCATATATACTCTTCTGGAAAAAAATTTGCTTAACAAAGGTTTCTTTTCCGTTTTTTAAACTTCTCCAAGAAGAAATGCAATGAATGCTTTCCTTAAATCTTTTTTTGGGGATTTTTTTGAAGTGAATGTTACATTACTGTTATGTTTTTACAGGCACATGTCACGACAATTATTATACTCCCCACAAAAGGAAATACTAACAGAGCACTCATTACAATCTCTTGAGATCAGAAATAAATACAGTCATCATTAAATACGTTAAGAAATGCTGACTGGGGAAAACATGGTAAAAGCTCCAAAAAATATTTACTGGCAAATAGGATGCTTTTGTGATCAAAGTAAAAATGTGTGTGTACATATTTTAATGAGCTCATTTGCCTCTACATTATTTCAGGTTGAATGTTTACCTGAGATTCATAGCTGATGTCATTAGCAGATAACAATAAACACATATGGGTTTATTTAAACTAAGACCATGGTTAAGTAGAAAGAGCTTAAAAATAAAGCATTTATGTAAATTTTCCCCCCTTAGGACAGAGTACTTTTCAGAGCACTTTTGTTTATAATGCCAACCACAGATGGTTTGGACTGGTTCATGCCTGGGAAAAAGGGGCAGAAGTATAGGGATGCATTAAAACTTAGCCCCAGGGGGTTAACTATTTGTTAAATATATATATTCCTTCTTTCCAGGTCATGCCACACTTACCAGGTAAAATAAGTAAAAATTGTATGTAAACTAAGGATAACTAATAAAGTGTCTTAGCCTTTTTTAAAAAAAATCCTTATGGGCTAATTTTTTTACTTTTTAATTTGCATCTGGCATTGATAAAAATATCAAGAGCTAATTTTACATATAACTCACTAGCCATATGTATTTTGTTTCTTTCACATGGAACTTCTCAAAGTTTAAAAATATATAAGCAAAACAGAGTTCATATTTCTAGTATTTTCTATCGGCCAAGAAATCACTTCTGAAAGTTTTCTAGCACTGAATCCTCCTATACAGACCGAGCTTCTGAAATGGTGAATTCTGAATTTGCATCCTGAGCCTACTACTGTTCATGCACACACCTCCAGAAAAAGAATCAATTACCTGCCCTTGTCAAATTGCATCTAAGATTCTGATAGGATAGCTTCACTGGGCTTAATCTTGGTTTTAAGGCTACTGCCAAGAATATAAACAAGACCCCAAACATGAAAAGAAAACCGATTATATAAACACCCATCCACTTTTATAGGAGAGTTCCTGCCTCTGACCCACTCCCACCTTACCACTGGAAAAGAACATAATCTTTTAATCAACCTCCTCACTCTTTACAAAAGTGCTAGTTTCTTCTTGAAATAAGTATCTTTTTGGAGACTGATTTGGTTATGAAAACGTGGAGTGGAGAAAATGTGGGCCAATAGATACTGTTAATATTTTTATCAACAGTCTAACATTCTTTCATTTAACAAATATTTACTGAATGCCTATTGTATCTCTGTTTTAGGGACTGAGGATATACCAGCGTACAAAATATTAAAAAGAAAAAAATTGCTGCTCCTACAGAGTTTATATCCTAAAGGTGAAGACAAAGAATAAACACACGTAACTTATTTGGTATGTTAGAAAAAGTGCTATGGGGGAAAAAAAAGCGTTTAGAATCACCCCCTGTCCTCTTACCTGATCAATCTGCCATTTTCCACATAGTACTGCACACGGAAGTGGATGATCATAGGAGGCCCAAATTGGTCGATACCCTAGAAACAAAAGCACACACAAAAATCAAGCTATTTCTAGTTACTTTGAAAATGGGTTTCAAAAGCAACCAAAATACAATTATTTGCAAGATACTTTTTGATCACTGATAGGTTTTATTTACTTATAATGAGTAGGGGCTTGTAGTAGGTAGACAGTTGTCCTATATAGATACCAGGTTCATATACAATTAGGAAGTTATAAAGCGAAACAGGGCACCATCCTTCTATCTGATTTTCATTCACTGTAATGCCAATGACAACATAAGGGAAGATAAAAATAAATGCCAGTGGAAATTTCTAGCTGAGACCCAGCTCCTCGCTCAGCTCTGTTCCCTGTGGTGACCATTTGCTCCTTATTACAAATGTTCTCTTGTTCCTCTGACATTCCACATACCAAATTCTAATATGCTGTTTGTTTATTTAGACATTCATGTTCTTTACTTTGCAGCTGGCTTTGAAGTAGCCTTCTAGTTTACTCCAAGACTTCTTAAATACAAATTAGAGGATCTAGGATTACTATTCCTGACTTACTAGGGAGGTTCTGGAAACACGAGGTGAATTCCCTATTAATGTTCTCTCATGTAAATGAAATTAATGTTTGTGAAATAAAGCACCAGTACAATGAATGGACAAAGCATCAAATGCAAGTACAGTAAAAGTAGATTTAAAAATTAGTAATAACTTCTAGAACAGCAATTTTGACACCTAGCATAGCCAAAAAAGAAGAGCAAATAATTTTTCCATACTTTTCATTTAAAAGCATTATTCCAAGATTACTAAAGTTATTATCCAACATTATTTAACAGATAATCCAGATTCTATTTATTATTTTCTATAAGCTATTAATACTTGATTAATGTGACACTTTAGAACTTATAAGTTTCTTTTCCCATTTTTTATATATACTAAGTATATATACTATATATACTTTATATACTATACTATATTTTCTACTATATATACTAAGTATATATATACACTTTAGAACTTATAATTTTCTTTTCCCATTTTCTATATATACTAAGTATATATATATATACATTTTAGAACTTATAATTTTATTTTCCCATTTTCTATATATACTACTATACATATTACTATATATATATACTAAGTATATATACTACTATATATATACTCAGCATATATAGAAAATGGGAAAAGAAAATTATAAGTTCTAAAGTGTATATATATATATACTATACATATACTATATATAACTTAGTAGATAAAGTAGAAAATATAGTATAGTACATAAAGTATTGCTTACAGTTTTCTTCTAATGTATAACAGCTAAAATAAACATTTTTTAAAAAAAATCAAAATAATTTTGCTTATAAATGTAATCTCACCCAAGTGACTTCGTATTGTCGTACCTTGCTGGCCTCTTTCTTCCATTCTTTTGGACAATATTTGTAAAGCTTTTGTGACAACTCCATATACACATGTTCATTATCTGTACATTAAAAAAAAGGAGACGACATGCTAAAGAAAGGATTTTTAAAAGAAAAAAAATATAGAAAGAAACAAGTTTCTTTTAAAGCCTCAAGACTTGTGAATGTAGTCTGAATGCACATACTAGAAAACCCAAAGAGATACTAGAAGACAAAAGGTTCTGTGAACTAGACATTAATGAGATACTTGTGAATTATTTTGCTTTTGCAATACAGAACACATACTATTAAAGTATATAATATTTAGAAGAAATCTTAGATTCCAACTTCTGCTTTTTCTTAGTTTCTAGGGTCATTATGACTTACAGTCTAACTTCTAACACTGTGGGTGTTAGTCTTAGGAAAACATGCTTTTGTTCAGCTCAAAGAAGCCTGCTCTTATAGGTACAAAATAATAAAGCAGGGCAGAAACACTATCTTAATTGCTATGTAAGAAATTAGAAAACACGGTATCAGCTCATTTCCAAGTGAGAAGTCTGACCCACATTTTGTGAAGACTAATCTTTAAGACTATTTCTTGTCCGTGTTCCACACACAGCAAAACACAGCATGACAAAATGATAAACCCTTACTCGCACTGCCTTTGGGATCAATTTCATGGAAAAGAGAAGAAACATTTTATGAAAAACAAGTATGGATGCCAAAACATCCCTTCCAGGGGATGATGCTCATAAGGTGAACAGAAAATAAGACCGCTAAAACCTATGTTAAAGTGATCTAAACACGTGAAAAGAAGCTGGTAGAAAACAAACGTTTTCATATTTCCCAAAGATAATCTTTTAAAAGAGAGAGCTATTTCACAAAAGAAGTCTTTGGCATTCCTATACTGTACAAAGTTTCAAGTCTTTTTTAAACTCCTTTTATTCTAACTATCACTAAGGAGACATCTTCACGGAAAGCTCTGCATAAAAATGTACCTGTTCTGGAAGTGTGTCTCTTTGACTACTCCAAAGATGTGCACACTTTGCTACACTTTGACTCCAAGCTGAATACTGGGACTTGACTGGAAAAATGCCAGAAGAAAATAGGAAGGGTAAAGTTACTCGTTGGTTATAAACGACATTAAGTTAACCAATTTTAATGAAAGGGTTAGAAAAGAGATCCCAGAGACAAAAAAAGGAATGCTACTTAAATCCAGTTATTAGGTCAACTAACACTATCTCCCATCTCTCATATCACTGATTAAACATGAAATAAACAAGACCAGACAATCTTCCTGTCGAAACTGATTTGTGTTTGGCTTGAGTTCCCACCTAAAGAAGCAACATAATGAATAGAATTAAGACTGTTCACCATAATAGTACATATATATATTTTTAAACTGCCACTATACCTCTGCCACCTACAATCTGACCAGAGCTTTATACCTTAAGAATTCTCAAAGCACATTAATCCTGCAAAGCTGGTGGAGTAGTAATTTCCATTTGACGCGAAAAAACTGACATTGAGAGAAGTCAAGTGCTAGTTAGGGGTGCAACCGGAATTAGAACCAGGTCAACCAATTCCTGTTTCAATGTTCTTTCGCCATACTACTATCTCTTTTTTAAAAAGGACATCTTAAAAATTATTTTGAAACCTAAGGAAGCTATAAACTGGTTTTATTGGACTTATTTGTTGAACAATAAGGATCTAGCAGTAGTTGTTGTAAGAAGAATTAACTTTGAGCATGGAATACTAAAAGTTACTTAGAATCTATAGAGCCTCTTATGGCTCTCAGACTCTTCCCTGAAAGAACGACTGAAGTATGCACTAACACAAGGATGGAGCTTAGCAACTGTGTTTTATTGTTTTAACTACCACAGGAAGAAACTGAAGAGCAAATGGCTGATTCACAAGGTCCTGATGTGTTCCCTGCTCCATGCTCTTTAGCCTCTCCTAAAAAGGCAACTGAAAACAGTCTACATTTTGGGGGAAAGGGGCCTTGTTTATCAGCTGACCAACTTTATACTGATATCCTTTCCAACTTGGCAGGTGTAAACATATTATTGTATTGACCAGATTTCCAAGATATCTTAAGCCTTGAAATTTAAACCAATTCCAGCAGTAGAAAATAAACCATATTCAAGAATTAGAATTAAATACACCGCACCAAAAAAAACTCTTCTTGACAAAATGAGCAAAGATATATAGAAGACTAAATTAGAGAAATTTAAAAATATCATTTGAAGGAAGAAAGCTTATAATAAATGGCTTTAGAGAAGTCCCAGAAATTTAACTCTAACTAAGGTGTTATGAGAGAAGAAAGCTTATATGAAGTCCTTTACTTAAAAATCTTCTCCTCACAAAGAATATAGAAGAAACTGACCCGATATTTCCAAGTCATATAGTCTGACTGGAAAAAAGAGAAGGGGTACGAGAGAAAAATAAAAAATAAGATTAAATTAATAATTACTTTGTGATACTATATAGTTAATAGCAAGATAACTTGAAAAGAGAAGTCAGTTTAATGTCAAAAATTATAAAACAAATTAAATTACTTTCCTAAGTATTCCAGCTGCTCCCTGAATGCAAGGAAACAAAAATCAAGCTTGCTTCATTAAAACATGGAAGAGCAAACACATAGAATCTAGATTCCCAAAGAGGAATCAATTTTTAAGTTCAAACTATAATAAATAAATGCCTAAAATCCTAAATATTGTAAAAAATACATAGAAATTGAGATTAAAAAATTAAATACTACACCTACACTAAAAATGAAAATCAGTCCATGGGTATTTTGACAATCACAGTTTTATAACAATAGGCCCAATTTAAGTTATAGCTATAAGATGTCATTTCCTCAGGGATAGTTGGCTAAATCCATCAGAGAGGGCTCTAAGACTTACTTTGTATAACACTGAGTCCAAAGAGGTGGCAGTCCTTTAGCCTGAGCAGGTCACAAACCTGGACCAGCAACTGGTGACACAGAATCTTAACCTGTAGGGGAAAAAGGCACGACGTAAAATAACAATTCAACTAAGTCCACCCAGGGAGCCACAATCAGGCAATTTAATGCATCGTAAATATATTCCTTGAAAGGACAAGCTGACAGTAGAAAACAACTGCTGCTTTATCCAAATCACTTTAACCTGGGGTTGTGTTTCAGTAATGATGATCACAGTACCAGTTTTTACAACATGGTAATAAAGTACAAGACTCACAGATCTTACCATACATGGACAAAGCTCTGAAACCATGGTGCATGATAAATGATAAATGAGTTTCAGAAAGTAAGCAGCATAGCCTACTCAGATTACTAAAAATATTTATTTGGCAAGTATCTTTTTTAAAAAATTTTTATTCATTTGTTTTTTTAATTGACTAATAAAATTGTATATATTTATGGTATACAACATAATGTTTTGATATATGTATATACTGTGGAATGAATAAATCAGACTAACATATGCATTATGTCACATATGTATCTTTTTGTGGTGAGAACACTTAAAATTTATTCTTAGCATTTTCAAGTATACATCATCATTAACTACAGTCACCACGTTGTACAATAAATCTCTTGAACTTATTCCTCCTAACTGAAATATTGTATTTTTTTACTAATATCTCCCCAGTCCCCCTAACTCCTCAGTCTCAGGTAACCATCATTCTATTCTCTGCTTCCCTGAGTCAGACTTTTTTAGATTATGCAGGGTTTGTCTTTCTGTGCCTGGCTTATTTCATTAAACCTAACATCCTCCAGGTTCATCCGTTATTGCAAATGACATGATTTCCTTCTTTTTAAAGGCTGAATTGTGTTCCACTGTGTGTATGTGCCACATTTTCTTTATCCATTTATCCACTGGTGCACACTTAGGTTGATTCCATACCTTGACTGTTATGAATAATACTGCAATATACATGGGAGTGCAGATGTCTCTTTGACATAATGATTTCATCTCCTTTGGGTACATACCCAGGAATGGGGTTCCAGGATCATATGGTAGTACTATGTTTAATATTTTGAGGAACCCCCATACTGCTTTCCATAATGTCTGTACTAATTTACATTCCCAGCAACAGTGTACAAGGGTTCCCTTTTCTCCACATCCTCGTCAACACTTGTTATCTTTTGTCTTTTTGATAATAGCCATTCTAACAGGTGTGAGATGTCACATTTCCCTGCTATTTAGTGATGCCGAGCATTTTTTCATAAGCCTATTGGTCATGGGTGTATCTTCTTTTGAGGGACGTCTACTCAGGACAAGTATCCTTTCAAGGAAAGCTTTCCTCTTAATAGTCTACCCCAAAAACTCATCTACTGTACAACGAGTTGGTCTAGACTTTTTTTTAAAGACAGAGTCTCAATCGACTTTTTTTTTTTTTTGTAGAGACAGGGTCTCTCACTACGTTGCCTGGGCTGGTCTTAAAACTCCTGACCTCAAGCAATCCTCCCATCTTGGCCTCCCAAAGCGCTGGGATTACAGGGATGAGACACCATGCCCAGCCTGCCTAGCTTTTAATTTATCACTGTTATTTTGTCTAATATATTTTTAGTGCCTAAACCAGATTCCTTTTCTGAGTCTTAGTATACTTCAATCACAAAGCCATATTAATTTGGAACTCTGGCAATAAGTTATTCTGACAAGTCAAAAGTTAACTGATAGTCTTTAAAAGATACAATTTTCTTTCTCAATATTATTATTATAAATAATAACTCATACAAATAATATTTGTATTATTATTACAAATAATAATTATTATCTCATAATAATGCTTTCTCAAATGTTTAAAGTAGTATTATGGAGGACAGTAATTCTGCTGATTCTATCTTGTTGACTTCAGAATCATCAAGGTTTATTAGAGTTTGGATAGAGTTTAAGAAACCACCCAGGTCAATTTATTTTCTGAAAATAAAACTCAGAAAGCTTAAAGTCATATCACTAATAGTGGCAAAGGCAGCAACTCACAGCTTATTTGTGTATTAAAATACCTTAATTATTAAATATATATATTAAAATATTGTAACATGACAGTTTATCATTTTACCTATATGCATTACATATGGCATTCTCCCCTTTTATTAGTACTATCTGCTTTCAAATCCTTTTTTTCAATGATAATGAGTTTAAGTTATTATAAATTCTAAAAATTAACTCTGAATTAATGACTTTATCATATCTTAATATGAAACTCAGATTAGGAAAATAAAGACACGCCAAGATCCCTTGAAATTTGAAAGTAAACAATTCAGAACTGGTGATAATTCCGACTGTAGTAAGAAGAATGGGTTTACTGCTCTTTTCCACATTCATTATTAAATAGCAACCAACCTAAAGTATCTTACCCACTGGAAAGAGCAGAAGATATTTAAGACCAAAGTAGCACCAAGTGAGCTGCTTGGAAGTACCAGGAACTCATGCAGGAACAGTGTCTTATTTTACATTCAGGATCTATAGTAGGCACTCAGTAAATGTTCGATGAATGAAAGGCAGGAATCTGATTCCCTGTGGGCTCCTGCTCACCTTCATTCTGTTCCATGACTAGAGATCAAGACCACTCCCTGAATTACTGAGCAAACCATTTTATAAATATGCCATTCAGCATTTTAGGAAAACTGTATAAATGCAAACCCACCCACCACCACCACTGGAGAACACATTTGCCAATGGGGAATCATTATCATTCTCTTTGTGTACAGCTAGGTTGAATCACCTGACATTCTAGATTTCTGTCCTATAGAAGTCCTATGTCATTTCCAACACTCACTTTAAAAGGCCTCTGGATTTTGAGTTCCATTATCATCGTAATTCTACCTTACAAATAAACTTAAACAATGATAAAGAAGAGGAGAACACATCAATTATCACATAAAATTCTTAAGTTGAACTATATACTACAAATTTGTGACTTAAAATGTCATGTTGTTTACAGCACCTTTAATCCTTAGTTTGACTGTATTTAAAAACGTTGGGTACAAGGCAGCCAAGATAAAATGCCATAAGAAGTTAAAATTCCAAACCACAAACTAAATGTATAGGAAATAAACTGTTTTAGGCTCGTGTGACTGTAGACCAAATAACGTTATATATTTCCTCCATGCAGCCCATACATTTATTATTGTTCTGCTAGTTTAAATCAAGTATTTGAAGCCTACTGGTAAAGCTCTTTAACAAATATCAAGTAAGCAGTGCTCTTATTCAAAAACTATAATTAAATAAGGCCATGGCTCTGAAGTCTTGCCTGCTGTGAAAATAAGCTTGAGTTTTCTGTATTTGCATATTATGAGTCTTTAAGGCTACATTTTAGCTGACTGTAAAATTTCTCAAGTTCTTTAATCTTCAGGAGCAATGGGAATGTTAAAAAGTGCTATATAGTATGAGGTATTAAGAATAAGAATTAAAGCTTTATCTAAAAATATACTCTATATGGACTATTTTTTTTCCCTTGAGACAAGGTCTCACTCCGTTGCCCAACCTGGAGTGCAGTGGCACGATCACAACTCATTGCAGCCTCAACCTCTCAGGCTAAAGCAATCCTGCTACCTCTGCCTTCCAAGTAGCTAGGACCACTGGCAGTGCCACCATGCCTGGCTAATTTTTAAATTTTATGTAGAGACAGGGGTCTCACTATGTTGCCCAGCCTGGTCTCAATCTCCTAACCTCAAATGATTCTCCTGCCTCAGCCACCCAAAATGCTGGGATTACAGGTGTTAGCCACCTCACCCAGCCTCTATATGGACTTTTAAATTAAAATAGTATGTGATCCTAAATGTTAATGGTTTGTTATTGTGCAGGAATGTTTAAAATATACTCTAGAAAAAAAGAATTGCTTAATCTTAGTGAAGACATATAAGCTCGTGGCCACAATTACTTCACTCAAATCTTTATGGCTCCTACATTTACAATGGTTTTACTTCCAAAATTGTCCAAAGCTTCCATATTTGCCTGATGATTAAAATCATTTAAAATAGCTTCTATTAATGCAACTCACAGGGAATTCAGAATGACCAAAACACTAAATTTATTCCATATGCAAAAAGGCAACATTCTATCAACCACACCTGTCAGGGAACAAACTTTCATTGTTATAGAGAGAGAAATTATGAAAAAATTAGTTAATAAAATCGTTTTTGCTACAGTTAATTTATTACACTCAAACTCTATACACATTGACTGCTATTTTCTGAACACAAAGATAACACTTTGTAAAAAGGGAGGGCCTCTTGGCAGCCATGAATTGTTTTTCTGGTAGTGGGGAAGCCTCCATCCTACGTAACCTAGTCCCTTCTTTGGTCCAACCGCTTACTGGAGAGGAGTTTGGGCATAGTGAGTCTACATGCTTGTGTCCTACCTTAGACCTGCCCTGAAATAAGAAATCTTGCAGGCCTACATGGGATTCAGACTCTTCATCTTGGTTTATTAACAGAGTACACTAATGAAATGAACAAACAGTTCAAGGAACTAAAAAGTAAACTGACACTCAAGGGTTCACTTACTGAGCAATTCACATATGCAGGCACTTCACTGAATACTTCATGCATGTGACATCTTTAAATCCTTGCAATGTCCCTGTGCAGAGGGTAAGATTATCCCTACTTCACAAATGAGGAAACCAAAGCAACAAAACAAAACAACTAGAAAATTTGCCCTAGATTGCAAAGTTGTGGAGTAGGGATTTCAACCCAGGTACCTGTGACTCCAAAACCCACCTTAATCGTGATATATGACCTCACAGTCCATGATCATAGTCCTAACCATGTTAGAGAGATTATCATACTAACACTGTAAAAGAGAAGAGTTGAAAAAGTATAATTTATCTCTGCCTAGGGATTAAAATGATAATAGCAGCTATTATATATGCATCAGAAATTATGCTGAGTGTTAATCCTAAATTCTCACAATCACCCTGCAGCGTAAGTATTATTCTCATTTTAAAGGTGAAGATGTTGAGGCTGGAAGAGGTATAATTAACTTTCCCAAAGTCATTCAGATATGAGATTTGAATTCAGGTCTGTGTGTTTTAAGTATATCCATGTGTTTTCACTTCCATACTACTCTTCGATTATTCTATAGAGGGAAGACAGAAATGAAGCTAATACAAATTCAGTACCCACTAGGTACCAGGTACTGGGCAAGTTGAAACACAATCGAGTAACCAGAATTCCAGAGAGTGAAAGAAACTAGGTGGTGCTGGCACATAGATCTTTGCCTGTTTCGCTCAAATTTTAGAGTATCTATAGCATCTATTTAGGGCAGATGCTTGCATCCTGCCTCAGACTCACTACATCGGCATTTCTCTCATCCAAGTACTAACCAGGCCTGACCCTGCCTAGCTTTTGAGATCACATGAGATCAGGCAACATTCAGGGTAGTATGGCCATAGACTACACAATCTGAATATTAGTAAGCTGCTCCAAATAATTCTGATATATATTCAAGTTTCAAAACCACTGATCCATAGGAACAAATGAACTAGCTATCTTCCAGTCTGTTCTCTATAACTATCTTCCTCAGCTGAGATTTTAGTATAAATTAATTTATTTGAAAATTATAGTCAGCTTTCAGTATTCTTCACTGTCAGATTAGCCTTCCCTTCACTTAAATGTGGTAAGGTGTTGTTCCACAACCTGCTTGTGTGTGTACACACACACACACACACACACATTGCACCACGTAAAAAGACAAATGAAAGTGAGAGAAGTTTCTTAAGTGCTTATGCTATATGTCCTAGATTATGTATATTTTTAAAAATTATTGGATATCTTTTATATAACTGTATAAAAAGTAAAACAAAATATTCACATATGTAAGTAGGATTCAATTATAACTTATATTGCTAGTGCCCCCACTGAAAAAAGAGACACATTGTCGATTTTTATTCAGTTTAAAAAACCAAATG
This sequence comes from Homo sapiens, assembly GCF_000001405.40. Lineage (NCBI taxonomy): Eukaryota > Metazoa > Chordata > Mammalia > Primates > Hominidae > Homo > Homo sapiens. Next base: position 51,692,237 of record NC_000014.9, on the reverse strand, counting down.
CTGTCAAAATAGTAGCCCACCACTTCACACATCCAAAAACAATTTCAGTTACCCTGAGCAGCAATGTAGCTAATCATTGGAAATTCTGCCCAAAAGATGACAAAGTTCATCCAATAGGCAGGCCTGTTGGATCCTCAGACAATCCCTAGAAGCAAAAATGAGGATACAGCAGTAAATTAAGAAATTGGGTTGATTGTCAGAATAAAGCCAAAATGACTATAGCAATAAGCAGAAACTTTTCTTAGCTAAACTTTTTAATGAAGTTATTTAAATGTCATATATTTCAGCATAATATTTAGAAATATTCTTTTATATAGCAATTGGATTAAAAATATAGTAACATAGCCAGGCACAATGGCTCACGCCTGTAATCCTAGCACTTTGGGAGGCTGAGGCAGACAGATCACGTGAGGTCAGGAGTTTGAGACCAGCCTGGCCAACATGGTGAAACCCCATCTCTACTAAAATTACAAAAATTAGCCAGGTGTGGTGGCAGGCACCTGTAGTCCCAGCTACTCGGGAGGCTGAGGCAGGAGAATCGCTTGAAGCTGGAAGGCAGAGACTGCAGTGAGCCAAGATTGTACCACTGCACTGCAGCCTGGACAGCAGAGAAAGACTCTGACTCAAAAAAAAAAAAAAAAAAAAAAAATCAAAATCAAAATAAATAAATAAAAATATAGTAACATATAGGAAACTAATTCAAGTCATGCACTAAGGCAATTTTTTCCTCTAATTCCATCAGAATACAATCTATGAAAGAAACAGTATGAAAGTTGATAACACAGAGAGGGGTTGAAAAATCTTAGGCATGACACTGATTACCATAAAATTGTTTGGCAGTCTCTACCAAGGCTAAACATAGTGTAACCTATGATTCACAATTACTCTTCAGTATAAACCAAGAAATATTTCTACATGTGCATACACATAACATGTTCATAACAGTTTTACAATAGCCCAAAACTCAATATCTATCCATCAACAGTAGATGAATAGATTGGGTGTATTCGTACAATGGAATATCACACAACAATGTAAAAGAAAGAATTATTGTCACATGGATTCACATGAATAAATTTCACAGGACAAATGTTGAGTAAAAGAAGCCAGAAGAGAATATATCACATAACTTCAGCTTCATGAAGTTAAGAAACAAGCAAAACTTTGGTGACAAGAGATCAGAATAGTTTTTACCCTTTAGGTGAAGGATATTGACTAGGAGGGGTCACAAAGGACCTTTCTAGGGTGCTGGAAATGTTTTATATCTCAAACAGTGATGGTTACATGGATGTATACAATTGTAAACATTCATTGAGCTGCACACATAAGGTTTCTATACTTTGCAGTATGTAAATTATAACTCAATTTTTTTAAAGTTAAAAAAAAATCACATTCCTCAATGTTCAGGTTATCTAAGCAAGCTGACTATGACTCACAAACCATAAGCAACAGCTTAGTGCTCAAATGTTCAGCCTATAGGCACCTAGTCCTGGAAATTGGCTAGATTTTGGCTACTCTTAAGATAAAATCAAGATGCATATTAAAAAGCTATCTAAGGCTGGGCGCGGTGGCTCACGCCTGTAATCCCAGCACTATGGGAGGCTGACGCGGATCACCTGAGGTCAGGAGTTCGAGACCAGCCTGGCCAATATGGTGAAACCCCGTCGCTACTAAAATATAAAAAATTAGCCGGGCGTGGTGGTGCGTGCCAGTAATCCCAGCTACTCGGCAGGCTGAGGCAGGAGAATCGCTTGAACCCAGGAGGCAGAGGTTGCAGTGAGCTGAGATCATGCCACTACACTCCAGCCTGGGTGACAGAGTGAGACTCTGTCTCAAAAAGCAAAAACAAAAAACAAAAAAAACTATCTAGGTTGGTGCAAAAGTAATTGTAGTCTTTGATACTACTTTCAATGGCGAAAGCCACAATTACTTTTGCACCAACCTAATAGCGATGATTACCATTTCATGTGTGTGGGTGACAACTCTAAGCATTTAAGACATAAATTCATATACTTCAATAAAAGTTATATTTCGATCAAAAGTTTAAAAATAGCAAATGTTTGTTTTTCAATATAGTAACCATAGTCCTCTAATTCTAACCCAGGTGAGAGAATGTTGAAGGCAGCTGCACACAAGCCACAAAGCTAAGTTAATGTATGTATGGACTATTTGACAACCCAATTCTGCCACATGATTACTGCCCTAATTCTGTAAAGATTTCACCCTTAATCAAGTCATAAGTTGAATGTGGCCACTGGTGAAAACACAATATTTAGACATTTCTAAAACTGGATCTACTCACATTTATGATGATGTTCAGAGATTCATCGTTGGGAAGGAAAATGCACACACTGCGGCGGTCTTGCATGACTCTGTTGTTATGAAAATTCAATTTGTTCATTGTGTTTTGGGCACTCTGGTGGTCAGGGCTGGGCTCTGGGTCCTTGGCAATTCCTCAGGTTCCCAGCACTCCAAAGCCAAGCTCGCCTCCTCATCACACGCCCTGCAGGAGAAGCATCACGGTGTTCGACTACGTGGGTTTCATAGCTGTGAAAAAGCCAAAGGGGAGACTCCTGAAGAAAGGCGGTGAAGACTGCGAAGAGCGCGTCAGGAAGATAAGCACAGCACCACTACTATTGTGGGCACAGGGACAGCATATCTCCAGCCAGCACCACCTTATTTAATACATGGGAACTCACTGAAATTCATTCTGTATTTTGCCCACAAAGTTTTAAAGCTTTCATCCACAGTCAGGAATTAAACTTATAACCAATGAGAGCCTCACACATTCAAGGATGTACTAAGTACTACAGGCCTCACAGAAACAGAGATCCTGTCTTGGAGGAGTTTTCAGTCCCACATGGGAGATAAAGGGTTTTGAACATGAAATGGCAAAAACAACAGCAATAAGAAAATTCTCGTTCTTTTTCATAACTATCAAACTCAAATAAATGTCTTGGCTCTTACATTACATTCATTCTTCAACCACTGTGGTCTGGCTTACACTTCCTTCACTTCACCAACATGGCTCTGCCAAAGGAAGCCCATGATCTCTAGGCCATCACTTTAATTGATCTCTCTACAACATTTATCCTGGTTGCTAAGCCCTCCTTACAACATTCTTCTTAGTTTTTATAGCTCTGTCTCTCCTGCTTCTTTAACCTAATAATGCATACTTGATTTTTCTATTATTTCATAAGCCAATTAATACACAGATAAAACAAGACTGTATATATCAAACCATGTTTGTATAGAAAAAATGGATTTTGGATGCCTCTCATATCTAATTAGTTCTATTAAACATATTAACTGTATTGTTTAACTTATCAGGTTTTTGACATAGAGAATTTTGTTTGCAAGTAATAGAAATTTTATCTCCAATTTTCAATAATTACACCCATTATTTCTGTTTTATGTCTCATTGCATTAGTGAGATCTTGCAGAATAATTTTAAAACAGTAGTGGGTATTTTCTACTTTTAATGGGTGTGTCTAGTATTTCATATATTGTTGCTAATAGAACACTATTCAACCAAGACAAGTCAAGACTAGTCGTCTGTCAAACCATTAGTATTTATATTATTCCTTTCCAGCTACATTTGTAGGACGTAAAAGACTATTTCCAGGAATATGGAACTGTTTTACTAGGTGGAGAGTATATATAACCATACAATTTTCACAGAAAATACATTAATACTCACATAAATCAAAGCATAAATGAAATAGAATCTTGGCCGATTTGCTTAAGGTTAAATGTATAACTCTTATCAGCAGGAGGGGAAAGAATATATTCTTAGATACTTGGCACATTTAGAAAATATAATCTAGTATTCTTCTTAAAGAATAAATAAAACATCATTTACAAGGGAATTACTCGAAACTAAAACAAATGGTAATCATATATACGGTACTTCATTATTAGGAAGGTGGCTAAAAGCCCATTTAGAAGTATTCTGCTTTTCTTAATAATAATCATCTCATGTTAGGTTATAGCCAGTACATCACCTCATGGGGTCATTGGAGGCCTGTGCTATCGTTCTCACTAGGATGGATGGTTAACCCATGTGTTCTAGGACCACAAACTATGCCCCAAGCTACTCATCCATCTTGAAAAAAAAAAAACACGCATGCTTTTCCTTCAACAATTCCAAAGCATCAGTTGGAGGACCAGGGTTGGCTGCATCAGAATCACCTGGGTGTTTGTAATGAACACAGAATCCTGAGCAGGTATTCTGGCATTTCTATTCATACAGAATCTCCAGGGTCAGAGCTAGGTATTTCTGATGTGTAGCAACAGATGGAAACCACCACTTTACTTAGCAGAAGGAAGGGACTGAGCAGAGGGTTGAATATAATACATTGGAAAAATATCTTAAAGATAGAGAATTGGGAAAAAGTAATATAGGTGAATATCACATCATCTTTATAATAGAAAAAAAAGGTCCTCAACATTGTCAAAGGTATGAATTCCTAAAACAGGTCAAATTTGTGTGCTCAAAACATTTTCCTGAAAAATGTTACTAGGTGGTACAGGGATAAATAGGTTTGCAAAGTACTGTACCCTATATATGTCCTCTCTTAGAAATCAGAAAGTGTTAAAGGCTCTGAGAAGTGTTGCAGGCAACTTCTTATATTTAATGCAGTATATCTCAAACTTACTTGGGCACACAATACTTTTTTCCCCCAAGGCATATCTATTAAGGTCCTATAGAACAATATTCTTAGGCATACCATTTAGAGATACAATTCTAAAATGATTTTATCAAATATTATATTTCATGACAAAATTTTCCCCTATATATTGATATATTCCAACACTTAGTCTTCCTTTTTGCAATATAAATCTTTTCAAGAAGAAATTATAAGCTTTGATTAAATGCATCTTAAATTCAAACCCTTAAGTAATATTCATCCCAGTGTAATTCTTATTTAAATCTGTACTTCAAATTGAGTTAGTCCTATAATTTTTCACTTCTAATTAAACCAATTAAAGCAGGGTATGTCTACTGACCTACTTTCCAGAATTTAAAAAATAAACTAGAAAAAAATATCTTCTGAGCTGTGGGATGTTTCCAGAGCTTCATTAAAATAACTTGAAATTTTCATTTGGGTACAATTTTTGCTTATTTTATGGCTCAAATATGCAGCACAGAAGATGACTGGAAGAGGATTATTGAAGCAAATGTAATAAAAGCAGAGTCGATACGAAGCAGCACTGCTTCATTGCTGCTTTTTCTGCTTTGAGGATGGCAAACTAGAAAAGCCCTTAAAGAAAGAGTTTAAGTTTTTACTTTACCCAAGACAGCATTAAAGCTGATTAAAAGGCTCCAATGAAATGGCAAAATAGCCATATCTCTAATATGCACCAGTATAAAACTTAATCTTAAATTGGGCAGTCCTGGGGAAAAGAATTAGATTAAATTTATACCAATTTGAATTTTAGAAGTCAGCCTCACAACAGCCATTGGCTACTTATTTTGTATCCTAAACTAAATCTCAACTCAGTCCCAGGAGGACACATTTCTTACTACAGGGCAACCCTTTCCTGTCCAATGATCTTAGGATCTATTATCTTCGAAGGGTAGACCATGTGGTAGTAACATATTTTCCAGGGAACAAAAAAAAAATCAGTTTTAATAGTGATCAAACCCCACCCAGCCTCTTTATTTATTAATATCCAACTTACAAAAACAATATGTTGAGCTATACAATTCCCCCACTGGAACTTTAAGTGCACATTATTATAAGCTCCTTATTTCCTGATAAGTCCCAATGGTTACAAAATTATTCCATTTCTTTTAAGAATCAGGAAGCCACCACCCATGGGCATTCAATACTGATTGTCATTTTTAACAAATTGTGGGAAAAAAGCTTTAAAACTGGGTCCACTACCCCTAAAAGTATGCAGTTTTGTTATAATGTATCAATACTGATTTGTTAGTTGTGACAAATATACCATAATCATGTAAGATGTTAGCAACAGGGGAAACTGGGTGCCGGTGTGGTATACAGAAACTCTCTATACCACCTTTGCAACTGTTTTCTGAATCTAAAACTAAGGTAAGTATTTTTTTAATTTTAAAATTAAAAGTAGGTCACCAGAAGTTTCCTACCCACATAATATAGTCTCATATTGAATGTAGGCAAAGGAGGATTTTCAATTCTAGGACTGTCTCTTAAAAAGTAAAAAGCTGGTAATTTGTTAAGATTACTGTAAGCGAAGCATGACTAAGTAGGCATGTATCAACAGTCAATATGGTATCTTCATCACCTAACAAAAACAAGGCAAAAATTTATCTTGGAAAACTGGATTGTAGAGAATCCTATCTTCTAATTTAATCATCACACATTTATACAGCTCGTGTTACACACACAGTACGGTAATATTTATTTGCTGAAAAGCAGAATACAAAAGCATTAGATACTCCCCCTCCACCTATATGAGTTCACCATCTAGTTAAGGACATATCACACTGCCAAGAAGCTTAAAACGATAATATTGTCCCGATTTCTAAGAGCACACATACTCTGATGGGCAACTCTCATGCCAACCTCAAAGGAAGATATAATGGATAACAGTATTAAGTACACAAATACTGTGCTATGAATACTGTAGCTAAGATCATTCTGGAATAAACTGTATCATCTTTAATGTATAGTATCCTATCCCAAAAGTGATATCAAAATGTCTTTAGTAAAATGAGTTCTGTTTTTGTTCATTCTTTCATTCAACACCTGTCTGCCAAATGTTGCTGTATGTGCTGAGTACACTAACAGCACTAACAAAAATACCCTGCTCTAATAGAAACAGACAATAAGCATATGATATAGATGGTGACATGTACTATGAAGAAAAATAGGCCCAGAGTACTTGATAGAGTTGATGGAGATATGGTTGTGGTGTGGATGCTATCTCATATAGGGTAATCAAGGGAAGCATCTCTAATGAGTCAATATTTAAGGAAACATCTAAATGAAGAAAGAGATGTAATTTCCTTCCATCTGTCCATCCATCCATCTATCCCAGGCAAGAGTTTTCCTTGCCAAGACTCACTTACTGTTCAGAAAAGGCAAAATAATAGTGCTAATGATAGCTAGCATTTACTACAAACTTACCATGTTCCAGGCACTGTTAGGTACTTATGGTATGTTAAGGAAACCTGCAAACTCACTCTCATGCTTCCCATTCAGAGGTGGGATCTATTTCCCCTCTCCCTGGATCTGGTCTGGTGCTGTGACTAACTCATGCTCAGTAAGAAGTTTTTCCTTGTGTGGATAATCTACTTGTGCAATACTCCTTGTAAGTACTCCTCAGTTGTCTGTCTCCTCTACTCAGCTCTTCTCAGAGGAGGGTCACTTCACTAGCTACATATTTTGCTTAATCTCCAATGACAGGCACATAGTATATGCTCATTAAATGTTAGCTGTTTGGCTTCCTATACATGAAGATTCTACTGAAGGGTTTTTTAAACTTGCCACTACTGACATTTTGGGCCAAATATTCTTTTTGGTGGGGGGCTGTCCTGCACATTGTAGGATGTTCAGCAGCAGCCCTGGCCTCTACTCACTAGCTGCCAGGAGCCCCTCTCCCATCAGTTGTAACAATCCCAAATGCCCTCAGACATTCCAGAATGTTCTCTGGGGGCAAAATTACCCATGGTTGAGAACTAGTGCTCCACAGGTTTCCATATAGAGACACTATGGGCTACTTTTTACCATCCAGCTGTTTTTTATTTAATAATACAATTCTTACTAAATACATATTTTCCAGCTAAAGATTAGCAACTGAGTGCTAAACTCAGAAATCTGGCTTGAACTTTAAAGACAATTTTCAACCTCTTGAATGTGTGTGGCCTCTGGCTTTGGAATAGCTTTGAAGTTTAACTTCTTAAAACTTAAATATTTACTGCAGTATACAGCCAAACTTCTCACATAAATACACTTCCACAATCCCCACCTGCTTGTTCCTGAAGAGTCCTTTATTTTGATAACAGTACCTGAAAATATAAAATCTGACCTGGAAACAACTATTTTAATTTGCTTGCATACTCTGTACTATGAGGGTTTTTTTTTTTTTAAGGGTCATTTATTTATTTAAAAACAAAACAAAACATTTAGGAGCCACAGATTTACTTTTCTCACTTAAGGTGAGAGATAAACTGAACACTCTGTTTCATGGCCTGTTTTACAGTTACCATTTTACCTATAAAGAAAGTAGTTGACATCTATCAACCATCTGGAGCCAAATACTCTGGAAAGAACATCAGATTCTTTGTTGCCGTCTCTTTCCTACCTTCCAACCATTGCTCTGGTGGATAAATGAGGCACTGTGGAAAGGCTAAGATCGCCTTTGATATGGCTTAACCTCATGTTTAGAGACAATACAAACAGATTACTGATTAAGAAGATAGATTTAAGGGTTAAATAACCCTTTCTCAAATCAGTCAAATCTGGATCTTAATCTGGATTCCACAACACCTGCTGTGTGACCTTCGGTAAGTTACCTGACCTCTAAATCTGATTCTTCATCTGTAACATCTGTAGTATTGGCCGCCTAAGATTATTGGAAGGGTTAAATGAGATAATGGATATAAGTATTAGCTATCAGGTTATTTGGGTGGGAAAGATTGTTCATTAAAACAAGAGTCAAAGCCAAGCACAGTGACGCACATCTGTAATCCCAGCACCTTGAGAGGCTGAGGCAGGAAAATTTATTGAGGTTAGGAGTTGGAGACCAGTCTGGGAAACACAGCGAGACCCCATTTCTACTAAAAAAGTTTAAAAAAAAAAAAATAGCTGAGCATGGTGGCACATGCCTGTAGTCCTAGCTACTCAGGAGGCTGAGGCAGGAGGATCACTTGAGCCCAGGAGATGGGCTCAAGTCATTGCTGCAGTGAGCAATGACTGTGCCACAGCACTCCAGCCTGAGCAACAGAGCAAGGCTCTGTCTCAAAAATAAAAAAAATAAAAACTAGTCATGAGTTGCCAGGTCATGAGAAGGAATATCTACAACTGATTAATAAAAATACACTCATACAGAGATCTAGGCCTCGGAGCCAGATGTAGCAAATGAGCTAAACTTTAAGAAGTCTACTTTTGGGTAGGGAAGTTAAGCGTATTGTTGGTTGTAAATGGAAAAGTGGCATTATATTAAGTGGTTACTCCTTTGAAATTTTATGTACTGAAAGACAGTGCGTATGGGTGTATGGGTTGAAATGTGTGCTGGCTGACCAAAGAATGGAAGGTAGAGGACATCTGTTTTAGTCTGCCTGGCACCATCTTTCCAGTGGGGCTATTGATCACAGTGTGTTGTCCCCACCCTGGCTGATGGGGGTGATGTAGGAGAGGGATGTAACTCACAGCTGGCCAAACAGGGTTCATTCTCCAACCACAGTGCTTGGTCTAAATGCTGAACATGTAACCCAAGCAAAACCAGAATTCCTCCATGAAATTTGTGATATAAACGCTGGGAAGGAGAGAGCTGCTCTTCTTTTTGTATTGCTCTTTGTGAAAATAATATGAGCCTGGAGTTGCTGGCAATCATCTTTGATGCCACATGGTAAGAAATCTCCTGAGAAGGACATCATCACAGAGGAAAGAGAAGCTCAGAAAGAATCCTGATTGCATCATTTGAACTGCTGCATCTAGCTATCTGAAGCCAGAAACCATCCATAGAAATTCTCATATAGTGAGCCAGCAAGTTATCTTAAGCTAATTATGTTAATTCTGCCACTTGCAACAGAGTAAGTCCTCTCTAATACAGATAATCCAAACAAGAAGCTGACTGACTGCTTGATACATTCATTCATTAATTCACTGTTTCCTATCTCTGGCTATACCAACATTGATATTTACTTTACTTAAAAAAAAAAACAAAAAACTGCTCTAAGTTTTAAAGTTTCTCTCCAATCCAAAAAAAGGAGAATAGTCACTATTCACCATAAGCAGAGAAGACCAAGAAGATGGGGGATAAAATCTGAGTAGCTGAAAAATTTAGGTGGTTGGGTTAAAATAATAGTAAATTATTATTTCACCCAATAATCCCACTTACAGGGAATATATAAGTAGAAAATAATTCAAAATAAATCACTAACACAGTAAATAATTTATGGAAATAATGCAAAATTCATTTAAGGCAAACAAAGCATATTGGGCAATTAATAACAGTAATTTTCAGCAACAAAGGAATATCTCATCTTGCATACTAATGTGTGGGTGAATAGTCCTCTTATTAAAGACCACAATGTGTTTTACAGAATCACGCAGAATATGCTTTTATTGTATTGTACATTTGTAACAAATTAGAGTAGCTGTAAAAAAATGCTTTTACTGCAAACAAAATAACTGGAAAGCATGGTTGATATGTAATTTGAAAATTGATCAGTAAACAGTGTAATCATAGCAATTTTAGTAAAAATAGCTTTAATTTGAAGCATATTTTATAAATTTGGTAAGGGGAAAACCATTAAGCTAATTACCAAATGCAAGCTAAGAAACTGTAATCTGACTGTAACATTATTATACTATACAATTGTAAGTGGCTGTGTATGTCACTTGAAATGCAGGCTAGTTGTTGAATCAACAGAAAGGCTAAGTTTTGAAAGAGGAAATACTGTATGGCAGTAGGCAGCATAATAGGCTGTTAAGAGCTTGGACTCTGGAGCCAAACAGCTTGGGTTTGAACCCAAGCTCAGACACTTCCCACCTGGGTACCCTTGGGCAAGTCTCTGTACTTCTTTGATCAATTTTGCTCACCTTTGAATTGAGATTCATGTGAAGTTTATTAAACGGGTTACTCATATGTGAAGCACTTTGAACAGAGCTTGATATACAGTATGTGTTACTGTATTTACTAGCAAGAAACATAACTGGCTTCATATCATGGAAAGCAAGTGGAAGCACTGTTGTTTGCAAACATGTAGTGGTCACTATCTATGCTATTTTATCATATCTTGAAATCTAAATAAATGGTGTTTTTCTCCTGTTGGCAGCTAACAGATTATTTAACTTCTGTATTTAACCAATGAGGTTAACCTCGGGGTTAGGAACAAAAAAAGAACCTTCCAATTAAAGTGGACTTGCATTGGTGCCAAGTAATGCTCATCATACTCTAACGAAAAACATTATGTGGGTAGTACTCAGCTATAGAAAAGGGAGAATATAAAAAGACCAGCAAAGAACTTTCTATTGCAATAAAGAGAAAAATTAGTGAAATCGAATCATAAGCTGTGGTTAGCATTATAAATCACTGCAACCAATTTGGCTTTTTTTGTAGTAAGAGTCATAGAGATGTTCATACCTTTTCACCCAATAATCCCACTTGCAGCGAATGGATAAGAAATAATTCAAACAAAGCATTCAACATTTCTGAACAAAAGTACTCACTAAAGTGTTATTTATCAAAGTAAAAAATGAGAAAAATCTAAATAGGGAAAAGACAGGAACAGATTAGTAAATCATAGTATATAAAAAAATAACATCAATAATAATAAACGTTTATTGAGCACATCATCCCCTAAATCACAAATACCCACTATAGCCAAAAATTACCCTTTCACTATATAATTTTAGAATAGGACTAGCAGGAATAAAGAAAGCTGCTAAATCAAAGAGAAAAAAAAAGCAAGAAAAAGATCATAAGTATTCTGTTAGTCAATGAATAAGCATAAACCAACTGGTATTTGAGAACTCTAGCACTTGTTAAAGTGTAGTTCATACATATTTGTCTCTCAACACCATTTCTAAATTTTAGCCCTTAGACAGTTTATACTCTTTCAAGAGTCAAAATTAATAGCGTAGAAACAATAGGAAGTAATGCAACTACATCTTAAATTAAATGCTAAACTGTACAGTAAAATGAAGGCTGTGGGATTTGAGAAAAGGCTGAGAACTGGGAGGAGCATGGCATTCAGGAAAGATTCCATGAAGGGAGGTTAACAGCATGTATGGGGAGAAGAAAGAATTGCAAGGGTGGGAAGTAATACAGATAAGGGCCCTAGTGGAGAGGCCTGGGCCTGTGCTGCTGCCCCATGCAAACTCAGACTGAACAGATGAGAAGCCTGGTTACAGAGCCTTCTCCTGAAATATAAGGCTTTTCTTCAGTTGGAAAGCCTGAGAGGCTTCCAACAAGATTCACTTGGATGGCACACAGCATAGTACACCACGGACTGTTTTTCAAAGTTTTGTTCTTTGTTAACTCAACCAATGAATCGCCTTCTCTAGCTTTAACCGAGGTTTTGCACCCTGTGCTGTTTGGACTCAACCCTTCCCCCTTCTTCTTTGGCATTATTTTCTGCTACCACCATACTCACGCTATTTATTTGATTACAGAGGCAAAGCAAAGGCTAATGACAATAGGTACTTGGGAAAATGAAATTATCACTTGTCTTACATTAGAGATTAAAAACATATTTCTCCAAAGCACAGGTCTGGTATATCCTTCCTAAACTGAACAGTAATAAGCATAATTCTGTTAATCAACTATTACAATGAAGCCCATAAAAGAAGTGATGGGGATCTTCAAATATCTCAAAAAGCCTGATAGAAATGGCATATTTTCCCACAATAATATCTCAAGGGAAATTAAAAGATCTTTCACTTAAGTAATATTAGTATTATTTTCAGGCACTTATTTTGATAGCACACTTAGCTTTACATGCCAAAGCAAAAAAAAAAAAAAAAAAGAAAACAAATGACTTAATTTGTTTTGACAGACAATCTTTCCAAACATTAAGCCTAAGGAAGGTGGGGGAAACGACAAATGAAAGTGATCCTCAATGACTGAAAGGTTGGGAAAATTATTTGCTCTCTCTGTATTATTTGTTCTCTCTCTCTATATGCTACATATGCATTATATATATGCATAATATATATTATATATAATATGCATCATACATATATAGTATGCATTATATATAGCAAATATATACATCTATACACGTGTGTATATTTTTATATAATCTTAGTAAGAAAAAAAAATCCTTCCTTTTGTCTAGCCTTTTTAACAGCTTTCTTCTCTACTATACAACCTCACTGTGTTCTCACCTAAATTTTTAAATGTTCTCTGTCTTGTCTCATTCCTTAAAGCCATCCCCCACAATGCTGCCAGGGTGACCTCTTAAATTGCATATCTGATCATACATATCACACCATTGCTCACATTCTTTAACAGTTCAGCACATCCACAGGACAACACCTAACACTAAAGCACAGTAATCCTTCACCATCGGGTCCCATTCCTCCTCAGTGTGAGTATTTTCCAATTCATGTTCTGAATTACTGCAGTTCTTTTCCTCACGGATCCCTGAACAAGTCTTGCTTTCATACTTCTATGCTTTTGACCATGCTGTTCCCTCTGCCTACAATATTATCCCTTGCATATTATCCCACCCACCCACCCACTCCAAAAGAACATAATGAAATCACAAAATATCTTCATTCTCCCTGGAAACTCAAGATGCTGGTCTGTGAAGCATGCCTCCACGTTCCTAGGCAACTCAGCAGTTTTTCTCCTGCTCCCCATGGAGGACTGGAGTCTCCTCAAGGGTAGGCTGTCAGCATCCTTATGTCACTAATGCCCAGGGTAGTACTGGCTCTGTATAGGTATCCAGTAGGACTTGTTAAATACACTATTTAGACTTACCAGAAATGTGAATGAATCCCTAGCAATTAAGTTAAAAATTATGTTCCTTTACGACACACTTTTCCCCCACAATGGGAGTCAGCGTTGGTCAGAGCTTCTTGAATATTTTCTGCATATTAGTTATAGAGGAAATGTGTACATTTCTTCTTGTCTCCAAATTTAGTGGACATAATGTGAGAATACGATCCTCCAACACTGTCCACAAAATAATTTCTGCAAAAGTCTCCATGTGTGTCAGGTTAAGCCAACTTATGTGAAAGCAAACACATAAGGAGACACACTGTTTGGGACGCACTAAGTTGCAAGTACCAAAAATATCCAACTCAAATCTGGACTCTGAAGCCAAACTGCCTGGGTCTGACTCTTAGCCAGCTATTTATTAATACTAACTGTATGACCTTTGACAAAGTCTCTTCACCTCTCTATCTCAGCTTCCGTATCTATAAAATGGAAATTATAACAGTACATACTTTATAGGGTATTATAAGGCATATGGTAAGCACTAGATAAGTGTTAACTATTAGTAAACAACAGGACTAGTTAAATAAGCGAAATTTATAAATAGAGTGACTTGGAGCCTAAAGTGAAATGGGTGGCCCCACAGGTGGTTTGATGTGGTGGCTCACATTGTCATACACAGAACCTAGTTTCTCCTGGCACCCTGAAATCAGCTCCATCTTAAGGCTGGCATCTCTCAGAGTGGCCAAATCAACCAGAATGTAGAAGGAAACAAGAATACTGAATCTCTACCTGACTGGAGAGTTCACAAGTCCTTCAGCACTGAACAGGGGCAGGGAATAGTTGAACTAGCCTAAGCCACCTAGGGCCCACATCTAGATCTGGCGGTGTGTTAACTTCCCCTGAAGTACACGGACATTAAAACCAAAATTTGGGTACCTATGGGAAGCTGGGGGATAAGAGAAGATGTTAGATAGGCAACCAACAAGAACAAAGGCAATGGTAAAATTCATGAATTTTAAACCACAGAAACTACTTTCACAGCCATCTGTATTCAAAAGTCATATCAGGTTTAGCAACCAGGCACAAAAATTCCTTTCAACCAAGATGAATTTCTAGCATGACATCGCCAACAAAAAGTGCTGTTCTCAGGGAAAATCCTCCAACTTAGAAGCATCTGCTTCTAATTTCCACAATGAAATCTTTGATTCCCTCATTCATGGGACTTGCACTCAATTCCCTCTGACACAGGAACTGCAGTTTTCTAGATAATGACTTTGCTGTGAAATTCTCATTATCTAGTAGCAATATATGAATCTTAACATTAACTTTACTTATTTTCCCCTGAAATACTTCTTCCCAAAGAGAGCATAATGCCCCTAACAAAGATTGAACTAAATATTTGAGAAGTTGCTAGCTTTCTGGTAACATTGCAAAAGGATTTTCTATGTCATTACATGGCTCCTAACAACAAGGAAATGTACAAGCTAGAAACGCAAAGGCCCACTGACAACAGACTAAATAAAATATGGTACATTAAAACAATTAAGCAGTGAAAAATCATGAACTACAGCTACACATTAACAAGTGCGAATCTCAAAAAACAACATTAAGGAAAAAAGCAAGTAACAGAAGAATACATATGACAGATTACAAATAGAAGGTTCTTATGTTCACATGTCAGGTTCAAAAAGAAAAAAAGAAAGTTCAAAAATAAGCAAAACTAATGAATGATTCATTTAGGGATACATATATATGTGTGATAAAACTAAAGAAAGGCAAAGGTATGATTAACTTCAAAATTGTAATGTGGGGGAGGCTGGAGGTAGGATGACATATTCAGAAAGCAGCAGAGAACTTCAAAGGTTCTACAGAAATTTTTTTCATAACTTGGTAGTGAATACAATGGTGTTCTTTCATCACTATTATTGTTTAAAATGTACAGACATTACAAACACTCTTCTATGTGTATATTTCACAATTCTGTAAAGCACATCAGAAGTACTGAGGTTGAAAATGCTGTGAATAATCACATACTGATAATTAAACTTTAAAAAGATACATAAGGCAGGACAAGTATGAAATGCTGCTATAACTGCCTGCTACATTTCACAAAAGATGAATCCATTACGGATCCTATGCAGAGTTTAACTACCATGTAACCACCATGTACCACATACTTAAAAAATGTTATTTCACTTACTACACAGTTTGTTTCCAGGGATCTGAAACTAAGAAAAGCCTTAGAGCTCCTAGTATTGTTAATGAATTCTTGTAATTTTTATAATTTAGTGACAGGTATAAAATAATTTCTGAGTTTCTATCTATTCCTAACTGGAAACAAATGTAACAAAGTGCAATCAAATGAAAAATTTATCACTGTATCAGATTTTAGAGATGACTTCATCCAACCTTTTAAGTTTACAGGTTAAGAAACTGGCACTTTGAGAGAATGTGCTGGCCAAGATGACAGTCAGCTGTAGGACCGTGGTGTGCTTTTCCTTAATGGGATTTTTCTTCCTAAATTATATTCCAAAACTCCCATGGGTAAAAAACAATTTAGCTTAATCTAGTATCTTTTCAGAAAGTTCATATTTTATATTTTTAAACGGAAAGTTAAGAAACGTGCTAAAATAATTTACTAAATTAAACATACCCAAATGCTAATAAAACCTGCCTTTTACCTTGATACCTTTCATTATATGTGAAAAATTTTATGAAACCAGAAAAGGGCTTTGGAGATTCTAGATTTAATTTTTACCCTACATAAATTATGGGGATAAGATTATGTTGTTACCTAGACACACTCAAAGCAGCAGCATTTGCTGTGGGGACACCCACAGAGACACACACACACATTGTACATGTGCAGAATGATGCAAAGTGAGGCTCCAAGGCCAGGTACTCTTTAAAGTAAAGAAGATCAAAAGCACAACCTACAGACTTCAAATTAAAAAATTCATCTGGAAAATCGAACAAGACTTTCTACTGCTACAAAAGTCCTTGTTTAACACCCCCTTGGGGGATTTTGCAGTGATTACACAAGCTGGAGACAAGTTGCTAAATAAACTTAAAAAGACAAAACATTATACAGTTTTAAAAGCCCTTAAGAGAAATGATAAAAATGTTTCTTTTATATATGGCTTTATTATAGTTTCACAACATATTTACCATTGTCATTTTCATGTACAGATTCTGTCTCCAACACATTAAAAGACACTTCTATCCTAACAAAGCCTTCCATTAATCAGAGATCTACAGTTCCCCTGTGGAGTCATCAAATCTTTAGCCAACGTGCTCTAAGGAGACCAAGGTGCCTTCTGTTATTCCATAGAAACATGGATCCAAGACTGCTAAGGTAGCTGTCAGGAACATAACTGGGAGCTAGGGATGGCTGTATCCTTCATGCTTCTCCCAGGGGAATCTTCAATCAGAAGCCGGCCTCTGCTACTGTCACCCAGTGTTTCATTCTCTTAGCTTACTTCTAGAAGATAACTACCATGAATCTGCCAGTTACACCAAGTGTGGAATCTCATTTTCAGTGGTACTTACCTATCTAGCAACATTCTATTTCCCATATGCCAATTCACAGGCATTATTTCTGTAACTCTTCTCAACTAGAGTTTTGAAATAATATACAAACCAAGGTCAATTCAATTATTATCCATCTATTCTAAAAGAAACAGAAATAAAGCCACTTAACAGTGAACCTCTCTGGTCTCTCTGGTGTGTGAAGTCAACAAAATCCAGGAATGAGTAACTGAAGAGCCCAGTCCAGTCACCTCCATTTGACCTACCTATTTACTGGATCATCTGGTTGTTCGGTTCGTGCGTCCCCCTCCATATTACCAAAAGAGAACATTCCTTCTCACAGTAATCATCCTCTGATGCGTTGAGAGAGGCTTAAAGTATGCTTTTTAAAGGGTGTGGGGGAAGGAAACCAGAATTACACCTTACCCTACACAAATAGGGTTAATCTTCCATGAAAAATGGAACCATACCTCAACCTTGAAGGTTGAAGTTAAAAAAGAAAACCCCAAATCAATCAAACAAACAAAAACCAGAAACCACCCTACCTCTGCTCAGCACTGCTTTTTCATATGGCTCTAATCATACTGGAAAGGCAGAAGTACTGAGACTGACACATAAACATTTATCCTGGAGAAACCCAAGGAGCAGACTATTCCAAGTCAGCAGGCATGGCAGGACCACTGCTCAACACAAATGGCTCACTTACTCGCTCAATCCTACCCTAGAAAAAGACTATATATTGCCTACAATTAATTGCCTTGGAATCACCTTATCTCTGATTCACAGGCAAAATCATTCAAATATTTAAAAAGCACTCATCGAGAGGAGTGCCTATATTCCTTCATGACTTTCACGTTTGGAAGAATGAATGAAGAAAACATGGTGTTGCTCCTCATAGTGGGCTTTCTAGGAAAAGTTGGATTCTTTTTTTCAGATATAAGATTTGCAAAGTTGTAAATCCATTGGATTTTTACCTTCAGTACAAGTTTCAATAACCAGGAGACAAAATCCTGAAACTCCCTCTAATGAGTCTTTCTTTCAAAAGCATCTTCCAATTGAAAGTCATCTGTCTAGGATTTGGAAATTATTTTCTCCAAGAGTAAAAGTCGTGATGTTTCCTAAGCTTCCATGTATAATAACTGAAAACTGTAGCTGAGGTCTAAGTTATCCACTTTAGTGAATAAAGCAATTAAAAGCAAAGATTCTGATAATAAAAAAGAAATACTTCCTTTCAGACTCTTAACTTGTCACATGCACCACAAACTCTGGACAATCTACAAACTTCCACTGGCAAGTGATTACTTTCAAGGACCATTTCTCAGAATGAGTATAAAAAGCATCATATTCCACACATAATTATGCAAAAGATGCCTCTGTACTTTTTTTCCCCTCCACATTTTTCAATGCGTTTCTTCCAGTTTTGGGGAGTTCTGAAAAATAACCTGTTACATCCAGGAACTTTCAGTTCTTGGCCATCAAATATTAATTGCTGCAGGAATTGTCCTCTGCCATAAACAACTAGAAAAGTGGATAAAACACATCAAATGGTTTTTAGACACTGAAGGAAAACAAACTAGGTGAGCCTAATGATTCCCCAAACTTAATGACTGGAGGCAGTTTTGGTCCACAGTGAGGAAAGGAATCCAAAAAGAACTGAGAAGATTCCCTGAATTGAGAAGATAAAGAGAAAAGTTTGGGAGGCAGAGGCAGCTAGAATTTGGGGGGCAGCACAGAATCCCAAAGAGGAAGTAGGGGAACCCAGATAGAGGTACAAAGATCTTCAGAGAGGTTCTCCTGGTACATTGGCTAACTACTGATCTGTGCTAACGTGGAAAAAAAAAAACTCCACAAGGCAGAGGAAAGAATCTTCGACAAGCAATAGGTCAAACAATTCCTACAGCTCACATAGAGCTGGGCATAGTTCTCATTCCCACTAGCCAGAGGAGAAACCCTATAATATTTATGGCATCAGATAGGTTAGTGTGAAGGATATCACCTCAGTAGGCCAAGTAAAGCTTCAGTCTGAAGGCTGCCCTGAACCAACTCTATAGAAGGTTAAAAGCAAGCCTCAAAAGGATCAAACTGGGCCCAAGTAACTTACCTACATGGTGAATAAAGTCCAGACTTCTTAAAGCCCAAGTAACTTACTTACATGCTAGAATAAGGTCCAAACTCTTTAATGCCCAAGTAACTTATCTACACTTATCCTCCATGAAAAATCGAACCCAATGAATGGGTTCATTCATCCTTCTAGAATGAAGCCCAAGCTGTCAAAATCCAGCACCCAATAATAAGACTATTATGAATAATTTTACATTAATAAATTCGAAAACATAGATAAGATGGACAAATCTGTTAAAAGACAAACTTCCAAAGCTCATTCAAGACGAAATAGATAACCTGAATAGCCCTATATGAAGGGACTTCAAAAAGTTCATGGAAAAAATGGAATTAAAAGATAAAAATAAAGAATATAAGCTTTATTTCTCACCATAAGCTCCAAAAGGTCAAGATATTTTTATAATAATACCAGCCACCTAGTGCATCCTAAAGAACTGAGGGTCCTGGGAATTTAACCATGTCAATGCAGTCTTTTTACATTTTTAATTGAAGAAAAATGGGTGCCCTTTGAAGATTTTTAAGATTAGGAAACAAAAAGAAACCAGAAGGAGCCAAATCAGGACTGTAGGGTGAATGCCTAATGATTTCCCATCAAAACTCTCCCAAAATTGTCCTTGTGTGAAGAGAGGTATTGAGCAGGAGCATTGTTGTGGTGGAGAAAAACTCTCCAGAGAAGCTTTCACGGGCATTTTTCTGCTAAAGATTTGACTAACTTTCTCAAAAGACTCTCATAATAAGCAGATGCTACAATTCTTTGGCTCTCCAGACAGTCAGCAAGCAAAATGCCTTGAATATCCCAAAAAACTGTTGCCCTGACCTTTGCTTTGACTGGATCACTTCCACCTCTTGGTAGCCACTGCTTTGAAAGTGCTTTGTCTTCAGGATCATACTGGTAAAGCCATGTTTCATCTCTTGTTACAATTCTTTGAAGAAATGCTTCAGGATCTTAATCCCATTTCTTTAAAATTTCCAATGAATGTTCTGCTCTTGTCTGTAGCTGATTTGGGCACAATGGTTTTGCCACCCATCTAGTGGAAAGTTTGCTCGAATTAAATTTTTCAGTTCTGATTGTGTAAGCTGAATTAACTGAGATTCCACAGTGTTGGCCATTGTTTCTGCTGTTAATTGTTGGTCTTCTTAAATTAGGGCATGAACAAGATGAATTTTTTTCCTCACAAATTGATGTGAATGGTCTGCCCCTGCAGGCTTCATCTTTAACATTTGCTAGTCTCTTCTTAAAACGAGTAAGTTATCCACCAACTGCTGATTTCTTTAGGGCACTGTCCCCATAAACTTTTTCTAAAGCACCAGTGATTTCACCATTCTTCCACCCAAGCTTCACCATAAATTTGATGTTTACTCTTGCCTCAATTTCAGCAGAATTCATGCTGCTTTGAGAGGGGTTCTTTTCAAACTGCTGTCCTGCTGTCTTACCCTTTTTAGTGCCTCAAACTAGATCCTATTCAGGTATCTTATAACATGTTAGTATGAGTTTATTTCGGTGCAAAACCATTCTGAAATCCATACATAATATGCATTTTCTGTGAACTTTCTGAAGACCCCTCAGTTATTAAATGAATTGAATTTTTAGTTAAAAATTTTATGACAAAGAAAATTCTAGGCTCAGATGGCATCACTGGTAAACTCTATCAATGTTCAAATAAAAAATTAATATCAATTCTACACAAGCTTTTCCAGAAAACCAAAAAAGGGGAATATTTCCCAACTCTTTCTATGAGGCCATCATTTCCCAAACTAGGTGACATTATAAGAAAATGTTTTAAATGACCAATATCCCTCATGAACATAGACACGAGATTCCTAACAAAATTTGGTATACTGAATTCAGCAATATATACCAAAAGGACAACATATGATGACCACGTTGGGTGTATTCCAGGAACGCAAGATTGGTTTGATATTCAAAAATCAATGTTACTCACCACAAAAGATGAAAAACTGAAATTATATGATCATTTCAATAGATGCAGAAAAACAGCTGATAAAATTTAACATATGTTCATGATAAAACATACAAACCGCCGGGCACGGTGGCCCACGCCTGTAATCCCACCATTTTGGGAGGCCGAGGCAGGTGGATCACCTGAGGTCAGGAATTCGAGACCAGCCTGGCCAACATGACGAAACCCCATCTCTACTAAAAATACAAAAAATTAGCCGGGAGTGGTGGTGTGCGCCTGCAATCCCAGCTACTCAGGAGACTGAGGCAGGAGAATCGCTTGAACCCAGGAAGTGGAGGTTGCAGTGAGCCAAGACTGCGCCACTGCACTCCAGCCTAGGTGACAGAGTGAGACTCCATCTCAAAGAAAAAAAAAAAAAGACCTAACTAAATATATAAAAATGTACATTAATAGGAAGACTCAATATTGTTAAGATATTGATTCTCCCATAACTAATCTATATATTCAATGCAACTACAACCAAAGTTCAATTAGTGTTAAACATGAGTACACATAAAAACTGAAGAAATCCAAGGCTAGTTAATAGTACTGTACCAATGTCAATTTCCTGGTTTTGAAAACAGACTACAGTTGATTATCATTGGGAGACTCTGTACACTATTTTTGCAACTTCTTGTGAGTCTAAAATTATTTCAGGCCAGGTGCGGTGGCTCATGCCTTTAATCTCAGCACTCTGGGAGACTAAGGTGGGAGGAGCACTTGAGGCCAGCCTGGGCAACATAGTGAGACCCCCATCTCCACAAAAACAATTAAAAATAAAAAATTAGCTATGTGTGGTGGTGCATGCCTGTGGTCCCAGCTACTTGGGAGGCTGAGGCAGAGGACTGCTTGAGCCCAGGAGGTCAAGGCTGCAGTGAGCCATGATCATGCACTGCACTCTAGTCTTGGCAACAGAGTGAGACTTGTCTCTAAAAAAATTAAAATTAAATTACCTCAAAATAAAGTTTTTAAAAATCCCAGGGACTTTTTTTTTTCGGTAAAAATCCAGAATCGGATTCTAATCTACTTCAGCCCTTATACAGAAATTACTTTGAAATGAACTACAGGCCCAAATTGAAAAGCTAAAACTCTAAAAGTCATAGAAAACTTACAGGGGAAGATCTTTGTTGCCCTGGTTTTCTTAGGGCATTAAAAACATGAACCACAAAAATTTTGCTTTTTAATTTTGCCCTCTGAAAGTCACTTAAAAAATGACAAAGAAATCATCATAACAGAAAATACATTTTCAAAACATATTTGGAAAAATAGAAACCATATCTGATTAAAGACTTAAATCCAAAAATATATAAATATTACAACTCAAGAACAATGCAACTCTTAAAAATATGGCCAAAAAAGTCACTTCACCAAAGATATACAAATAGCAAATAAGCACTTGAAATGATACTCAACATTATTAGTCATTAGGAAAATGCAAATAAAAATCGAAGTCAGGTACCACTACACACCTGCCAGAATGGTTAAAGTTAAAAACACTGACAATACCAAATCTTAGTGAGAATCTGGAGCAACTAGAACTCTCAGACATGGCTGGTGGGAATGTTAAATAATACAGCCACTTTGAAAATGAATTTGACAGTTTTTAATAAACATTCACTTACTATACAACTCAGAAATGAAAAGCTATGTCCCCCAAGACTTATATAATACATAAATGCTTATAGTAACTTCATTCATAATAGCTCCAAATTAGAAACAATCCAAATATCCACTAACAGGTAAATGAATAAACAAATTGTGACAACTGAATACCACCCAACAACAAAGAGGAACTACTGATATGTGCAAGAAAATGGATGAATACATCATGCTAAAGTGAAACATGGCCAGATACAAAAGCATCTAGAGTGGCAGGGGAGGAGACTGACTAAAAAGGAGCTGTAGGAAACTTTTTGGCTTGACAAAAATGTTCTGTATCTTGACCGCAGTGCTGGTTACATGATGATATATACATTTGTCAAAACTCATCAAATTATCTACTTAAAATTTGTTTATTTTATTATTGCATATGATTCATCATTTAAAAAGCTGATTTTGGGCAGGCATGGTGGCTTATGCCTGTAATCCCAGCACTTTGGGAGGCTGAAGTGGGTGGATCACTTGAGGTCAGGAGTTCGAGACCAGCCTGGCCAACACGGTGAAACCCCGTCTCTGCTAAAAAATACAAAAATTAGCCGGGTGTGGTGGTGCATGCCTGTAGTCCCAGCTACTCAGGAGGCTGAGGCAAGAGAATCACTTGAGCCCGGGAGACAAGAGGTTGCAGAGAGCCAAGACTATGGCACTGCACTCTAGCCTGGGTGACAGAGGGAGACTCAGTCTCAAAACAACAAAAACACCAGCATTATTTCATTCGAGCTTCACAGCCTCCTGCATTCTAATTTTAAGATTACAAAGTTCTGGGCTGGGCACGGTGGCTCATGCCTGTAATCCCAGCACTTTGGGAGGCTAAGGTGGGCAGATCACTTGAGGCCAGGGGTTCAAGACCAGCCCGGCCATCATGACAAAACTCTGTCTCTACTAAAAATACAAAAATTAGCCGAGCATGGTAGTGCATGCCTGTAATCCCAGCTACTCAGAAGCTGAGGCAGGAGAATCACTTGAACCCAGGAGGCGGAGGTTGCAGTGAGCCGAAATTATGCAACTGCACTCCAGCCTGGGTAAAGGAGTAGATTCTGTCTCAATAAATAAATAAGTTCTAAAGAGTAAATCAAGCAACCGTCCTTAGTATCTTACCCTTAAATGTATAATATGTAATCATTTCAAAACACCTTTACTTTCATATCCCTTTCCTAACCAGTTCTATAAATTAATAGAGTATTTTTCAGGGTAACAGCTGCTCTGAACAAATGACTGATAATGTGAATTAATTTAGACCCTGTATCTATAATATACTGATTAAAAATTTCCTGAAAATTTACTCATCAGCAACATGAGCCTAGTTCAAGAATATGTAAGGCAGTAATTAAAGCAAATGTTGTTTTATAAATTAGATAACTTCAATTAGCTTTCCCTGCTAGGTTTTACTCTACAACTTATATTTCATGAAAATTTCTCTTTACATTTCTCTAGGCACCTGTAGAAGCAAATAATTTAGTCAATTACAAACCATTAGCTCTCAACATCCTTTCACAGATTTAAAATGAATGAGGGTTCAGAAAATCAGTATTTGAGTTTTAAAAGATTTTACTTTTAAGATTTAATTAGAATTTATTTTAAATTCTAGATGAGATAACATTTATTAAAAACTGTTCCTGATTTTAATTTCCTTAAATATCCTTAATATTACACTTGAAAATCTTGGGTTTCTTTGAAGTAAAACCCTTAAACATGTCAATGTTTCTGAATCTCCTTCTATAATTGTAAGTAACGTGAGTTCCTCAAAAGAGATTTCAGAAATGGCACCACTGCAGCTGACCTTTGTTTCAGTATGTCACTAAACTATGCAAAAAATTAACTTTACCACTATATTTAGATGGGTTAAGTATAGAATTCTATTTTCTTTGGAAGAAAATACATAAAACATTTCTGATTGTTGCGATAAAACATACGCAACCACACAAAATTCCACTCTATATTTTGGGTCACACATGTCAGTAAATTCACTGCCGAGTTTTTTTCAGGATACCATATTACTTCATTCTTCCGACCAATAAAGTATTAATTTTTCAGTTATGGGCTTGCAAGTATTAAATAAAGGTGCTATCCACTAGTAACTGTTGGGGGATTACTAAGTTTATTTTTTATATCCTATTTCTGAAAGCCATGAGAAAATTCCTCATTACAAATACCTTTGAAATAATTATAGTTTCATAAAATAAAAGTTGTTTTTGTAAGCTATTCACATCTGATTTTTTTTTTCTTTGAGACAGGATCTTGCTCTGTCACCCAGGCTGGACAGGCTGGAGTACAATGGCATGATCACAGCTCACTGCAGCCTTGACCTTCCAGGCTCAAGCAATCCTCCCGCCTCAATCTCCAGAGTGCTGGGACCACAGGCACGCATCACCACACCCAATTAACTTTTGTATTTTTTGTAGAGACAGAGTTTCATCATGTTGCCCAAGCTGGTCTCAAACTTCGGGGCTCCAGCAAAGCGCTTGCCTCAGCCTCCTGAGGTGTTGGGAATACAGGTGTGAGCCACTGTGCCAGGCTAATATCTGAAATTTCTAGCCTAATTCCCCATTTGTCCTTTGTTTACTTATTTAAACAGAGTTCAACTCAGGTACCAAACAATAAATTCTAGAGCTATAAATCATAATTTTGTTTATCACTAACGCAATGACAACAGCCAAGTTAAGTTCTCAGGGAAAAAACTTTTTAACTATTATTTTGTTACAAAATTATCTTTTTGTTTGTAAGGTTAAATTTTTACATTCCAATTACTTTACAAACTGCCATGGAATATATATGAGAAAGTTAAGGAATTCAGAATTCAGTCCTGTTGCAATTCCCACTTCAGTCCCCACTCCTAGACCAGATCAGACTGCCCCGAAGTCTCACAGCACCTCTACTTCTTAATAACACTTTTTGAAATTAAATCATTATGTACTCCATTATTTAAATCTGAATTTCCTGCTAAAAAGTAAAAGCTTCAAAAGGGAAGGTATCACAGTAATATCACAGACATACTATTTACCAAATGAATAAAAAGATAAGACATTTAAAACAATATTAGTCATTAGGAAGAAGCATATCTAAAATAATAAAACGGCACATAGTAATGACGCATTCATCTGGAAGCATCATCCATCTATGTGACAGAACTAGGGAAATGGCAATAAATGAGGTGTTTAGTGAATTCATACTCAAATGGATTATATAAATGTTACTAACAAAGCTACAAAGGAAATGGCATAGTAAATTAAGAAAGCACTATTTGAGGAAGTAGATTTCACATAAGATTTTGATTACGTTCTACTTCTTCTACAGGTGTCACTATAATCATAGATTACCACCCACTGGAAGCTAAATCTAACAATAGAGTATTAGTCCATTTTCATGCTGCTGATAAAGACATACCTGAGACTCAGCAATTTACAAAAGGAAGAGGTTTATTGGACTTACAGTTCCACGTGGCTGGGGAGGCCTCACAATCATGGCAGAAGGTGAAAGGCACAACTCATATGGCGGCAGACGAGAAGAGGGCTTGTGCAGGGAAACTCCCATTTTTAAAACCACTAGATCTTGTGAGACTTAATCATTATCACGAGAACAGCACGGGAAAGACACACCGCCATGATTCAATTACCTCCCACTAAGTTCCTTCCACAACACATGGGAATTCTTGGAGTTAAATTCAAGATGAGATTTGGGTGGGGACGCAGCCAAACCATTAGCAAATAGTTAACCCAGAAGATCTAAAATAAATTTGATAGGTGTTAGTAAATTAAATAGTCTTTGTCTTCAAGAAACTAGTACAGCTGGGGAGCTAGAAATGTGCTAAGTTCCAATGATGTGACATGAGCAACATGCAGCTCGGACGCAGCGGAAGGAGAAGCCAGAAGCAGAAACATGAGGTAGACGAAGTGTGTACGCATTAGACAGGACAATGGGAAGAACAATTTGGCTAGATTTAAGGAACTCTGAGAAAAAAAAATAAGTATCTAAACACAAGGTTAGCAAACTCACATGCCTACAAGGGCAGGAGCAAAGAAGTGAAGCCTGCAGGATGAAAAATGCCTACAACAGCTTGGTCCCAATGTTGAGGACAAGAGAGTCTCTGCCAGGGACTGTGGGAGACTACAGAGCACACACCCCGTATAAAGGGGGAAGCTGTTATGTTGCTACAACAGACCTTGCCAGGCCTTCAAATTTTTCAAGAGAAGGTATAAAATGCAATTTTTTTAATGTAAAATTTCTCTATTTTTAAATGTTGGCAAATAACTATGTTAAAAGCCAAAACATGTCTGCAGCCAAACTTGTTGGTGGGCCACAGGCTTGCAACTCTGGGCTGGCATGATGAATTCCACCCTAAGAGATCTGGACTTTATTCTGTAGTCACTGACAAGTGACATAAGATTTATTTCAAAACTTGCTCAGTTTTATACCTCTGCATACTCCAGTATCTACAATGTAAAATCCCCAGCACTGCGAAATTATTCCACATTGGCCTCGTGTATTTGTTCCAAGCCAATTACATTCTAACTAACTGTACTGTAACTTAACTAACTGTAGAGTAACTTACAAGTTTCAGCTGAAAAAAACATTCAAAATGATGCGAATAAAACAGTGCTGGCAAAGCAGTACCTAAGAGAATGCTGACATTATATGCATATACCACAACCCACTGGAAACACACATATAATCACCAGAGCTCCACTTCTCAAAAACCTTGTGCCCTAATCCACTGCAAAGGAAAGTCTTCGCCCTTTCCGGCATTTTCTAAATTAGCAACTTTCTAAAGACTAATACTATACTTTGGTATTACCAAACACTAAAATATATGTAACAAAGTTTTCATTCTACCAACCACTCTGAGCTTCTAACTATCCAAAAACAATACGTATGCATTAAAGGCCTATGTGTTAGCATTTTAATAAGCTTAGAGAAAGAGAAGATAATTAGTATCAGACACCTGTTGATTCATTTTGATGACAGTATTACAGACAGTTAGCAAAATTCAAAGGTAGTTCCCAGAAGAGAAAATTCTTGGTGTATAATTATAAAATACAGAACTATGAAAATTGCTTAATCACATGCTTTGAAATAACACTTCATGATGAAAGTCATCAACAAGGTATTTAAAATTTTAACGAGGCAATTTTTCTATTACTCAATTTGCTCTGGCTCTTGGGATTCACTAACCTGAGCCATCTACTCTGTGAATGATGGCTTCCAGGCCAGTGGGGCACTATGCTGTGTGGCCTAGTCAGATCAAACCTATCACCATTGCTGAAAAAGAAGCCACCTCAAAGCACATGTCTCACCTTTCATGAAAAAGGACTGCTATGGTTTGAATGTGTCCCCCAAAAGTTCATGTGTTGGAAACTTAATCCCCGATGCAATAGCATTGGGAGATGGGGCCTAACAAGAGGTGACTGAGTCATAAGGGTCAAGTCCTTATGAGTGGATTAACGTAGTTATCACAAGAGCAGGTTGTTATAAAAACTAGTCCAGCCCCTTGTGCTTTCTGTCTTGCCCTTGCTTCCGCATTCCACCATGGGATGACCTGGGCCAGATGCTGGTGCCGTGCTCTTGGACTTCAGGGCCCCCAAACCATAAGCTAAATGAACTTCCTTTTTTTAAAATTTAACTTTTATTTTAAATTCAAGGGTATGAGTACAGGTTTGTTATATAGATAAACTTGTGTCATGGGGGTTTGCTGTACAGATTATTTTGTCACCCAGGTATTAAGCCATTAATTATTTTTCCTGATCCTCTCCCTCCTCCCAACCTCCATCCTCTGGTAAGCCCCAGTGTATGTCCCCTCTATGTGTCCATGTGTCCTCATCATTAAGCTCCCACATAAGTGAGAACATGCAGTATTTCTGTTTCTGCATTAGTTTGCTGAGGATTAATGGCCTCCAGCTCCATCCATGTTACCTCAAAGGACATGATCGCATTCTTTTTTATGGCAACATAGTATTCCATGATATATATGTACCACATTTTCTTTATCCAGTCTACCACTGATAGGCATTTAGCTTGATTCTATGTCTTTGCTATTGTGAATAGTGTAGCAATGAACATATGCATGCATGTGTCTTTGTAATAGAATGATTTATATTCCTTTGGGTATATACCCAGTAGGGATTGCTGAGTCTAACTGTATTTCTGTTTTTAGGTCTTTGAGGAATCACCACACTGTCTTCCACAATGGTGGAACTAATTTACACTCCCACAAACAGTGTATAAGCATTCCTTTTCCTCCACAACCTTGCCAGCATCTGTTATTTTTTTAACATTTTAATAGCCATTCTGACTGGTGTGAGATGGTATCTCGCTGTGGTTTTGATTTGCTTTCTCCAGTATCAATGACAAGCTTTTTTTTCATATGATTGTTTGCTGCATCCATGTCTTCTTTTCAAGTGTCTGTTCATGTCATTTGCCCACATTTTAATGGATTTTTTTTCTAGTAAATTTAAGTTCCTTATAGATGCTGCATATTAGACCTTTGTCAGTACATACTTTGCAAATATTTTCTTCCATTCTGTAGGTTGTCTGTTCACTCTGTTGACAGTTTCCTTTGCTGTTTACTTTAATTAGATCCCATTTGTCCATTTTTGCCTTTGTTGCAATTGCTTTTGCTGTCTTCATCAGTAAATGTTTGCCATTTTTATGTCCAGAACGGTATTGCCTAGGTTGTCTTCCAGGGTTTTTAGTTTGGGGCTTTACATTTAAGCTTTTAATCCATTTTGAGTTAATTTTTGTATATGGTATAAGGAGGCAGTCCAATTTCAATCTTGTGTATATGGCTAGCCAATTATCCCAGCACCATTCAATGCATAGGGAATTCTTTCCCCATTGCTTGTTTTGTCAGGTTTGTCACAAATCAGACAGCTGCAGGTGTGTGGCCTTATTTCTGGGCTCTCTATTCTGTTCCACTGCTCTATGTGTCTGTTTTTGTACCAGTATCATGCTGTTTTGGTCACTGTTGCTCTAATAATTTGAAGATGGTACCATGTTGCCTCCAGCTTTGTTCTTTTTGCTTAGGATTGCCTTGGCTATTCAAGCTCTTTTTTTTGGTCCCATGTGAATTTGTAAATAGTTTTTTTCTAGTTCTGTAAAGAATGTCAATAGTAAACTTCCATTCTTTATGGACAGAATACCTTATGTGTGGTACTCCATTATAGTATCAAAAAACAATCTAAGACAAGGATCAATAGATTGAATTAAAGAACACATCTTTACTAGAAATGAAAAAGTCTTTAAACAAAGTATGAGTATTTTCAAGATATAGTTCTCATCCAAAGACATTTAACAAAGAACTAAAAAACTGCATAGAACCGTTTCTCTATTTCAAAATATACAAACTACAATCTATATACTAGAGCCCTACCCCTACCAATAATAACTAGGGAAAAGCTCAAAGGCTCCCTAACCCTGACAAAGCCTGCTGAAGATATGCACGGCCTCCAACATTCCCATTTCCAAAGTCCCACTGCACATCCTACCAGGCATATTAAAATGTACCCACATCAATATTGAATATTTGTAATATACAAAACTGAATTACAAGTAATAGTTATCTTTCATAAATTTTTTATTCTCTTTGAACCCACTCCAATAAGGTTTTCATCTCCACTTCTCCAGTGACACAGCTCTTGTCATCATCACCAATGACTCCCCAGGTTGCTAAATCCAATGAGCAACTCTCAGTCTTCACCCTGCTTGACTTCTCAGCAACATGTGAGCTAACTGATCCACTCTTCTGCTGGAGATATTTTCTTTGACTACAAGGACATTTTTCTAATTTTCTTCCTATCCTCTGCTTGCTCCTTTTTAATTTTCTTTTACTGATTCCTCCTTATCAACACAACCTCTAAAAGATGAAGCATCCAGGTTTAGCCCAAGACCATCAACGCAATTAGAAAAACAACTCATAGTTCATTCTTCCATTGTGTAGATCAATAGAGTTCACAATATCTTCTAGTGATAACATTGTTACTCAAGGAATGGAGACACTTAATTGGGTTCACTATGTTGGAAAAACGTGCATAATTACTTTGGCTTAAAACACTTCTTGGATTATGTGTGTGATTTCTTCTTCTCTCTACAAACTGTAAATACTGATATGCCCCAAGGCTTGGTCCATAAGCCTGTTTCTCTGACTACACATATTCCCCAAGTGATCTCACCCAAATTCTGTTGGCAACTTCCAAATTTGTATCTCCAACTTAGACCTCTTCCCTAAATTCCAGATTCCTACAGCAACCAGTGATTCTATTAAAATGCAAATCAAATCCTCTCACTCCTCTGCACAAAACCTGGCTCCCCATTCCACTCACAGTCAAGTCCTGAATACAGTCCACACAAGCCAAACATGTGCTCTCCAAACATCTCTAACCTTATCTACTACTCCTTCTCTCCCTGCTCTCAGTGCTCCACCACTGTGGCCTTCTCCCTGCTCCTGGAACACATCAGGCATGCTTCCGCCTGATGCCTTCACTAGTCCCTCTGCTGCAACACTTTTCCCCCAGCTAGCTCTGTGTGGCTCTCTTCCTCCTTCAAGCCCTCTTCTCAGTGAGGCCTACCTTGACTATACTCCACCAAATCGCAAAGTCCCTGCCTCCCTCCCCCAGCACTCCTACTGTCCCTTAGCCTGCTCTACTTTTTCTTTTTCCCATCAGGCTTATTACCTTCCAAAATACTACAACACTTATTTTCTTATGCTGATTGCCTCCTAATAGAATATAAGGTCCACGAAGGCAGAATTTTTTTTTTTTTTTTTTCCTTTATTTTATTCACTGACATCTCTCAGACCTAGACCAGTGCCTGGCATATCCTAGGCATACATTATATTGAATGCATGAATTTAAACATTTAATAATTTTAATTTCATAGTTGTCTTTTAATATTTGAGATTTTTACCAGATCTTGCACATTCTGTTGCTACTAGAAAAGCCCCTTTTCTATGGGCTTGAAGGATAGAAAAATCTTAGCCTGACTTCACTAACCAGTATAAATCCAGTGGCCCCAGGAAGGCTGGGAACATCCTATGTGATCATCCTTGATTTTGGACCCTAAAACGAAAGCTCAACTTCACACTCATCTGGAAACATCTAATATCTTTTCAAACACATGTATTTTGTTCCCCCAACTAGACATGAAACACATTGACAGAAATTGCACAAAGTATTCAGCACAGTCCTGAATACTTCATAAAGACATAAAACCTGGCTTTTGATGGACTTAGTGAACATTTTTAAAGTGCTAAGTTTACTAAGCTCAAGATTTTACACACACAATCAAAACGGGGAACTGGGTTATCTGGACTAGGTCCCCCGCCCTTTAACAAACAGATCAGAATGATACAGCACGATTCTTCTAGAGGATCCTGTACCTTTTTTAGCTGAGCTCGTAATTAGGCTAGTTAGATGAAAATGTATCTTTCTAAGGTGTTTAACTGTGTCTTTCTTAAGTTTCTTTGAATGAATGGTTTAAAATCTCAAACTCTGGCCCTCATAACAGAAAATCACAAATGGTTCTGACCCACATTATATAAACTGTGCCAATGGTTAGGGGTTGGGAATAAAGAACTGCTTTATATCAATAATAGTGGCTTTCTTCAGAAGTACTCACATGAAGCCATACAGGGAACATGAGCAAAAGACATGGGCCAGTCAGTGGTACTCTTTAAAAGAACTTTGCACAACATCAGTCACCGTAAGGAGAATTTTAAAAATCTGCAGGCTGGCTTTTTTGACATATGGAAAGAAACAGTTATCTAGCAGACAGAAGCTGAAGGACTGAGACGGCTGGAAATTAGAAGAGAATTAAGAAAAATAACTCGATCAATTAGTAATCAGTGCAACAGGCCAGCTGCTCCTACTGCAGCAACACAGACTTGCCAGTATCTGTAACTGAGAAATACTAGGTTTTGTTGCCTGCTTAATGCCATCAAAAAACAAAGTTAAATCTCATGAAATGCTTATAAATGAAGGCTTGGGAACCTCCAATAAAACTATAAGTCCTTTTATACATCACTTCTTTTTGTCTTAAGCAGCAATAGCTAACATCACGTAAGACGTTTATTATATATCAAAGACCATGCCATTTGTTTTACACGTACCATTTCACTTAAAAATAAGAACAATCCTGTGGGATAGCTATTATAACTATCTCCCACTTTACTGATGAGGAAAAAGAGGTGTAGAGAGTTAAGTAACTTCCCCAAGGTTACACATGGGAGAATACTGGAGTCTGGATTTGGGCCCCAGGGAACTGATCTCGAAGACCTCATTCCTATCATTATATTTTACTATCCCTCTTCTATGCTGTCTTCAATACGGATTACGCTATTCTGTAGTAATTTCATGAGCAACTTGTCAGAGCTGTGGCCCTATGGTCAGCATATTTTTTACTTGTTAACATTACATATGCTAAATTTTTGCTGTGATAAGCAGTATCTTATTCGGGTAGGATATATAAATACCACATATTTATAAAATTCTCTAATTTTAACTTCTCTTCACCTTTTTAATGAGCTTAAGCTGAAGCTCTGAGTCTTTTCTTAAGTAATAAAACTGTCCTTTATTCTTTAGGGAAACATAAAATAAAATGTATACATGAATAGTTTTCCTTTGCAAGCACTTTGTTTTATCTGTTAGATCTCTCAGTGAAATCATAATCTTATGTTTTACAATAAGTACTTCCTGGAGACTGCCACAGATTTTAGCGTCAGAATTTCACTGCTGCTCTCAGTAGACAAAGATTGGATGTTTCCAGGGATCTTTAAGAAACGATAACTGGATGGGGGTGGAAGGAAGACACAAAAAGGGAGAAAAGAGGGAGAAGCATAAAGGCAGGAGAAGTCCAAAAACTGAATTTTTGAAACATTTTCTTAAGGATGAATTATTCCAAAAATATTGACAAAGCAGTCCTTTGAAATTAGGGTCCATCCTAGATCATTTATGGATCAACAAGAGTGAATCAAGAGGGACCTCAAGAGATCTCCTACTTGATACTTACAACCCAAAGTCTCATTAGGAAGCCCTAGAAGTGAGAGAGAGAGAGAAAAAAGGGAAAAGGCAAGCCCCAACAGAGCTCTGTATGGAGGGCAGAGGTACAGCAGGCTGAAAGAAGAAAAATTCTGCCTCATTGGGCTACAGATCCATTTCCTCTGGGCAGATCTGAGTCTATCTGAACAGAGCCATAGAATACCTTTGCATTAATCAGAAAAGGGCACCCATCCTCCAGGCAGTGAGCCCCCCAATGGACTCACTTGCTTGGACTACATAGTAGGGAGCTGGTTTTCAGACCCACCTTGCATGGCAAAACCTGCACAGCTACAGTTGGTAGCCCTGATCTTGCCTTCTCTCTCTCCAACAAGCATGTGGCACTAGAGGAGACAAGATTGAGAGTCAGAGCAGCTTCTACTACTGGCGCTGTCATCAGCTGTGAGACTCTGTATGAATCATTCAACCTCTGCCTCCATCTCTGAAAAATGATGGGGCTGGCTAGATGTCACCTAAGGCCTCCTTCCTCTTACCAATTCTCAATTGAAATCTGGTGATATCTAGTTGGTATATTCCAAACTATATCCTTAGGATACAGTGGCTGAGTGGAACCTTTAAAGTTTTCTTAAGATTGCTTTTTTTCCTCTCACATCTTACCTCTAACGTTACTTTTTCTCTTTTAATTTTAAGACCATACTCTGCTTTCAACCCCAAAGTGCTCAACATTTTTTAGAGCCATCAAAAGGTCACCTACCATGTACTGTCCTCAAACTACCCAAATATCCACCAACAAAATGGATAAAGAAACTGGGCATATTCATTCACAGAAATAACAGAAAAAAGACCTATTGCGACCTACATCAATTTGGATATATCACATGACATTATGCTGAGCTAAAGATGACCAAAAAATGTGTATTTTATTGCATTTAAATGCAGTCCAAAAACAGTTTAAAACTAACCATGACAATAAAAGTCAGCATAATGGTTATCCTGGGGGCAAAGATGATGACTGTAAAGAGAGGCTGGTAATGTTCTGCTTCTTGATTTGGATGCTAGTTGCCCAAATGTGATCATTTTGTGCTGTACACTCCTGATCTGTGCATTTGTCTGGTTGTGTATAATTCAGTAACAAGTTCAAAGAAATAAAGCTACAGGGACCAAAAAAAAAAGTCATCTACTGAAACTGTACACACAAGTGCTACTACCTGTGGGGAGAAAATTAATTACATTTTATTTAACCCAATCAGAGAGAAAAATCATCTGAAAAGCTAAGTGAGAAACTTCATTATATTTCCTAAAATATGCATCAAGAAATTGCTTAATTTTTTTAAATGATTTCCTCCCTCACATGAAACTGTGGCTATAAATTAATTCAAAATATTGTTTTTCCCTCTGTCTTCATGTATCAGTAAAACATTATTGCTCAAAGTTGTATAAAACATGTACAAAGATAATGTTGTTGGAAAACATCTGAAAACACCCCCAAGAGGATCCATTTGGAATACTGAGAGTCTAAATAGATATTTTTGGTCAGAATTATCCCAATTATCAGCACATTAATGCAATGACCTGGATAATGACCAAATCTCTACCTAGTTTCTTGATATATCAATTTAACTCTGCTAAGACAAGACCATACAGCTGGGGAAAGACATTCAAGAAAATGCCATGCTAGCCGGGCGCGGTGGCTCAAGCCTGTGATCTCAGCACTTTGGGAGGCCGAGGCGGGCAGATCACAAGGTCAGGAGTTTGAGATCAGCCTGGCCAACATGGTGAAACCTCATCTGTACTAAAAATACAAAAATTAGATGGGCGTGGTGGCAGGCACCTATAATCCCAGCTACTCGGGAGGCTGAGGCAGGAGAATCATTTGGACCCGGGAGGTGGAGGCTGCAGTGAGCTGAGATCAGGCCATTGCACTCCAGCCTGGGCGACAGGGCGAGACTCCGCCTCAGAAAAAAAAAAAAGAAAAGAAAATGCTATGCTACAGACCACTCCAAGGAAGCTCCAGGAAAACACTGCCTTCTCCTTGCGACTGTATTTGGTTCATCTGTGAATTTGTTTCAGCACATTTTTCTCTTCTTGACTTGAAGCAATACAATCAGCTGAGAGATCAATGATTTCTTTCCCCTTCTCAGTGTTCTGTAATTCATCTTTGATCAATATGGTATATATACTGCATGACTGCTCTGTTCCATTTGATATATACAAAAAGTGATCATACACAAACTTGCATCAGAAGTAATTACATCACTAAATCGCATAAAGTAATGAGAAGCACAGATTGCTTGTTTCTACCTAAAACTTCATAATAACTTCAGCCATTACTGCTGTAGAGCCCCCTCTGGTCCCACAGCATGGGAAGTAGACATTAGTAGTTTCCTCAAATGTTGGGGGACTAATTAAATATTTGTAGAATCATTAGCACTTAAACAAAAAATGTTTCCAGTCTTTGAAATGGGAAGTGGCTTTTGGAGTGTACGGGATACAGTTATAAGCATCCAGTCCCTGCACATTATTTAACACCAAACTAGTGATTCAACACAAAGACAGGCAAAATTTCCAGGATAACTATCAATTAGCAGTCCTATTTCAAGTTTGTATACAGATCTTATAGGGCACCTTGATTCTAATCATTCTGATCCTTTTTTCTCAGCTAAAAATACCTTATTCTTTAATCTACACTTCTAAACAGTAAGTTCTCTCTACTTCAGCCTTGTTTTAAATACTTATCCTTCTAACTTTTTCCTTGCAATTCAATGTCCAGTATTCCACTTCCTCGTTCCTCTCAAATTATCCCTTTAACTTGTTTCTACTTACTTTTAAAGGCCCCCAAAGCCTCTTCCTCAGGATAATGTGCAATTCAGAAAGCCCTCTCAACTACCCTCTGTATAAAAGTTTAACCACAGAGACCAACGATAACATTTTTCCTGTTTGGGTTTTGGGGAACATACATTATAACTGAAATTTCACTACTCATAAAACTCCTTCACTAAATCTTTCCCATTCCCCTCTCCTAACTCTCCATTGTTTTATACACAATCACGACATAAACACACTCCCAAAATGTGTAATGATATAATCATACAAAGACTTTCTAAAAATACATAATTTTAATGTGTGCAACAAACAGCCTTTATAACTCTAGTACTGGGAGTACACGTTTAAAAACATACTGACTTTTTAATAAACTGTGTTTGTTTTTCCTCGTTGGGGGTGGGGAGGAGGTAGGGGATCATCAAACAAGGACCAATTGCTATACCTGAATCCACAAACTGTGTTACAGTAGGATTCTATTGAGGATTGTAAACACACTTAAAACTTTTTTTTTTTTTTTTACTTTAAAAGAAGAAAGTTGAAATTGCAAAAATGAGAGCCAAAATTTCTATGCTTTACCCATAAGGATACACAAACTGAATACCTCCTGTTTTCCCACTTATGAAAGAAATATGCTTCATCTACCAAACTAGGGCATTTATGAGGTTTGTATTAATGAACAGAAAAATGCAAAAATGTACAAATGCAAAAAACTTTCTATCCTTTAGAAGACTTAATATTAAAATGATTTTAGGGAAAGCCCAAGAAATCTCATTCTCAACTCAGAAAACTACCTAAGGGATAATTTGTGAATGCCATCTGGGATCCAGGCAGTCCCATCCACAAAAGGGAAAACTTGTTGAGATCATCCAAATCTAAAATTCACATACATTTTTACATCTGGACTGAATTAATCTTTTCTTGGTACTGGCTTTCATGTAATAAAATAATTGTTTGCAGGTTTTATTTTTCTTAAAAAAAAAAAAACCCACAACTTTAGAAATCAAAATGTGCAACATCCAAATCGAAAACTACAAAGAATTCCTTTATCAAAAAAGTTAGTTGTGAGACAGGACTCATTTACACTCAACTCTGAACCTGACAGCTCAGTCAAAAACAATTATGTTTGAAACTTTCATTCCAAGCATCTGCCACAAAAGGCTACGCAGTCTATTACATCATAAGTTCAGAAAGCCAAAAGCTTTATAAGTATAGTTAAATGTGGAAACAAAATCCAAAAACTACAAAAAGACCCCCCCCCCAATTCAGCTAACCTAGTTCAGTAACAATTTTTTTTAAGAATTTGTAACTAAAAACCGCTACCTAGCACACTGGCATTTTGCTTTCAAAAGCAGCGTCTTCATCCAGGCCCATGCTGTTTTCAGGCGTTTTCCTGTACAGCCAGGAGCATCTTAAATCTCTAAGTTCAAATTATGTACTTAAAACTAGCAGCTTACCCTTGTTGCCCCCAAAAAGGAGATACTGGAAATAGGAAAGATTTCCTGCCCCTTAAAATGTCTTGAGTACTGCAAGAACTGCTGATTACTGTAGCCCATCAGTGTCAGATCTCAGAGATTCTTGCAAGCAACTCAAAGGGGGGAAAATTAGTTCATATTACAGTCAGTCTGCTTTCTGGAGAAGATGTCCTGCAGATAATTTGATATTAGATATCCCCTGGGGGACCCTTTTCATCTAATAATCCTACTAAATGTCCATTTTAATATGAAATATGAATCCAAAATGTTTACAAACATACTGGGAAAAGTATTCAAATGCCAGCTGTCTCATATTGTGAAGTATTTTCATTTTTAACATAAAACGTTTATTTCTCAAAGCCACACCTGAGAAAATGATTAGGTGCTGTGGTGCTGTTAAGTTTTATACTACAAAGGACATCAGCAAAGGCATCTGTTTTCCTGCCTCTCTTCTGGTCTTCTCCCCTCCCCCACTCTCCATCCTGTAGGTCCTGGTAGTTAAAATTTCTACAATAGTCTCATAATGCTCTAAATTCTAAAAAAAAATTTCTCATCCTTTAACACTGCTGAACCTAAATTCATGCACTGCTCTAAGAAGGAAACCCAAAAGTCACAAGCCTTTTTAATGACAGATGTATTACGGAAAATTTTCCCCACAAAGTTTTGATGCTGTGAAATATCAACTCCCTGAAATCACAGAAAGGAAATGACTTACATTCTTGGAAAATGAAGCCACTAGCAGCTTTCTCCAACAGCATTTTCTAAACCCCAAACTACACCCTGTGGCAAGAGGGAGTATTTCGTGCAAAAACTAAATTTAAATAGATGCTTATAAAACCCATAAACAAACATTGCCCGGTCCCAGAGAAGAACAGAAGGGAATCATACTCGGAAAATCCAGCAAGAGATACTTTTTCTCCACATTCAGAAATGCTGGAGAGCACAGGCTGGAAGTCAGAAGCAACCTGAGAACGCTTGCTGAAGTTTTCCTTCCCTGCTGTGAGCAATGCACAGCTCCTGAGGGAAATACTGGCAAAACAGATTTTGCGTAAAAAAATAAAAATGAAAAGGTGTTAAGGGGGAAAACGAGCTAATATTTCTTTGGACACTAGCTACACAACTACACGGCCTGAAAATCTGCCAGCTTTCAACTTTAAAATATGCTTATTTTGACATTTTCCCATCTATTCGTGCCTTTAAGAAAACGCCCGCACCATTAGGTTATGCTGTCCCAGGACTCGAGGTGTTGTTTTAATCTCTGTAGACTTTACACTTACACGGGTGGACCGCAGCTGTCCATACCTGACAGTGCCTGGCCCTCCCGGAGCCGAATCCGGTGCTCCTGTTCGCCTGGGGCTCCGCCAGCGCGCCGTAAGCTCCTCCAGAAACCCAAATTCTGCAGGCCGCACCCCCAACTCGTATCTCACCCAGGCCCCCGTCTGGCGCCGATCTGCCCCAGCTCAACCTCCGGCTCCGCAGACTAGGCACTTTCCGGGACGCGGGGCAGACCCTGCGCTCGGGTCCCTTCCCGCAGCCGGGCTGTCCGGCCTCTGCGCGCGCACAACAGGCGGCACGGCGCAGCCCCCGGGAGCGCGGGACTCGGGTGCTAGTCCCGGCGCCCAGCCACAGCGACACAGACCTGGGTGCCGGGGCCCGCCAGGGAGCCCTGTGATCCGGGGACCTCCGCGATGCAGAGAACCAGGGACCGCGCACGGAGCCCAGGCGCGCAGTCTGCAGCCAGGACCAGCCTCCCGCCCCCGCCGCTGAAGCCGCCCCGAGCTCCACGCCTCCCCCGCTGCCGGGCTCGGCTGCCCTAGGGCCTCGTCCGCCCGTCCCAGAGTGAGCGACCTCCGACTCACGGAGAAGCGACCTTACCACCGGTGCCCGACACCCAGAGCTAAGGGAGCGAGAAGAAGGCGAAGAAAGAGGCGGAGAGCGGTGCACTGCCTTCGCTGGGACTCGCGACTTCCAGAAACCCTCCCGAAACCCAGTCCCGCCGCCGCCCCGCCGGCAGGGGGCACAGCGGGCGTCCGGGGCGCGGCGGCTGAGCG
Organism: Homo sapiens; assembly: GCF_000001405.40. Classification (NCBI taxonomy): domain Eukaryota; kingdom Metazoa; phylum Chordata; class Mammalia; order Primates; family Hominidae; genus Homo; species Homo sapiens. The sequence continues at coordinate 51,652,041 of NC_000014.9, read as the reverse complement.
ATGGGGCGAGCGGAAAGGGCCCAGACGCCTGGTTCTTGTTCATACCTCGGAGAAAGTCTTGAGCACCAGGCGTTGGGCTCTCTGGTCACCCCTCTGACTCTTCCTACCGGCGCCGAGCCTGCCCCACTCCTCTCAGCCCCTTGGCCCCGCCAGCCAGAGGGGCGCTCCGCGTCCGCCCCGCCCCCCACCCACGCCTCCCGACCCGACCCGCCCCCCCGAATCCCCGCCCCCTGAGACCCCGCCCCCGACCCGCCCCAACTGGCCGCGGCGGCAGCCGAGCCGCGGGAGCTGCGCGCTGAGCTCGCGGCAGTACGGGGAGCGCCCGCCCGCCCCGCCCTGGACCCAACCAAGCGTCCCGCGGAGGGGTGCGGCCACTTGGGGGCAGGAGAAAGCGGAGTACGCCACCCCTCTAGGGACCCAGGAAGCGAGGCGAGCCTCAGGTGGACGCGGTGGTGTGGACCACGGCGATCAGGGCCTTTCCCCCTGCTGTGGAGACGGAGGTGCGAGGGGACGCCGGCGGCTCCCCACCTTCTGGCCGAGTGGCCTTCTCCGCCTCCGGCTGGACTCCCTCGGGGCGCTCCCTCCAGAGCCGAGTCGGGCTGGCCGGGGGCGGCTGTTTGGCCTGAGTGTCGTCTTACTAAAGCGGAACGCCGGAGGGGAGGCCACTCCGAGAGAAGGCGGTCCCCGGCGGAGGTGGCTTCGTGAATCCTGCAGCCCCCTGCCCGCCCGCCACTCGAGACGCCGCGCCTCGTGGGTTTCACGCTGGATGGAGGGGGCGCCGCCGAGGATGCCCAGCCTCCCCCTCTAATTCTACCTCTCCAGTTCCTCAGGTAGACACAGCCTCTGTCTGCTGTGGTTTTAGTGCCCATGGCCCCTCAGAAATTATTTTTGTCCCCTCCCGATAGTGGCTTTGGGGGATGGAGGGCGAGAGATGCAAAGGGCCAGTGGAAGATTTTTTATAGCACAAGGAATCAAGCCAGGAGATGGAGGTTTCATTGCCACCTCGGGGTCTGGGGAGGGGGCGAGCCACACCTCTCCGGTCAGTCTGCGCCCACCAGGACCTGCTGCTGGGAACCGCACACGAAAGGAGAGACACCCAGCACCTGGCCCCTAGACCCGCAGGGCGTCAACCTCCTGGGCTTCTGCCTTTCTAGGTTTCCTCTGACTTTGCTGACCCAATGACCCCTGGCCACGGGTGGCAAAAACGCCCTCACTGAGCCCTTCGCTAAAGGAGTGCCGGGGTTTATGTGTCTGGCTTTTAAAATGGGATGAGGAGACAAGGAAACAGGACCTGAGAAAGGACACTATCCAAAATCTGATGCTCTCAGAAGTCAACTTTAAAACTGCCCTGCTCCGCGGTGGCTCACGCCTGTAATCCCAGCACTTTGGGAGGCCGAGGCGGGCGGATCACGAGGTCAGGAGATCGAGACCATCCCGGCTAAAACGGTGAAACCCCGTCTCTACTAAAAATACAAAAAATTAGCCGGGCGTAGTGGCGGGCGCCTGTAGTCCCAGCTACTTGGGAGGCTGAGGCAGGAGAATGGCGTGAACCCGGGAGGCGGAGCTTGCAGTGAGCCGAGATCCCGCCACTGCACTCCAGCCTGGGCGACAGAGCGAGACTCCGTCTCAAAAAAAAAAAAAAAAAAAAAACTGCCCTGCTCTTTTCATCCAAAGATGAATATATGAAGCCAGCTGTTACTGGTTGAAAGTGTGCCTCTTGTTTGCATGGCAAAGGAATTCAGTTTTGTGTTTATTTACAGCTGAAGCTCTCTTGAAATAATTGTCTCAGTCACAGCTTTTACATTTTGGGGAACCATGCCATTAGAACTGAATATTAGGAACTGTGATCTTTTGTCTTTTCACAATTGACAATACATTCAGAACTTATTTCTGATAAAACTGGGCAGTTTCTAAGGATACTGTACTTATGATTTAAAGTCATAACTCCATGATGCAAAAGAGAACAAGAAATATGTTTCAATGACTGCCTTTTAAATTAGCGGTACTCCAGCACTTTGGGAGGCCGAGGTGACAGGATCGTTTGAGGCCGGGAGTTCAAGACAGCCTGGGCATCATAGCCAGACCTTGTTTCTACTAAAAATAAAAAATAAATAAATTTTCCGGGCATGGTGGCCCATGCCTGTAGCCCCAGCTACTCAGGAGGCTGAGGTGGGAGGATGGCTTGGGCCTAGGAGGTTGAGGCCACAGTGAATTATGATTACACCACGGGACTCTAGCCTGGGTGACAGAGTGAGACCCTGTCTGAAAAAGAAAAAAAAAAATGTAGCTGTACTTAATGTACTAAAGTTAAAAATTGGATAACAATAGTTGAGGACAGTGTAGGCATTTAAAGGTAGAGGATTGCACTTTTTTTCTCATTTTTGTCTTTTATATGCATCAGAATGAGTGCATATTGTATACTACTTGGTAAGGTCTTAAATTAATTTGGTACCTACTGAGATAATCCGGCATTTCATGTGTAAAGATAAATTAGATAAATGAATAATATATCACTATCTTGGAAAACAGTTCCTAAATCTGATTTATTTTCAGGTTTCATGAATCAAAATCTAACAGATAAACAACAACATATTGGTAGGCGTGAAACATTGCTGCAAATATAATTAGGTAAAACAAATAGCAAAATATTTGGAACAGTTTAAAAAAAAAAGTGTGTTTAAGAGTGGGCTTGTTGTCCAGAATTATATTGTAGGAAAATTCACTATGTGAATATTTTCTGAATCATAGTGATAATATTAACAGTATAAATACCACATTAAACAGAGACTCTTAGTTAAAATATTTTGCAAACTAAGTATTTTAAACTCTTAAAATCAGTTATATAAACTCCTGTAACATCATCAAATTCTGAAAGGACTGATTGGGGAAGTAATACATAATCTAGTAAAGATGGAAGGGGAGCTGAGAAAGGATGTGTTGTTTTAGATATTTCTTATCACAGAAAACGTTTAAAACGTTTTTCTGTGCTTATTACAATAAAGAATGCAACTGTGTGGGTAATAATTCAAAGTTATATTTTATGTTTCTTCTTAATGTTGGGATGTTTTATTTTCACTAATATGATGAGATGTTTTTCTAAATATGGGACATTGCCCACCAGGGAAACATTATTTTAAACACATCCTAAGCAATTACTTTTTCCATGGCATTTAAATATTAACACAACTCTACATTTTTGCTTTTGTTTTTCTTAGGAACAGGTTATTCATTCTATGAATTTATTGGGTTCTCCCATGCACCAGGCAAAGGGTTAGATTCAGAGATTCAAAAATAAAAATACTCCTTAATCTTATAGTAGATTAGGGGAACAGACACGTGAGTTAACAGTTACAACATAGTTAGTTCATGCTATGGTAGAGATACGCAGGAAGAATAGTGAGAAGGCCTAGGGAGGGAGAGCATCAAACATCCCCTGTGAACTGAGAAGGGAAGGATAAACAGAAGTTTGCCTGAGAACAAGTTGGTTGAGACAGTGCTCTCAAACTTGCAAGCACGTTGGAATTACCTAGAAACTTTCAAAAACTATTGATGCCTGTGTCTCAGGCATATAATTTAATTGGTCTGTGGTATGGCTTGGGCTTTGGAATGTTTTAAATATCCCCAGGTTATTTTAAGTGTAGGCATATGGCAGAGGACACAGAGTGAACAAGCACACAGAGCCATGCTTTTAAAGCATGATGGCCATAGCCTTATTTTGAGAGGTGTAAACTTTGGTAGGTGGTATTTGTACATTTTGGTGTAAAGAACACAGTAATATAGAAAATGAGATAAGAACTGCTGTAATTCACATTCCTTTACAGGTATTTTCTAGACACCAGGATAGTATGTTGACAATTAAGATTAGCATATTAGAAGAAAAAAAATTATTTTTATCTTTTGTATAATTCAGGCTTATTGGCTGGGCGCGGTGGCTCATGCCTGTAATCCCAGCACTTTGGGAGACGGAGGTGGGCAAATCACCTGAGGTCAGGAGTTCGAGACCAGCCTGACCAACATGGAGAAACCCCATCTCTACTAAAAATACAAAGTTAGCCAGGCATGGTGGCACATGCCGGTAATCCCAGCTACTCAGGAGGCTGAGGCAGGAAAATCGCTTGAACCTGGGAGGCGGAGGTTGCAGTGAACTAAGATCGCGCCATTGCACTCCAGCCTAGGCAACAAGAGCAAAACTCCATCTCAATAAATTAATTAATTAATAATAATAATAAATCAGGGCTATCCAGCATTCAGAGTATGTTTTAATGCTGATATGTAAGTTCTAGTCTAAGAGAGAAGTCAGTGATTTAACATACTGGCTTTTAAAGAATACTTTTCCAGAATTAAATACCGTTCATCATTCTGGCTGAAGGTCATAATAAAGAAATTAAGTTCATTTTTCTTTTTGGTAATTACTGAGATTCATTTTAAAAGCAAAACAAAAAGTACTTTAAACAAACAAAATAAATTTAATTAAGTCCTACTTTAAGGTTTTAGATGTCCCTGTAGCTAATGAAAGAAAATAATCTCACATGGAAACTTAAATAGTTTAGTGTTATGGTCCTGATTTTCACTGCCTAACATTTAAAATGCTCTTTTTATTATTCTCAGCTAGTAAAATAAAGTACCCAAAGAGACTTTAATGCTTAAGAAAAGTCAGGAAAATTGATTATCATTCATTTAACCCAGCTGTCTAATTACCATACACCGGGAGCCCCTAACCAGGAATACGCATAATTATTTTTCAGAGGCAGCATAGCACGGGGCTTATGTAGCAATCTAACTCAAGAAGATTTACTTTTACCCAATTTATAGAAATACAGAGTTGAAAAAATTAAATTCATTAAATTCTATTCTCCTGATCATCAAATTTTGAAAAAAAAATATGTAAAAGTAGAATAACTTGATTATCCAGGGTCAAAGTTTCATTTTAATATGGTTTACAGGGGATGTATTTAAAGAACTACTTTGTTTCCATTCTATTATGGCTTTAATTTCACCACAAACATCACAATTCCCATTCCTTGAGGGCTTGAATACTAGAATACTCCAGATGTAATAAGAAAGGTTTGATAAGGCTGGAAGGGCCAGACCCTGCCCCTTGCTCTTGGGAAGGTGTTGCACAATGTAGAGAGAGGGCCCATCGTAGAGAATTACACTGGCGTCTTGGAGTTGAAAGGCATAGCGGCAAGGCAGTGCTAGGTTAAGGGATACTGCTACTAACTAAAATATAGTTGAGGAATTATGTATAAACATGGGATTGCTGCCTTATGCATGAGACTTTACCTTATACAGAAGACTGAAGATAGAAGAGCTCTAGTACAGAAAAATGTCAAGCAGAAGGGCAGGACAAAGGGTGGATTCCCTACAGTATGAAACTTAACTCATGTATTCTGTTTGTGTGATATACAATGGGTCTTAAAGGTTCCAGAGTAGTTTTGCAGCTCTGATTCTTTGATCACTCACTGAAAACCTGGGGGAAAAAAAAGCTTACCCCAGAGTTGGGAGGCAATTCCCTCCACTCCCATTAGGATACGCAAGAAGAAAGGAAGCAGCAATCTATCTGGTGACAGACTGGTTACTCTTTGACTTATGTCTCAGGCACGCTCTGATTATCTGAGATAATATTCTCAGAGGATTCCTTTGAAACACTAGTGATAACATTATGGAGGTCTTGGGCCACTGAGGTTCTCTTCAGTGGGTTTTTTTTTTTTTTTTTTTTTTTTGGATATGGAGTCTCGCTGTGTCGCCCAGGCTGGAGTGCAGTGGCGCGATCTCGGCTCATTGCAACCTCTGCCTCCTGGGTTCAAGCGTTTCTCCTGCCTCAGCCTCCCGAGTAGCCGAGACTACAGGCGCGTGCCACCACCCCCAGCAAATTTTCTGTATTTTTAGTAGAGACGGGGTTTCGCTGTGTTAGCCAGGATTGTGTCGATCTCCTGACCTCATGATCCACCTGCCTGGGCCTCCCAAAGTGCTGGGATTACAGGCTTGAGCCACCGCACCCGGCCTCTCTTCAGTGTTTTGTGATATCAATGTGTGCCTAAGACATACTGAACTGGAACAGTGGGAGGGGTGAACATCTGTCTTTCAGAATACGCATGTACAGCCTGGCCAATGCTGGCTTTCTTGAGAATACCAACAAAAGTTCCACTGGCAAAGAGCATTTATGAAACCTGTCCATTCTGTTTTAATTTAGTTACCCTGGGTAGGTTATAAGCATAACAAATGTGCCTTTGAACTTGTTTTTGATTGCTTAAGAAAGAATCATGAGTAAAAGTACAAATAAGATATCCTAAGCCAAATGTGGTGGCTCCTGCCTGTAATCTCAGCACTTTGGGAGGCCAAGGCAGGTGGATCGCTTGAGCCCAGGAGTTCGAGACCAGCCTGGATAACATAGTGAAACCCTATCTCTATAAAAATAAAAAATAAAAAAATAAAAAATTAGCTGGGCGGAGTGGCTTGCAGCTATGGTCCCAGCTACTCCTCAGGAGGTTCACTTGAGGTGGAGGTTCACTTGAGCCCGGGAGGTCAAGGCTGGAGTGAGCTGTGATCATGCCACTGCACTCAATCTGAGTGACAGAGTAAGACACTGTCTCAAGAAGAAGAAGAAAAAAAGGCTCTCCTAGCTCTGGAATTTCATGGGAAGTTCACTGAGGCTAAAGGACTTGGTGCAGCCTCCAAGGGACACCCTACCTGTCCATGGTGGTTGGGATTTGGTTATAAAACAAGATGCTGATGTGCTAGCTATACTAACTGGTTGGATGAAAGGAAGACAGTACCTTGAAACACCCGACATAAGATCGCTGTTTCTCCTCTCACCTGATTCTAGGTTAGAAACAAAATCTGCATTCATTTTGATTTGGCTTGGCTATGAAACCAAATGCCAGAAAATATTAAGAAAGTTTTCTACAGGCAAGGTAGTGGTTAGATTTTTCATTTTCAAAGGTAGCCTAATAAATTATTCTATTAGCCTAAACAGACTTCTTATACTTCAGTTCTTCAAGGAAAGAACACTGCTAATTAGATCATGGAGATTGAATTAGAAATTATGGATTGGAAGATTGGTCTCAAAGGACCCCAGATTCAGATGTTTACTTTTGACATGTATGGAGAAAAGAAAGTACTGGCCAATAGCACTCTTAACTAGATTTAGCTTCAAGAGGAAGACTGGGGGCGAGGAAATACGCTCTCTTGTAAAAACATTTTTATATATTTGTTATTCCTATATAATTAAGCCATACATTCCATGTGATTTCTTGAGCAGAAAAACAGAATCAGCATTTTTAGTGATTTTCTGTTCTGCAAATAGTCCATATTGGATCATTTTGTCACACTTATACCCCAATTTAAAGGATAATGAGGAGACACATTAATATATGATAGTTTTATGTACAATACAGACTTAATATACAAATCATTGTGAAATATTAACACATCACTTATTTTTATAGCACATTTTACTATCTGATTTATGAATATGTTAACTGTCTCTCCTTTTAGAATTTAAGCTTCACGTGAGCACAGATCTAAAATCTCTCTAACTGCTATGGCCCCATTCATCTAGAACAGTATCTGACACATATTTGTTGAATGAATGAATCCCATAAATTACACGTAGAGATCAGGGAGGGAGAGAGAGAGAGAGAGAGTGAGTGAGTGTGTGTGTGTGTGTGTGTGTGTGTGTGTGTGTGAAGGGTGAGGCAGAGAAATCTGAGATGCACTGAGATGAGAACAGAAAAGGATTAACATTTTTTGAGAAGCTTCTGGGCCGGATATCTCAGGTATTGATGAAAAATGATCTATCCCTTAAGAAGCCTTGGTTGATTTGAATGGGACACCTTATATCACTCAGTTCACGTAATGTTTATTTTTTTCAAGTGTCAATGTATGGTATAATTAATATTCTATTGATGTTCCTTATTGTATATTTTATTTCTATTTTTAGCCTTCCCCCTGCATTGATATCAGTGGATCTAATTCAAATTTGGGAAGGATTACCTATTTTTGATGTTCTGTGATGTTGATTGAATAACTAAAACTGTAATTATTAATTTCTTAATAAGAAATCATTCAACTAAAGTGAAACTATACTTAACTATACATCCTCCAGCTTTTCAAGATATTAAGAAGTTTATTAGCAGGATTTTACTAGAGTGGTTATTGTTGAATTCTTTGCTCACAAAACATTTTGATGAGATACGCTTGGGAACAGAATAGTTTGAGTTGAACAAGGAAAAATGTGTGGCCTTGCCTCCATTTGCTCAGCCTCCGCCACCTCCATCCAAGGTTTAACTGCACCTTGTGTTTCCTGGAGCTGCTCCATCTCTGAACCTTTGGACTGGAAACTACTCTGTCCACCACATCTGCCACTGTCACCATCTCCCCCTAGACTTTCAGTCCCCAAACCCCTCCCTGTTCTTTCAGTTTATTAGCCGTTTTTTGGCTTGACTTCTTTCCTTTTCAGTTTAATCGCTGAGTGGTCTCGTGTCCCAATCCCTTTGACCTTCTAATCCAGCTTTCTTAACAATCCCAAAATTCAGGTCAACTCAATCATCCGTTTTCTTACATTTTGCTTTAAAGACATTGAAGAAGCCTAAAGAAAATTGAATAAATGAGTTGATTAGTCACATCACCAAGACAACAGTTTGGTCAGTGAAACACTCATAGCTGTTGGGTCAACTTTTTATTCATCCCTGCCTGGCTGTCTTTCCTTTTCATCACACAGTGACTGTTCACATGTTTATGACTCTCCACAGGTTCCTCATCCCACTCTGAAATCCTGCCACTCTCAATGGTCAACCGAGCCTTACTCTTGCTGGTCACTGATCTGTGACGTTTATATGTATTACCTTGTTGAATCTTCACAACAGCCCTTTGAAGAAGATATTATCCCTGGTTTACAGATGCCCAAGTTCTTAAAGAAAATAAGTAGTGATGCTTGGATCTGAACCTAGGAAATCTGACTCTAAGCTCATGCCCTTTGTCCCTAAACTGCCTTGCTTCTGGTACAGACTTGGTCAGGCATTTTCTCCCTAGAGCTTCAGTCCTTTCCACCTACAGATTTTTCCGTATCTTTCTCCTAGGCCATTCTCTCCTGACTCTTCTCAGTTAATCTCCTCCTACCAAAGCTCTGTATCCCCTGCTCCCCTGGCTCTTTTAGGGCTTTCTCCATCATTGATTTGTTGATTCATTTAGCAGATACTTATTAAGTATTGTATACTAGGTCTTAGGGACACAGGTAAACAAAACCTAATCTCTAGTCCTGGAGCTTTACATTCAAATTATTCCTCTAAAATATTTAACATCTCACCATGCCCTAGGCCATCTTCCTCCTACAGAAATGCTGAAGTGACTGTATATTTCATACTACATCTAGCACCACACCTGATGAGGCACCAGGAACATGTTTGACAGAGGGACAAATAATTCCAGGTAAAGTAATCAAGCTTTGGAAGTTTGTTCTTAGTCTCTAGCCTCCTTTGTATTATTTATTTATTTATTTACTTAGGAGATGGAGTTTCTCTCTTGTCGCCCAGGATGGAGGGCAATGGCGTGATCTCGGCTCACTGCAACCTCCACCTCCGGGTTCAAGCAATTCTGCCTCAGTCTCCCAAGTAGCTGGCATTACAGGTGTGCTCTGCCACACCTGACTAATTTTTCTATTATTAGTAGAGACAGGGTTTCACAATGTTGGCCAGGCTGGTCTCAAACTCCTGACCTCAGGTGATGCCCCCACCTTGGCCTCCCAAAGTGCTGGGATTACAAGCGTGAGCCACCATGCCCGGCCTCTGGCCTCCTTTTTCTAAAAAGTAGCCCACTTCAGATGTTGAAAACCCTCTCTCTCTCTCACTATGTTCCCTTCTGAGCAGACTCAGAAAGGTTCTGAAAACCAACCCTTTGCCATTAATGACTGACTAGTTGTACTTTCACTGAAATCCCACCAAAATCACCTCAAACTAGTACCTACAGTTTAAGCCTTTAAGTCTATGATTGTGAAACAAAAGGTACGTGGCCTTATTAATAAATTTTGGCATCTGTAAGGTGGGAGATAATCGTGAGACAAGGGAACCTTCAAAGCCATATTTTGTCACTTCTAGTGGTCCTTGGATAGGGGGTGATTTTGCCCCTACGAGAACATTTGGCAATGTCTGGAGGTATTTTTGGTGTCACAGCTTTATGGGGAAAGCGGGGAGGAGGGACAGTGCTACTGTAGGCTTCCAGCAAGCAGAGGCTAGGGATGCTGCTCAACGTCCTACAACACAGGGGACAGAACCTCACAACAAAGAATTGCTGCCCCGACTTGAAAGCCACTGATCGAAAGGGTGAACTTGACTGGAACATTGAGGTGCCCTGTGAGTCAGGGCAGTTAGTATCTGGGGGATGCTGGCTGAGCCTGCCAAGTGTCTATTGAAAAGTTGCTGGAGGTGAAGGATCATGTCTTTGGGACCTAAAGAGTGAGATATTTGGACTCAGTTTCTGCCTCCACCGTTCCCCTAACTTTATTTGGATCTTCCCACAGCCCCAAGACGTTCAGTACACATTTTATCTCGTCCTAGATCACCTTCTTTTTTAGTATGTAGAGATTTTGAGGGGAAAGGTAAATAGGAGACTCTTTCTCAACAGAGGTAGGATAAGATTTATCTTAATCCCAATTAAACAATAGTGAAGACCCAAAAGAAAAAAGTTGGAAACCTAAGCTTTTCACTTAATAGCAATGAAGAATCAATTTATTGAACAAAAATTAAGTCTTAAAGGAGGAGAATAGGCAGGGCATGGTGGCTCACACCTGTAATCCCAGCACTTTGGGAGGCTAAGGCGAATGGATCACTTGAGGACAGGAGTTCAAGACCAGCCTGGCCAACATAGGGAAACCCCCTCTCTACTAAATAAATAAATAAATACAAAAAATTAGCAGGGTGTGGTGGCATCGCCTATAATCCCAGCTACTTGGGAGGCTGAGGCGTGAGAATTGCTTGAACCTGGGAGGTGGAGGTTGCAGTGAGCTGAGATCGTGCCACTGTACTCCAGCCTGGGTGACAGAGCAAGACTCTGTCAAAAAAGAAAAAAAAAAGGAAAGTTATGTTAATAAAGTATAAACTCCAAAATTTAACCAGAAGTTAGTGGATATTAGCTCTTACCATGGAAAATTATCATTACTTAAATAATTTGCTAAATTTTATTTTTAAGTGGTTTAGTAGAAATATATTTAATAGATGAAACTATGTGTGTTTTAAACAAATAGCTACTGCCAAATATGTAGAAGTAAACATTGAAATGATTATTAGGGCTATCAAGAATTGTTTGTATAAATCAAACCAATCAGATTCATATGGATTAAAGCCATTTTCTTATTTTTATACTTTTATTGTTCATCATATCACTAGCATTTACAATAAAGAATATATAATTATGAATTCAAATATACTCAAATTCTCATGAAGACAAAACCCAAGAAGAATAGTTGTAAACGGGATCATTAAGCACCTTTTTCAAATATTGCCTGATTTCCACTTAGACTTATTAGCTGATTGCTTTTAGACAGTGGTTTCCAAACTTGGCAATGTATCAGTACCATTTAAGAACTGGTGACAGGGCCAGGAATCTCCAATTAAAATATCAGCAAAAAGATCCAAATGATTTTGATACCCATTCATGACATACAGGTAGTTGCCCTGTTGATGCTTATACTAAAACAAGTTTTAAATGAAGAGGCCAGATCTAAAATATTTCTGAAATGTTTAATTTGAAGCCCCAAAATGCTTTAGGTATTGTAACTCTATCCTTACCTTCCAAGGAATAAAAACGTGGAGGGGGAGGAATGTGGTAAAATGTGATTAGTAATCTTTTTGTCACAATAAGGACATTGACGTCAGTGCATCTAATTCAGATTGGGGAAGGACTGCCTGTTTTTAATTTTCTGGGATGTTAATGGAATAACTAAAACTGTAATTATTAATTTGGTCAATAAGAAGTCATTCAACTAAAGAAAGCACTGGAACCTACCAGTCTTAGTGAATAACATAATTGCATCTAGTCCCCAGAAGCTTCTACATCAACCTAATAATGTATACATGAATCATATTCTTAATTAACATTTCCATAAATATGCTGAAGGGCAGCTCAAAGAAAATGGAATACAGACTGAACAGGATATACAGGCATCCCAATTTCTACTCCTTCCCATTCATAGCTTGCTCTTTTGATGCTGCCTAATAGATATCTCTATATTTTACATATATTTAGGGACATATTTCATCTCCACTGTACTGACCCACTAAGGGCTTTGGCTCATAGATAAATACGAGGTTGCATGGATAGATACTGTTTTATTCTATGAACGACAAGTTCAAAAGGGTGGTTTCCAGGAATGCAACGCATTTGAAATAATCATTTAAAATAATGACAGCTGATCATCTACTGTTTACTGTGTGTTTTAGATGCTATGCCAAGTTTAGGTTTATTATCTAATTTAGTCATAACAGCACATCATGAAATAGGTACCATCATAATTCCTATTTTACAAATAATGAAACCAGAAAACAGACAAGTTACCCAAAGTTAGTAGCTTATTAATAGTGGAGTTTAATAATAATAATTATTTTTTTTTTTTGAGATGGAGTCTTGCTCTGTCACCCAGGCTGGAGTGCAGTGGCGCAATCTCAGCTCGCTGCAAGCTCCGCCTACCGGGTTCACGCCATTCTCCTGCCTCAGCCTCCCGATTAGCTGGGACTACAGGCGCCTGCCACGACGCCCGGCTAATTTTTTGTATTTTTAGTAGAGACAGGGTTTCACCGTGTTGGTCAGCATGGTCTCGATCTCCTGACCTCGTGATCCGCCCGCCTCAGTCTCCCAAAGTGCTGGGATGTAATAATTATTTTTGTGTGTGAACTCGGCAGAGAAGTATGTAAATAATTTTTTAAAAAACAAAGGAAAAGAAAAGTCCTGTGGCAAAAAATGGGAACACCTAGTTTTAATAAAAAAAAAAAATCCTGACACTTGAAGTGTCCACTTTCTTAGCAGAGAGTGGCTGATTTTCGGACAGCAAAAACTATGTATCAGAAAACCGGGAGAAGAACCCAAGATATGTCCCTGCTCAAACTGATTCAAACTTAGATATGTATATGGAACAGGAAGGACTGGGAACAAAATTCTTAGCCCATTTCTAGTGGGTAGAACATTTAAAAATAATTACAAGGAATTATGTGAGGTCATTTGGCAAGAAGGAGTCAATAGGGCAGTGTTGGATGACACCTCTTCCATTCCAACAGTGTAAGCTCTACTGTGTCTTAAATTGATCAGACTAAAAAAGAATGATCAAAGTTCTCAGATAGGTTGCTACACCCCTCTACATTCCATCTGCAACTCAGCTTTTGTCCTTCAAGTTTCTAATTGCTTCATTTGAGCCATACACTCAGTATAAAGGAGAAAGTTGGACAATCTGGGTCACAAATGGGGAGCTGACTGACAGTCCCCTGGAATCACCTTTGCCTTCAGTCCCTATCATTGCGGGAGCCAGGTTGTAAAATCTAGCATGGAACAAGAGGCTCATCTGTCAGCTGTGGCTCCCGGAGCAGTAGCCCGGCAGTAAGTGTCTCCAGGAGGAATGTGAACAATGCGGAACCACCCACATCTGGAGGCTCCCAGTCTCAATGGAGTAGTAGGGACAGAGTTACTGTTTGCACTGGCATTGGGGATTGGCACTATGCTATCCGCTCTCACTCAGCTTATTACCCATGGAAGGAATTTGGCAAACTTTTTTTTTTAAGACAAGGTCTTGCTCTGTCATCCAGGCTGGAATACAGTGGTGTGATCATAGCTCTCTGCAACCTCAAACTCCTGGACTCGTGATCCCCCCACCTCAGCCTTCCAAGTAGTGACGACTACAGGCTTATGCAACCACACTCAACTAATTTTGTAAATTTTTGTAGACACAAGGGTTCACTGTGTTGTCCAGGCTGGTCCTGGTCTCAAACTCCTGGGCTGAAGCCATCCTTCCACCTTGGCCTCCCAAAGTGCTGGTATTACAGGCGTGAGCCACCACGCTTGGCAGACTTTATTTCTTAAAGATTGCCGTCTTACTCAGCATCTTGGAGAACTCACAAATAAATGTCCCTGAGTTTCGAGACAAGCCAGCCATTAAAATCTTTTAGGGGGATCCAGAGAAGATGAGTTAAATTGGAATGGACTTGAAAAAACTGATTTAGTTGGATTTATGGATCACAGTCATGAAAAGGTAAAGATACCAACTTGTTTTGTGAATTTAATCTTTATTCCTTACTTTTTTGCCCCTACTGTTTGTAATTCCTACTTTATAATGAAATCCTTCTTGTGACTTATAGAAATTAACTGGGGAAAATGTTTTTCTGTTCTCCATTTCCTTTAAGTTTGTTTTTAGATACACTGCATTGCAAGTATGTGTGGTACAGTAAAATGTTGCTAATTGTATCTGCGCTGATAAGATGCCATTTGCTCTAGGTCAGTTTCCTACCCCCTCCCCCAACTATTCCTAGCCAGTGGTAGCATGCTTCTTACTTCCAAATATATGTGTGTGTGTGTGTGTGTGTGTGTGTGTGTGTGTGCCTGTGTGTATCAACAATGTGATCCTAAAATAAAAGAATGACATATATTTGACATTATTTACATACTAAATATGGGAGCACATAAATCAATTACAGAATAAAATCAATTTTTCAAGGATTTTGATGTAATGGTTTTTATTCAAAATGTTTCTTCCTTTCCTTAGGTAGAATTTTCTGCCAATTATTTTAAAGAAAAATGAAGATTTATTTTTTAAATGTGAAATGCAGTTTTTTTCTCTTTTTTGAGACAGGGTCACGCTCCGTCACCCAGGCTGGAGTGCAGTGGCAGGATTACAACTCACTGCAGCCTTGACCTCCCAGGCTCAAGCAATCCTCCCACTTCAGCCTCCCACGTAGTTGGAACTATAGGTGTACACCACCATGCCCAGCTAATTATTATTATTTGTAGAGACAGGGTCTCCCTGTGTTGCCCAGACTGGTCTCAAACTCCTGGGCTTAAGCCATCCTCCCACCTCAACCTCCCAAAGTGCTGGGATTACAGGCATGAGCCACTGTGCCCAGCCTACAATTACTATTTACTTAAAATGTTTATTAATGTGAGAAAATGTTTCAGAATGAATCTGGTCTTTTTTCTCTACAGTGGCCTCACCCTTACTTTTCTTTCTTAGCCCTCTTGGGAAAGGGGCTCCCTGCTTCTCCCCTCACGTCACCCCTCTCACAGTGCTTAATGGGGACCTATAAACAACAACTCCGTGGCCCCGGGGAAACAAGCACCTTACCTTGTAACAACGAAGACCTTTAAGGGGTCACATCCCACATTCTGGCCTTTTCCCCTCTAAACTTTATCATCAAATTTAACCTTTCATATGATAACTAACACTTGGACAGCATTTTATAGTTTTTAATCCACCAGCATTATCTCATTTGCCTCACAAAAACAGGAGGAGGCTAGGGAGTCCAGGGACTTCCTGAGCCATCTTCAACACAAGTCAGCATTTCACAGGGCTCCTTTCCTCCAGCTGCCCAGCCAGCGCAATTTAGTTATTGGCAGAAAGGAATAGAACTTTACGGCAGGAATATGGACCAACAGTCAGGCAGTGATCTCCACCAGCTTTCCTCACAAAGGCTAAAGCAACTCCATTGGATGCTAATCTGCCATGTTGACTAATGACTAAACCTTTTCTGGGAAGGACTCTAAGATTTCCAGTTTATCTTTTGTAATTTGTTTAAATCCTGCCCTTAGGTCAAAACAACCTTGATGTTATCAAACCTCAATTGTCCTTCACATCCCATCTGAATCATGCATACCCTTTCCCTATATAAACCCTGGCTCCGGGGAGTAATGGGGCGGGGATCCACCATCTTGTCTCACCACCACCTGAGGCCCAAGACACAGACGCAACTTCTGCTCCTAAGTCCCTATTAAATGTTTCTCCCTAAGAAACTGAATTTGTCAGCCTCTTTCTTTGCCTTCCGCTTTCTCGGACTTTGGGAGTAGGTTTGTATAGACCTGTCCACTGCATAACTCACTCATGCTGCAAATGTGAGCATATATAGGACGGAGTAAAGAGCTAGGTGTACACTACGGGATTGTTTTATTGTGTTCTTTAGCAGGAAAATAGGAGTGTTTTTCTACATAAAGCCTCGATGGAAAAGATAAATTATAGCTGCTTTACTGAGTGATTACTACATGTCAGGTATTCTACTTAAGAGAGTACTTTGCAAGTATTTTTTTATTCTACCTCCCAACAAATCTGTGAAGCAGATGGCATTATTTATTTATCACTTTTAAAAATATGAGGTAATAGGAGACACACAGAAGTCCTTTGTCCTGAGTTCTAAAGCTAGATTTCAACCCAGTCTGACTGCAGAGAATGTGTTCTCAAAAGCTAAATAATCTGCCTTATGGTAAAATTTACTTAAAACGTTAAACTAAATGAGAGCACTTAAAATTATTTTCTAAATCTACTTTTTAAAAAATTGGATAACCAAGGGCTTTTACTGATATGCTGAAGATTGTGTTTGCCAGTACTTGGGCTCCTGTAATTCAGAATGGCATTGGGTCCCTGAAAAGCACACAGCTAGACTCTGCCTCCTTTTTGTTTTGTTTTGTTTTAAAAAGATAGGGTCCTGCTGGAGTGCAGTGCAGTGCCACAATCATAGCTTACTGCAGACTTAAACTCCTAGGTCAAACGATCCTCTTGCCTCAGTCTCCAGAGTGGCTGGGATCACAGGCACACGCTAATATGCCCAGCTTGCTTGCTTATTTATTTATTTGAATTGAATTGAAGATGGAGTCTCACTGTGTTTCCCAGGCTGTTCTCAAACTCCTGGCCTCAACTGACCTCTGTACCTCAGCCTCCCAAAGTGCTGGAATTACAGGTGTGAACCACAGTACCAGGTCTCTGCCTGCTTAATACTGGTAAAGAAGTTGAAGCCTTACTCGGGAGGCTGAGGCAGGAGGACCACTGGAGCCCAGGAGTTCGGGACCAGCCTGGGCAATATACTGAGACCCTGTCTCATTTGAAAAAAAGAAAAAAAGCAGCAGCTTAACAACCAAGCACCGGTCAGTAGCCTCTGGTAGAAGAATAACCAGAAAATTGACTCTATTTTAGACCTGGAAAAAATATATAGATAATTTAATCTAACGTTTTCATTTTATAGATGAAAAAACTGAAGCTTGAAGCAGTTATGTGGCTTTACCAGGGTACATATCACTAACTAGTGGCAGGGCCAGAGTTCAAGCCTGGCCTTTCTGACTGCATTCTCGAAGTTATACTAACTAGGCTGCCTCCAAATTTGTGAGAGGGAATTTTCTATTTCCTTTTCCAGTGTTTTAAAAAATGTCAAAAGCTAACATTTATGTATTTTAGTAAATTTATCTTTTTTTTTTCCTTTTTTATAGACATTGGTAAATGAAAATTTGTTTGGATTTCCCAAGAGTACTTGAATTTCATGATTTTACATTTCCTACAAAGGGGTCAGACTCAGCAATTTAATTTTCATGGACTAAGAGCTTTCATCAAAGCCTTCATCTTAACAAATAATTGGTTTTGGGAATAGGGGATAGAGATAATTCGGAGAGAGGATAAGCATTCATTCATTAATTCACGCAGACATGTATTGCATGCCTATTTTAGACACTGTGCTAGGTACAAGTCATACAAATATGGCAAAGTTCTTTCCCTTGAGGAATAATTTTTTCCTTCCTTCCCTATTAGCAAAGAATCTGATGTATTCTTGCTGGTCTTAAATTAGGTTACTATCTCCCAACGTGTAATAAGAGTACTACTTATTGTATGCCACATGATTTTAGGTGATAACAGACAAGCACTTAAAAAAACAATTATATACACTTCAGTGTATGAAGATGTAGTTATATAGTCATTTCAATGTAGAAAAAAGATAGTTCACAAATCCATATTTGTGGACGTTGTATCTTAGGACATGGCTAATCATGTCGTTGATCTGCTTTTTGCAGACTGTCTGAACTACATGCATGATGCACAGGCATGTTCTGTAAACCTGCCATCACATTTTAAAAATATGATTCAGATTTTTGAAAGTACCGAAGAAATGGATTAATAGCATGGATTCTGCATGTACTGAATTTCTGTGTTAATCGCTGCATTATTTAAAAGATACATCAAATTGTCACTGCTGAAATTTGATAGTAATTTAGTATGTGAAGTATTGTACGTAACTTTATTATGCTAATCACAAACAGTTCCACTCTAAGGAACTTATATTTGGGTATACATGTTAGAAATTGATTAGAGTTATTATTTGTATTCTTTTCTTGAAAATATCTTGTTTCTAAAACAAAACACTGCTTTTTATTACAATTTTATGGTTACCTTAAACTATGACATATAATTATTTCTTTTTTTTTTTTTTTTTTTTTTTGACAGGGTCTTGTTCTGTTGCTCAAGCTGGAGTGCAGTGGCATGATCTTAGCTCACTGCAGTCTCCACCTCCTGGGCTCAGGTGATCCTCGTTTCTCAGCCTTTCAAGAGCTGGGACCACAGGCATGAGTCACCATGCCCAACTAATTTTTGCATTTTTTGTAGAGACAGGGTTTCACCATGCTGCCCAGGCTGGTCTTGAACTCCTGGGCTCAAGAGATTTGCCCACCTGGGCCTCCCAAAGTGCTGGGACTACAGGCATGAGCTACCGCACCCAGCCAAAAAAACCCTGATAATATGATTTTAAAAAATAAAAAAAAAAAAGAGGAGGTAAATAATAACAAACTCCTAGGCTTAATCTCCAGAGAGTTTGATTTGGTAGATTTGGGGCTAAGAAATCTGTATTTAAAAAACTTTTCATCATGTAAAATTTGAAACTATAAAAAGACTTGTTAAAAAAAATCCTCACATATCCCATTAGATTGAACAGTTATTAACATTTGCTTTATTTGCTACATCTATTTTTTTAGATATTTTAAAGCAAATTCTAGACATCTTGATATTTTACACGAAATGCATGAGTTTGCCTCTTAAAAATGCCATTTTGTTATATAACCAGATACCATAATCACACCTAACAAATTTAATAATAATTTCTTAGCATTTAAAATTTCCATGTCCCCAAAATGTCATCTTACAGTTGGCTTGTTGGAATTCAGGTCCAAACAAGTTCCATGCCTTCCCTTTAGTTATTGTGCAAGTTAGTTTTGTTTTTTAAAGAAGAATTCCCCTTTTACCTGAAACTGCCATTAACCAGTGTCTCAATCAGGCTGGCCCTCTAGGCTTCTCTAAGACAATTCAGATGTAGAAAGAAAGGGCCATGGACATTCTTCTTTCAATATATTTCCATCCTCTATGGATTTATCAGACCACATTCTTTTTGGAGATCTTAGAAAGACAGGATGGGTGTGAGATGGAGAGGGGTGAGATGGAGAGAACTGCAGATAGCCAGGAAACCATCCTTCTAAAGGAACTATGCCTTTTCTGGGCCATCTTTCCCCAAAATGTTTTAAAAAAGATTTCTGAGATTAAGTTTTTCTTTTCAAGCAGCTCAAGTGGTACAACACACAGCATCTCTCTTTTGGAGGCTCATAATGCACATTGAATATACTGTATTAAAGACTCTTTGGAGTTCCACAAAGAAATTTTACTCGTGTTTCCTAAGCGTATTTTATTATGGAGTTGTGTTCTGTCCCCAGCAGATCACCTTAATTAATATCTCTTGTGTATTACTTCATTCTCACGCTGCTATAAGGATGTTCCCAAGACTGGGTAATTTATAAAGGAAAGAGGTCTAATTAACTCAAAGTTCAGCATGGCTGGGGAGGCCTCAGGAAACTTAGAATCATGGCAGAAGGGGAAGCAAACACATCCTTCTTCACAGGGTGGCAGAAAGGAGAAGCATGAGAACCAAGCAAAGGGGGATAAAACCATCAGATCTCTTGAGAACTCACTAGCACAAGAATAGTGTGAGGGAAACCACCTCTGTGATTCTATTTCCTCCCACCAGGTCCCTCCCTCCACATGTGGAGATTATGGGAACTACAATTCAAGATGAGATTTGGGTGGGGACACAGCCAAATCATATCACTTGGAGCATAGTTTGGGAAGAACATCGATCTATGCTAATGTTATTACTGCTTTTCTTAGGGACACCAATCAGAATTTGTTGCGACAAAACACCATGTAGTCACTTTTGCTAATTTTCACTCTCACTCTTAGACCCTGTGGTGTTAACTAGTATTTTTATTCCCATTCAAAGATAACTGATATTAAATACATGATACGAGCTGAGTAAAATCTACTGCCAGAGTTAGGATTGCATTTAAAGCCCTAAAATTTGAAGACTTAAAATCTTACTTGAGTCTTATTTGAGTTGTTAAAAATTCAAATAATCCCCAATTACCAGAAGCTGTGCTGACAATGGTAAAGAGAAAAAGTGATTTCACAGCATATTATTCGTATTTGCACCTCCCATTCTCTGTCCCTTTTACCACCTTCTCTACCTAAGCATGAACAACCCTTAGCTTCCTTAGCTTGATTCTAGAAGGAACAGAACTAATGAAAGTAGACATTCTAAAGATAAAAAGTATTACTTTTTCCTCTTTCGATGACCATATAAACATTTACCAAAAAAAATGGAGTGTGAGACACATAAATCAAATGTTCCTAAAGACAGAGATTAAGGAGGCATTCACTGTGGAATCTGTGAATGTGTTTCTTTGAGAGAATTCCTCCAAGTGCCCTGTAACTTCTTGTAAGTGCTCCGTTCCTTCTATATATTGCTCTGGCTTCCACCATGCAGAGATACCAGGTGGTGGTGGGTGGCAATGACATCAGTAAAGATTCGTCTTACCCAAGAGAAGCAGAACTATTACTCAAAAAATGTACCAGTTTAATTCTGGAACTTCTCAGTTTCTCACCTTGGGTAGCAAAACTGTCTCTGTGGATTTTCTCTGCACTATCTGGGCAAGTACTCAGAATGAGCAATCCTTTCTTGGTGGGAGAAAATTAAAATGCCTTTTCAATAAGCAGGAATCCCACTCCTCTACATTCCTTCTGAAACTGCCAATTTGACTCTTGGTCCTCAGGGTTTGAAGTATGCATATACATATGGCAGCAGAGTGTGGAAATGAGTGGAAGCCTTGTACTACAAGATAATTGTTGGCTGTATAATTTAGGTGTAATAATTGGCCATTGTAAAATCCCATTGTTACATTTTCTCATTAGTTGACATTTACATGCACTTTCTTCCACCTGCTCATTAAGGCTTATTTATTTATGTATTTTTTTAGAGACAGGATCTCATTTTGCACCTAGGCTGGAGTGCAGTGGTGCAGTCATGGCTGACTGCAGCCTTGACCTCCTGGGCTCAAATGATCCTCCCACCTCAGCCTCCCAAGTAGCTGGGACTACAGGCGCATGCCACCATGCCTGGCTACTTTTTTTATTTTCTTGTGGAGACAGGGTCTTTTTTGCCCAGGCTGGTCTCAAATGCCTGGCCTCAAGCAGTCCCCTGACTTTGGCTTCCCAAAGTGCTGGCATTTCAGGCATGAGCCACTGCACTCAACCTAAAATGTTTCTTCTTTGTTTTTTTAATTCTCAGTTGGCATAATGAAATAAAATCCAACTTCGAACTAGATGACATGGGCTTGAATCCCAGCTTCACTCACTATCTGTGTAACATTATGCAATTTGCCTACACTCTGTGCCTGTGCTTCTTTACCTGTAAAATGACGATTATAGAACTATCTCAGGGATTATGAGTTTTATGATATTAAAACTATGAAAATGTTTATTTCATATCTAGTATATGGGCAGTCAACAAATGTTGGGTTCTTTGCTTTCCTCTCTTTTCCTCTGCAAATATAACTTAGTAGCCAATCCCATCATTTTGAGAAGAAAATAAAGAATAAAGGCTTTCTTGATTTTGCTGGTTTTTCTTTGAAATAATATCATAGGCCATGAGAGGCTTAGATAACTAAAGGAATCTACTTCAATATGCTGGAGCAGAGGAGAAGTTTGAGCTCAGGAGTTCGAGACCAGCCTAAGCAACATAGCAAGGCCCTGTCTCATTTGAAAAAAAGAAAGCAGCAACAGCAGCTTAACAACCAGTAGCCTCTGGGAGAAGAATAATCAGAATTGACTCCTTGTTTTAGAGCTGGAAGGAAACATATAGATAATTTAATCCAGTGTTCTTATTTTATAGATGAAAAAAACTGAGGCTTGAAGCAATTATGTGGCTTTACCAGGTTACATATCACTAACTAGTAGCAACTGGCCAGCTGGCTGAAAGAAAACTGCTAGTCAGCACAGAGCCTGGGTGCCTGCCCATATCAAGTGCCAGGTTTCTTTTTTATTTATTATAATTATTTAACTAACACAAGAAACTAAGCATCCCTTTCTGCTTCTAAAGACATCAAAGGGTCTGTTACAAATTGAAAAGTAGACTCTAGTCACCGTAGAATGCTTATGTTCCCATTTAATGAGTATAATTAAAGAGACAGACAATAAGAAGTGTTGACAAGGATGTGGAACAACTGGAACCCCCATACACTGCTGGTAGGAATGTAAAATATATTTTATTTTAGAAGACAATTTGGTAGTTTCTTAAAAAGTTAGACCTACAATATTACCTAGGAATTTTGCTCTTAGGAATTACCCAACAGAAATGAAACATACATTGGCACCAAGACATGTATGTGAATGTTCATAGCAGCATTATTCATAATAGCAGTTGGAAACAAATGTCCTTCAATTGGTGCATGGACTGTTCAGCAGTAAAAAGGAACAAACTATTGATATGTGCAACAACGTGGATGAACTTCAAAACCGTTATGCCAAGTGAAAAAGGGAGATGTGGCTGGGCGCGGTGGCTCACGCCTGTAATCCCAGCACTTTGGGAGGGCGAGGCGGGCGGATCACAAGATCAGGAGGAAATCGAGACCATCCTGGCTAACACGGTGAAACCCCGTCTCTACTAAAAATACAAAAAATTAGCCGGGCGTGGTGGCGGGCGTCTGTAGTCCCAGCTACTCGGGAGGCTGAGGCAGGAGAATGGCGTGAACCCGGGAGGCGGAGCTTGCAGTGAGCCGAGATTGCGTCACTGCACTCCAGCCTGGAAAACGGAGCGAGACTCCGTCTCAAAAAAAAAAAAAAAAAGAAAAGAAAAGAAAAAGGTAGATGCAAAAGGCATAGTGTATGTGTATGTTGCCTTTTTTTTTTTTTTTTTTTTTTTTGAGACAGAGTCTTGCTCTGTCACCCAGGCTGGAGTGGAGTGGCATGATCTCGGCTCACTGCAACCTCTGCCACCTGGGTTCAAGTGATTCTGCTGCCTCAGCCACCCGAGCATGGGCATGCCACCATGCCCAGCTAATTTTTGTACTTTTAGTAGAGATGGCATTTCACCATGTTGGCCTGGCTGGTCTTGAACTCCTGGCCTCAAGTGATCTGTCCACCTTGGCCTCCCAAAGTGCTGGGATTACAGGATTATAGACGTGAGCCATCACATCCAAGCCATTTAAATTTAAAATCTATAGAGACAGAAAGTACATTAATGGTTGGCTGGGGATTGGAATGGGGATTGATTGAAACAGGCATGAGAGTTATTTTGGGAATGTTGGAAATGTTCTCAAACTGGATTGTGGTGATCATTACACAACTCTAAAAGGGTACTAAAAAGTCATTAAATTATACATGTAAGATGGATAAATTTTATAGTATGTCAATTATACCTCAAGTTGTTAAAGAATATTTATTGTTATATAATTCATAAAGTGATCTTCATATTAAAAGTAGCATTCAGAGACTGGAGAATATCATAGATTGTACTCTTAGAAATAGGCACATATCTGTTTTTTTAGCTCAAATACAGTGAGATCTCCATATGCATGGATTCTGCATCTGTGGATTCAACTTACTACAGATGAAAAATGTTTGGAAAAAAAATTGCATCTATACTGAACATGTAGACTTTTTTCCTTGTCATTATTTCCTAAACAATGTAGTTTAAGAACTACTTACATAACATTTATGCTTTATTAAGTATTATGAGTAATCTAGTGATGATTGAAAATATATGAGGAAGATGTGTGTAGGTTACACGTAAATGCTATACCATTTTATATCAGGAACTTGAGCACCGGTGGATCTGCAGTTGCAGGAGAGAGGGGAGAGCCTGGAACCAATCCCCCAAGGATATGGAGGGATGACTATTCACTGTCCTGTGACTCTGATGGTAAACATCCCCAGTGCTCCAACTTTCTAATTGGGTAAGGCATGGAGCAGTGAGTGAAGGGGAGAAGCAGGTCGGGTAACAGGAGAGCCAAAGAGAGAGCACAGGGAGATGATCACAGGCCAGAAGCTGCTTCTGTTCTCAAGCATCAGGAATGGAAATGGAGTGTGCTTGCTTTGTTTGATCTTTCAAGAACCAGCACCCAATATGTCCATTCTGCCATTTCCTGTCTTGGCCCAGCAGCCTATCTCTGCCCAGTGCTCTCCCACTCCTGTTTTGTGTTGATTTCTGGTCTCCTCTGGGCTGTGCTGCTTCATCTCTTGGTCCCTCAGTCACCTGTACACCAGGGTGTCCTCTCTGGCTAGACCTTCTTCTGACATGGCATAATCCCTATATGCAACATTTCAAGCCAAGGAAAACCTTATCTTTCAATCATTATTTTTCAGTCACTTATAAAATGCCTTTCTAATCTCATCCACAAACATACATAAGAAGTTGAGATTATCAATTTGCAATTTATGTTATTGAAGAAAATAAGTGTGGTTTAGGATCTCAAAGAATAGGGAAGTTTGGCTAGTGCAGGGCTTGATATTTTAATCATGCTCCCTTTCAACTTCATCCAGTCACAGTACATCAGAATAAGATTATAAAGAGGGAGAATTCACTATCTCATGCAGATAAATATAATACACTTGTAATAGTGGTGGTTGCAGTTCTAAAGGCATATAAAAAAATCAGAAATTGTGTGAATCGACTAAATATCAGATCATTAGGCATGTGGTACATTTTAAAAGTGAAAGTAGTTTTAAAACCTCCTTAAAACTGCAAATGCTCTCTCAGGCCTATCTGCCAGTTGAATAATTTGGAGTTAGAATTACATAGATTTCTTTTTTCCCTGAAGCTTATTGTACTTTACAAATTATAGCTAATAATTATTGAGTACTTGTGATGTTCCAGACACCTTATTTAATCTTCACAATGACTCTGAAGTAGGTACAATAGTTATCTCTATTTTGTAGATGAGAAAAGACGTAAAGAGGTCTCTGTTCAAAGTGGCAGTTGATAAGTAGCACAGCCAGGATTCAAGCCCAGGTCTTTCAGACTCCAAACCCAGTGTCCTCAATCCCTACTCCATGGGTCTAACTAGACCTCATGATAATAAATATTCTTCAAAAATGCTCACCCTTAGTTAAATAGCAACTTCTGTTTATTGAGAGCCTGCTATATAGAAGGCACTGTATTTGGGATTTCACATTTATTATTTTTAACCCTGATAACGTGGCAAAGTAGGTATTCTTATTCCTATTTACAAGAAAAAAGAGCAGAAAACAAAAAACATAACTGGGGCCAAGGGAAACTAGAAAATTCTGTCTGACTCAAAATCCACGTGCTTTCCCTCATGCTATCATGCTCTTCATCAAACCTTGGAGTACCACCAAGAATTAGATGACTTTTTGGCTTCTTGAACAAATATTTATCTTGCCTATTTAATGCCTAGCTGGAACCTAGGAAATGACAACCCCTCCAAAATAAGACATGGACCTTGTTCTTCTGGATCTCAAAATTCAGTAAAGAGAAAAGGAGAATGGAATAGTTTGCTATGGATCATGGCCTCCAGCTCCATCCATGTCCCTGCAAAGGATGTGGTCGTGTTCCTTTTATGGCTGCATAGTATTCTATGGTGTGTATGTACCACCTTCATAGAAAATTCTATGACTCTATTTCCAGGGCCACTAAACCACAGTTCTTGCCTTACAATTGACATACAGCATCTTCTTACTTTCATTCATTTGTTCAATTTATTCAACATTTATTGAGCGTCTACTACAACTATAGTAAACACAAGCTTTACACTTAGATTATTCATAGTCTGGTCGGGGGAGACAGACAGGTCAATAAAACTCCCTAACACGTGGTGGAGTACTAAGTTCTAAAAAGAATGATTCAGACAGTAAATGCTAGGGGAATCTAGAGAGGGGCACAGTTAACATGAGCTGAGGAGAATAGGGAAAGCTTCCTCAAATGATGTGAGATCTAGGTGGACCTAAAATAAGGCAAGGTTTGGATAAGCAGAGAAGAGAGGGAAGAACATTCTACAAAGACCTCCAGCTTGGAATGAGCGTGTTGGATCAGAGATCAATGAGGACCTGGTTAGAATGATGGGGTTTGTGCTCGGGAGCAGAAAGATTTGAAGGCTCTATCAATTTATCTTACAGCAGCTCACTGTGATACTAACAAAAATCAGTTCCAGTCAGGGTCCAGGGAAAAGTTATCCAGGTACTGCTTCCTGCTGTGGGTAGAAATATGTCTGTTTTTTTCACCATCATTAACAACAACAACAAAAAAAAAAGATAAGGGGAATCCCAAAAGGGCCATGGGACAAATATAGGCTTAGAAATCTGAATTTATTCCTGGGTTCTGTTTTCAGTTTCATCATCTATTTTCTGAAAATGCAACAGTAGAAATTATCGGACCTCTTCTGAATTAGTTTCTGCTAAGTAAGAAAAATATATAACCACCACCTCCTCCAACACCACTACCACCTCCAACACACACACAAATTCATCCCATTCTAAATATGCAGATTGCTGGAAGTAATATGCCAAGTATTCAAAATGGAGATTTAGGTCATGAAGGTGCCCCCAAACTGCCCTGTTTCACTCCCTTCTGGCTCATACTATGCTGAAGACAAAGTGGGCAGTAAATTATGTTGTTTTGAAATTATGATAATTTTGCCACCTTTTAGCATAATAGGAAACAGAGTGTTAACTGTGCAGTCTTCAAGTATGGTTTCTAGATACAATATAACTTTCATTATCATTACAATTTTTCTTCTACCTGGACAACTTGACATTTTCCCAGGGTGTTTAATTACACAGTTTTTTAATTTGTACAAGATTGGGGTGAACAGTTATTTTAGTGAGTTTTAAGCAGGCAAGTTACTCTTCCAGACACATTTTTCCAACCTCTCTCAGCTCTGATTTGGACTTAAGAAAACTCATTTTACTAACTTGCTGAGCATAAAAAATTTGGTGCTGGTGTTTAGCTATCTCAGCGCTGCAGTTTAGAAGGGTAAGTGAAAAACATCCCTCTGAGCTTCAGGGGCCAGAAATGAAGGAGCTCCAGATGACACTCTTGTCCACTCGCTAAGCAGAGCCTTACAGAGGCCATTTTATAAAAGATAGCAATGGGCTAGATATAGAAATTCCACAATGAGATCACACGCTCATACCATGCACCCTACACATTCATCTTGTTTTTAGGAAGTCAGCAGTATTAAAAGCCAGGAAGAAAGAAGGGGATAGTTCAGAAATTGAAGAGTGCAATTTATCCTTTTAATATTTCACTCAGGATTGCCCAGACCCTTGGAATCTGCCTTTATCTAATTTTTGAATAGTACTTTTCACATGTTGTTCCCAGTTTGGGCTACAGTGTCTAAGCTAGGAAACAACAGGGTAAGTTTCAGATAAAATTCTCTGCAATTTTATTTATTTTAACTTTTAAGTTCAGGGGTACATGTGCTGGATGTGAAGGTTTGTTACATAGGTAAGCATTTGTAAAGGGGGTTCATTTTGCAGATTTTTCCACCCAGCAGGTATTAAGCCTAGTATCCATTAATTATTTTTACTGATCCTCTCCCTCCTCCCATCCCCTGCCCTCTGGTAGGCCCCAGTGTGTTGTTCCCCGTGTGTGTCCATGTGTTCTCATTATTTATCTCCCAATTGTAAGTGAGAACATGCGGTATTTGGTGTTCTGTTCCTGCATTAGTTTGCTAAGGATGACGACCTCCAGATCCATCCATGTCCCTGCAAAGGACATGATCTTTTTCCTTTTTACGGCTGCATAGTATTCCATGTATATGTACCACATTCACAGAAAATTCTTTGACTCTATTTCCAGGGCTACTAAACCACAGTTCTTGCCTTATAATTGACATACAGCATCTTTTTGCTTTCATTCATTTCTTCAATTTATTCAACATGTATTGAATGTCTACTACAACTATAGTAAACACAAGCTTTACACTCAGATTGTTCATAGTTGAGTGGTGGGAGATGGGCCAATAAAACTCACTAACACATGGTAGAGTACTGTGATACCAATAGTGCTAATGGAACAAGGCGTGAATGGTGAGAGGGGGGCAGCAGTGGTTAGAAAGGTCTTCCAGGAAACTGTGATATCTGGGAAAACTTTGAAGGATGATGAGGAGCCATCCAGGTTGAGATGTAAAGTGGCTTTCTACTTGGAGAAACAGCATGTCCAAACACAGAGAAGCATGAGAAAATCTGTGTGTCCTTTCAAAAATATGAAAGGTAACAGACCTGGAAGACAGCTGAGTAATTTGCAGAATTACAGCTTTCAGAGTGACCAACCAGAGGTCTAGGTTTCATAATCTAATCATTTGGATCTGTGGCATTCAGGATCCCATTTTAAAGGCCACTTCTTTGATTACCAGTCAGGAAATATAATGACAGGCTGGTTCAAAATGTAAAACTCATTGAGGAGGAGATTCTCCAATGCGATAATCTCATTTCATTTCTTAACATATGATCAAGAATTCCACCAAGATTATTTTTATTTTGTTTTGTTTTAACAACCACCTATTCCTTTCTCACATTCCATATACCTAAGGTGTTGCTCTAACGTGTGTGCAGAGGCCAGTTGATTCTAAAATTAGATCTCTTATTTTTTTTGGAGGAGCAAGTATTATTTGTTTTTATTGTACATCCAAGAAAACAGAGGATCTTATGACAAATGACGAAGCCATGACTGGGCATGGTGGCACAAGCCTGTAATCACTTGAGCCTAGGAGTTCGAGACCAGTCTGGGAAACACGGCAAGACCCCATCTCTACAAAAAATCTTTTAAAAAATTAGCCGAGCTTGATGATGCCTGCCTGTAGTCCCAGCTATTTAGGAGGCTGAGATGGGACGATCGCTTGAGTCCTGAAGATTGAAGCTGCAGTGAGCCAAGACTGTGCCACTGCACTCTAGCCTGGGTGACAGTGT
Source organism: Homo sapiens (assembly GCF_000001405.40). NCBI lineage: Eukaryota > Metazoa > Chordata > Mammalia > Primates > Hominidae > Homo > Homo sapiens. The sequence continues at coordinate 51,622,796 of NC_000014.9, read as the reverse complement.
AAGACCCTGTCTCAAAAAACAAAAACAAAGCCACACAATGCGTCAGTGCAGAGAAAGAATTAGATTGAAGGACTCCCAAAAGCTTGGTTTGGGATGAATCTTTAGGATACTAGGAATAAGAGTAAATGCTCTGGAATCTGACTTCAGCAGGCACTCTGTATGTGTGTTGGGGGTTGGTTAGGGATTGACTCCGAGTGAAGCTCTAGGGCAGGAAATAACTCTACCAGTTGGTACTATGAAAGAACTTGAAGCTCACAAACATACAATGAACCTTTTTCTTCTTTAGTTCCTCCTATAACCAAGGACTAGGAGTCAGGACTGCTTCTGCCTCACTTCTTTTATAGGTGACCCTCAGCTCCTTCTCTAGAGCTACCTTTAGTGACCATTTTATCCTAATTTCACTGGTATAAATATAGTGAGGGTCAGAAATAGCCTGATTTGCACCCTGTTCGTGCAAATTATATATGCAAAATTAGGTATAAAAATGAATAATTATTTAGAGCAAGGAAAGAAATCACAACAGGTTGCTGAAGGATTGGAAATTTGGGACTCCTAAAATATCTTTAGCTGAGTTACAAGATGTTCTTACATAGAAACACTTCCTTATTGGAATCTGGCTTTTGTTCTGCACAGACAACATCCTACAAGTCTTAGCCACTCCCAGCACTCACAGGGATCTGTGCAAGTGAGGGACCTGAAGCTTAGACTCCATCAGCTTCCTCCTTCACCCAGATGTGGTATCACTGATGAAGGCTGCAGGAAGATAGCTTGGATAAAAGTCCTGGTTTGCCAGAACAGTCTCGGGTTATGCCTGTTGCTCTTGTCTACATTTTAATAATTCCCTTTCTAAAAACAGTCCTTGTTTGCATGATAAATGATATGGTCACCTATTTATGCTGGTCCCCTCTGTGACCACACAAGCTGGGGCCAGATGGGGAGTTTCAGTTATAATTTTAGTACCCTCACTGGCTTTCTGACCCAGCTGGGTCTGGTAGAATCTGTTTCTCAATCTTAAAGTAGGGGTAATCACATTGACCTACTTACAGTGGGTTGCAAGGAAGGTTCTGTTCTGTTGTGTTTTTCTGTCTTCTTTAAAGGTATTGTGTTGGTATCATATAAATTAGACTTAAAAAAAATTAGTCGTTGGTGTGTACAGCACCTGTCATTTAGAGATGCAAGAATCTGTAAGCAATACCATCTAATCCAGTAAATGTTGTCCTCTCTGTTATGCTTTCATGAAGATCCACCCATCTTCTCGAACAACCTACAGGGTGGAACAGCAGGACATTCAGGCCTAGTTAAAAAGATCTTCTGGCTACCTGTCCTTGGGTTGCTGATTGCATCTGAATGTGATGGTGGAGCTAAGGAAGTATATCTGGGCAATAACTTGCCCTTGGTGGTCACACTGTGTCAGTTCATCACTATAAGAGAAAGGCAGAAAAGCTAAGCCGAAAAGCTCCATCCCCACGAGAAGCTGGTTTGCATGGCTGGACCAGTGAGGATGTCAAGACAGCTCTATTGTGGGTTGGCTGCTGGATCCAACTCCACCACTTCTGAGCCTTTGAGTTATAACATCAAGCACAAACAACCAGGCTTATTTTCCCAGCCAAAGTCACATGCAATGTCAAGGTATCATTAAAAAAAAAAATTGAAGTTTAAAAGGCAGCTTCCTCTGAGTGCTGATTTGGGCACATAAACAGTGGCGTGGTTAAATGCCACTCTGTGTTTAAGGTAATTATACATCAGCCCTGGAATGTAGTGATGTGAAAGCCCCACTGCAGCAAACAAAGTTGATTCTATCAGCAAACTCTGGCAAATCAGCTGGCCTGGATGCTTCTCCCTGAATTTACTACTTCCTACTTGAGAACTGTCTCTGGGAACATCAGAACTTGAAGACAAGTGTGGTGCACTGCCTAGCACTCTAAGGCTGGTGCCAGCTTGTAACCAATGATATGTCTGCAGCAGGGCTTGGGGACCTTGGCCCATAGCAGCTTGCAGTGAGAGCCCTTGGAAACAGCTGAGGCCCATAGGAGTGTCAGTGGTTTGGGTCTGTGCATTGTCATGTCTTACCAGGTCCTGCTGGGGCTGGACTGCCACTGCTCAACAAGCCAAAGACATCCATCCAGAGAAAGGCTGGTGGAGTGGACAAGACTTCTTGGGAAAGGTGACATTCCTAGGGGTCAAGAGATGATGGTTTTTGGCTTCTAGCTCTGGAAGCACTGTCGTAATGGGCCCAAGCAAACGTCTGACTGGTGTAGTCTAACTTTGTTCTACATAAAAGGACACAGGGGCCCATTTATCCTTTTCCACTTTGGAATCATACCTTTCTCGGTGAGGACTCAGTCATCACCCCTCTGCCCTTCATCCTGGTGCCCAATCCCCAACCATGCGCCAAATCAGTGGAACTTTCCTTGTGGTTTTGCGGAATCTTTTTCCTTCATCCCTACAGAATTTCCTTCATGAGTTACTGCTGGCAGCTGTATTTGTGCTAATTAGCTGCCCTTGATGGATTTCTTTCATCCAGTTGTAAATTCTAGAGGAGACATTCCCAGGCCAATTTAAAAGTAGAATTCACAGACCAAACTAAGTGGAAATCAGGTTTGGATGGCCTCCACAGAGCAAGTCAAGCCAATTCCCATGGCACCTGAGCACAGCATTCCCAGGGTGGTAAGTCAAAGTAGTAGAAGGACAGACCTGGAAGAAATCTCACATAGACCTTTAGTTTAGTCACCTCATTTTACAAACTAGGCACTTGGGGCTCATAAAGGTGAATTAACTTGTCCTATCTCACCGCTATTTGCTGGTCACCTCTGAAAGTAACAAGGTATGGGTGGCTCTGTAGACTACAGGGGAATTACCCCGTTGCCTTCTGCGACACCTTGAATACAGCTGTCATAAGGAAAGGCCTTGTCTGTTATTGTCAAGTTCATCTTTTCTTTTCAACTTCTAACTTTTTTTTCTCATGGAGTAATATTATACCCCTAAAGAAAACATATGGAATCCAGCTGTTGAGATATGTCAGATATTCCAAAAAGCATACAAAGTAGCTGACCTCATTTTGGTAAGTACCATGGACGAGCTGCTAGAAGGCACAAAACTCCCTAAACATCTGGACAGAGCTGGGTCCTAGGTTCCAGTAATACACTGTCCACTAGCAAAAAGCCTTTATGCTCTTAGTGTGGAGTAGTCTACGGTTTCTCATCTGTCTCTGGTACTTTCAGAGTCATCAGGGAAGCTTCTGTGAGGTGGTGATGTAGGAAGGTTTGTTTTATGGGGTATTTGGGAAGAAATCTTCTTGGTCATATTTATGACAACTCTTCCAAAGGGTAACTATTTGTTTACGTGCTGACCTCGGATCCGTTAAAGGTGAAAGCCAGGACCTTTCTTCTTCTTTTCCTTTCCTCTTTTTTTTTTTTCTTTATCCTCCTCCTCTTGCATACCTTAAAGCCCAGCTATGCTATTTAACTTAATAAACAGACATCCACAGAAGTCTTTGTGTAAGTGATACTGTATCCATTGGGCAATTGTTGAACTCTGGCCTCCTGTACATGTATTAAAAATAAGTGTTTCTTCATATTGTTCAGCTTCTGTATAGATACTATGTATATTCATGTTTTCATGTAAATACAAGAAGACTTGCGCTTTACTGAATCAAGACCAGGACATTTTTGTATAAAACTTATGTCATGAAACACTTCTGTTATGTGCAAAGCAATTATTTGAAGTAGTGCCAAAATCACAGTTAAGGGAATTCTAAATCACCCAATGATTGATTATATTTTTTGTCTTACAACAAATTATTTGAAATTCTTTAAACATATAGAAACCAAGAATCATCTGGACTTCTTTATTATTACATATATAATATATGTAATTATATATGAAATAATATATCATATATAATAATATATATTCATCATCAGATGAAACTGTCAATTCTTCATAGAAATACATTTATAATTGTATTATAATAATTTACTGAATGCAATGGATTAAAATAATTTCCATTTCAATTGAATGATTCTGAAAGCAAATCACAAGTAATCATCTTCCCACCCAAACCTGTTTCTCCTATAGATTCCTCATTTTAGCCAGGGGCTACTCCATCTACCCAACCCCTGAGGCTGGAAAACTGGGAGTCATTCTTGATACCTCTCAGCCCTCAGCCTTCACATTCAACCTATCAGCAAGTCCTGTTATTTCACTTCAAAAATATATTTTGACTCTGCCTATTTCCCTCCTAACTCCATTTACTCCAGGCTTCCCAAGCCACCATCATTTCTTTGCTGGACCACTCATCAGTAGTCTCGCAACAGGTCTCGCTCCTGCCATACTTGCTTCTCTCCAGTCTGTTCTGCTCAAAGCAACCAGAATGACCTTTTAACGAATATGAGCAAGCTGTGCTCTTGTCTCCACTTCCTTAACATAGGTCTAGATCTCTTGCCGCTTTTCCCTTGGCTCTCTACACTCTAGTTGCCTTGGATTTCTTTTGGTATTGAAAGTGATCTGAAACATTTCCTTCCTCTCCCTCCTCTGAACCCTGCCCTAGACCCTGACCAGTTTCTTTTCATCCTTGGGCCTTAATAAAATGTCAGTCTTCTAAAAAGTTTTACACCCAGACTAAGGCAAGTAATGCAGCGTACCCAGAGAAAGTAATTGTTATTCTCACAGATAACACCTGGTTCTTCTCTTTCAAAACCCTCACCACAATCTGCATTAGTATATATGATATATAATTCCATATATATAATGCCTAACTTCACTCATAGACTGTAAGCTCCATGAGGGCAGATATCACATATGTTCTGGCTCCGTGCAGGTATATAATAAATTTTCATTAAACACTTGCAAGTAAATGGATCATTATTGCCATGCATTTATCTATTGCATGTTTTATTTTAAAGTGCATGAGTGTTCTAATACCCCTAAATTAAGGTACATATTGACCAGATGATTTTATCCCCCTTCTACAGATAGTGAAACAGGTTTAAAGAAGAAAAATAAGTTAGGAAAGGTGGTTTAAGTTCCTTGAGTTCAGAGCTGACTAATTCATAGAAAATAATAATAATTATAATGATTAAAATTTATTGTTCTCTTAATATATGCAAGAGTGTTCCAATAACATTAACTCATTTAATCCCTTCAACAACCCTACGAGGTAGGTAGCATTATAACCATCCTTTTCTTACAGATAAGGAAATGGAAGTACAAACTAGTTAGGTAATTTGCCCAAGGTCTCAAACATATATGTGCAGCAATATATCATATTAAATATATGTTACATAATAGGCCCACATTCATGTTCGTTATCTCACTGACAAGCAATTCTAACATACTGAGCTTTTCTCAATCAGGTTTTCCATTATGAGCAACACTGCATCTGGAAGAATGATTTCTGGTTCCTCTTGGTCATCATTCCCTGTCTTCCCTCTACCTCTCCAGCCCTTGCTCTCTCTGCCTTCTCTCTTCCCTTTTCTTCTTTTTCCCCCCACTCCCTGCTGTTCAGTAGTAAAATCTCTGACAGAGCCACTTTTTTGCCAGGCTATCATATACAAGGTCAGTGTTCCCACATTCCAAAGGTAGGTAAAAATGTGTGTGGAGAGCAGGGAATTCTGCCAGAACAATGACTCACTGTGTTACATGCAAAACGGTTCAATAATAGGTCACTGCCTTAGCAAGAGCAACACTGCCTGTCCCTACGGAAAATAAGGGGGCTTCCACATGGCACTCCTGATGCTTTAATAGAAGCTTTGTATGACAAACGGGAAAGCTATACCCATCTTAAACCATATACTGGCTTTTTGTTTCATGGGCATATGAGGTGAGTTTCAAAAAGGGAAGTGTATAAAATGCAGTTCTTGACATGTAATGTCACACGTATTCATAGTAAGCATGCACACAAAGTCACCTCTAGGTTACTCAGCTAATTACATAGGTGGTGGAATATCTGGTTCCTTTGCTTCTCCAAGTGGCTTGTTTACTAGTTTGTTTTTTGGCTCATGTTCCTGTTCATTAGAACTTCCATTAGCAGAAATATAGGATTATGGTGGAACTGGATGGGCTGCTTCTTGTCTTGTTTTCTTCCAGGCTCAGCCTAGAATGCATAAAAATGGCTGGAGCCCTCTCTCATGCCTCAGTTCCCTTGAGCCTGTGTTCTTTACCACCCCAGGCCAGTAAACCCCACCTTAGGATCAGCCCCAAAACCAGCTTCCTTCACCAGCATAACACTGCTGCTGAGGAGGAAAAAAGGAGCATCCCTTGCAGATTGGGACTCTCAGACATTTATGATTCACCTGATCTTTAAGACCGCCTCACAGCTGTGTGGCTTATCTTCAGCTCCCTTGTCCATTCCCCTCCACAGCTGTTCCAAACCCTTTAATCTAGTCTAAGCCAGTAGTTCTCAACATGGGCAACCCATTACAGTCACTCCAGGACCTGTTAAAAATCCCAGTGCCTAGGCTGCATCTTAGAACACTTAAATTGTATTCACTGGCACTGGATCCAAGCATCAGTACTTTTTTAAAGCTCCCTAGATAACCCCGGTAAGTGTACAGCCGAGGATTAGAGCCATTGCTTTAAGCTAATAACATCACCTCCCACTTCATCAGAAAATGGAAGGCTGTCAACTACAGACATCTCAACTTCCTATCCTCTCATGCGCCTTTCTACATCCACCCCCAACCTGCTGTCCTTCCCTCAGTCTTAGAGGTTGGTATGTCCTTCTTTCTATTTCAGGATAACACTTCAAACTATGGCCTTTATACCCATATCTTCCAAGATCTAATCTCTTCCTTTCAACTAGATCTTTCCTTTCAGATTATAGGCAAGCTTAAGTCTCCTGCATCTTTAGAAAGGTATCTTTGGAACTCATCACCTCTACCTGTATCTCTAGTTCCACATGTAACTACTTCCCACATAATTCTTTGTGCTCTGGTTATATTCTCCTTGGAATACCACACTTTCTTAGCTAACTAATCTTTTATAACTTGACTCAGTTGCTACATCCTCCATGAAATGTTTCTAGAATTCACTGGGTGGATCATGACTCTCCTGTACATTATTTTCAAGTGAGGTTCTTCCTTTGTTTTTCCCCTCCTCTCCTTTCAAATATCAGCTCCTTGAGGGCAGGAACCATGTCATTTTCACCTTTGTTACAGCAGTACCTGGCTCACCATATGCTTGTCGAAGTGAATGTAAAACAATTTTCCACCTAGCTTCTTGGGCAGAATGATGTGGTCTAACTGGCTGTGAGTGATTTTCATTCCTGCAGGCCCCTGTGCTTTTATTTTCATGGATAACTGCTAGAGAAGTTACCTGGGGCAATTCTTGGGACATTATTTGGGGTTTTATATTATGCCACAGAATAATGTCATGTTTACTTGCTTAGGATGAATTTATAAACAAATCTAATACATGAATCTTCTCATTAGCATCTCCATACTTTCTAAGGCCATAACTCCGACAATAATGATTAGTAATAGAAGAAATAAGGATCAACAATGTGGCTTGTCTCTTAATATACAGTTTTAGAAATTAAAATTCATATCCTAACACAGTCAATGCTTTATTTTAGAATCCAACACCATTTCTTTGCAGCTAGGCAGTGCTGACCTACCTCTGCAGAGCAGCTAGAACAGGCTGGACTACTATACTGAGCTTTTAGTGGCAGCAGCTGCTAAAAGTTTTTGTTTCCTTTTATTTTCCTCTTAAACTCTCCTTTAAAAATACAGTACAGGTTACTCCTCAGTCATACTCTAAATGCTTAGCCCCTTCAGTGGAGTAGTCAAATCCCTACTCTGCCTGATTAATTAGCTGAGTAAATCTAAGAAACTCCTCAACCTTATGGCCTCTCTTTCTGCCAAGTTTTGTATAACTCATAGACTGCATGTATTCATAAGCACAAGAAAACACCTGTGAGCAATTAACCACAGACCCTTGATTTAGAGGCATTGGAAGTATGCTGATGGCCCTTAGATTGTTGTCACAGGTCTATAATTATGTGAGACCACAACCAAATCATCCCAGCAGTCCAATTAAAGGAAGGGTCATTCTTTCAACTATAACATGATGCTGCTTCTAAAAATAATTCTGCCTGAGATCCAGAAAAAAGTATTCTTTAAGAGGGTGCTGCTTTAAAGGAACCATACATGGGAGTTTGAAGATGGTAGTGCCTCAGGATATTTCTCTGAAATGTGTATATAACCAATACATGGGGAAAAGAGACCACAAAAAACAATTAAAAATTCACTGAATTGAAAATCCTGTTTAAAATTATCCACCCAGAAAATATTGCATATAACTCTTTGTTTCTGTTTAGCCTAGAAACAATAATTACAGAGTTAATAAACCAAGTCTGCAACCAATAGTGTGACCGGTGAAAATATAAGAATCTATCTTTTAGAGTAGACAGTCCACTGTAGAATTATGAAACAAAAAGACAATCTTTGTTTCGTAAGATTGAATTCTCATTCTACGGTGTATGTTACCCTGTATTCCATGTGACTAGAATACTTAAGCCTTGCAACATTGAAGAAAAGTCACCTATTTCTAGAATCAGGCAAAAAAAACAAAAAAACAAAAAAACCAACCAACCCAAAGTTCCTAGAAAAAAAGAGTTCTTAACCAAGCGCAGATGTGTTTCATGAGCTATGAGAATCCCCAGAATTCTTGAACATTTTGTGTGCATGTGTATTTTTCAGGCAGAAGAGTGGGAAGTGCCTGTAGCTGCACTGTCCTATGTAATGGTCACTACTGCATGTGGCTATTGAGTGTTTGATACGTGGTAGCTTCAATTGAGGTGTGTGGTACGTGTGAAATTCACACTGGATTTTGAGCGATAGTGATAAAAATATATAAAATATATCATTAATAATTATTGTATTGATTAATATTGAAATAATATCTGTATTGGGCTAAATAAAATATATTGTTAATATTAATTTCATCTATATATTTTTACTTTAAAAAATATGGCCACTAAAATTACATATGTGGCTCACATTGTATTTCTGTTGAATGGTACTGGGTCTACAGCTTCCATCAGTTTTTCAAAGGGCTCTTTTTCTTAGAGCAAAGAGGGACTTGTTAAGATGTAAATGCTCATCTTTCAGGCTGCATATGCTGTCTCAGTGGGCCTTGAATCAAGCCCAGCACCGGGGAGCTATGATGCTGACAAAACTGTCCTTGGATTACATTTGGAGTTGCGCTGCCTTGGAAACCTCTAACATTGCTGGTGTTTTCAGATACACATTGATCCATTCATTACTTTACCACTCACACAGACTCCATAATATCTCTCCCTCCGGATTTAGAAGTACACATATCCACAAATCTGCTCAATCTGTCTTCTTGGATTCTTCACCTACAAATTGAACATATTAGCACCTCTTACCCCGATACTGCTCCATCTCTTGCATTTTCTATCTGGGTCACAGGCATCTTTGAATTCCTCCTCTCCTTATTCCCTCACCACACCCACACATGCAAACAATCATTAAGACCCATCAGTCTCTTGAATACACCTGTTTGTGTTTCTTTGTCACCAATGCCTAGATTATTGTCATAACCTCCCAACTTGCCTCTCTTTCTCCACATTACCTTTCTCACAGCTGTCACAGTTCATTTTAAAATCATGAATCTGATTATATTACTCTCTGGTTCAAAGATTAAATTAGAAACTCCTCATTTTGGCCAAAAAGGTCCTCCATAAACTGTCTCAATTCTGGTTTCGTCTCCACTCTCCTTCCTATATACTTTCCAGTCACACCACGGTTTTCTTTCATGCTTCCAAGCCATTGCACCTGTGTGTCCCTTTGCCTGAATTCCTTTTCCTCCCCTTTGCTTTCAAACCCCACATTATCACTAGCTCAACTACAGCTACTTTTGGACTCTTATAGCACTTTTTATCTATTCCCATTATGGCACATATCTATCATGTTATATTGAATTTATTTGACTCTGACTTTTTGTCCTTGCTGCCTAGTGCTGAGAACTGGTAGGGGTTTATTTAATATCCAGAGAAATTCCAAGTAGTCTTGTTTGTGCAGATCTTTCAAAAGTACAGTTCTCCAACTTTATGAGTAAGAGTTTGAAGGTGCCTTAGAGGTCTTCTAGTCTACCCTCTTATTCCATGATGAGCAAAATCAAGACCTACAGAAGTTGAGTCATCACTTAGTGAGTGCCTGCTATCTCAGTTCATCTTCATAATGACCTTTGAAGTAGGCATTTCTACTAATACCCATTTTATAGAAGTGAAATTGAGGCCTCAGTGAATGTAAGCAATTTAGGCCCAAGGTCATGTAGCCGGTTACCTGGCAAGATAAAATTAGAATTCAGGTCTTCTTATAGTTGGCCTAGGCATCTTTCCCTTGTCTCACATTGCTATTTACAATTTGCAGCATTCCCTGAGTTATTCAACAGAAGCAATGATGATATATTTTGTACAGAGAGATGGAGTGTTTTCATGGAAAGAACCAAATTACAACAATGAGGCTGGTTTTATCCTTTGCTCTGTGAATTACTAGCTACTCTAGTCTCATCTAGAGTTGACTAAATGGAGAGATTTAAATTACCTGTATTTGTTGTTAATACAAAATAAGGATGGATATAAACATAAAATTAGACATATGAAAGGATTAAATGCACTATATTATTTCAACTTGCAGATGTTCAGGCATTTCTTTTGAAAATATTTTGTTATGAAAATAATTGGTGTTCATTATGGAATACTAGAAAACTATAAAAATAAATAGAAGAAAAAGATCACCTCAAGATTATTATTAACATTTGATATAATTCTTCCCAGTTTTCTCTATGCAGTTTTTCTTTGACATATTTGTGATCATATAAAATTTTTCTGCCACTGTTTTTTTTTCATTTTACATCATGACATAAGCATTCCCCCATTATCGCTATATAATCTTCATTAGCATAATGTTTCATGGCTACATAATAGTCCATCAGCTACTCACAGCATAATGCTTAGAGTTGTTTGATAAAGTGACATATAAAGGCATGAAATCCAGCAAGTTGGTAGTATGACAGCATTAACAGTTCAAAAGGACCTTAGATCTCTAGTGCTATGCGTATCCAAGTGTGAGCCCCAGACTGACAGCATGCGCATCATCTGGAAGCTTGTTAGAAATGCAGATTCTTGGGCCCTACCCTAGTCCTACTGAATTCAAATCTGTGTCTTAGTAGGATCCTTGGGTGATTTGTGGACACAGTAAAGTCGAAGAGAAAATGAGAAAAAACAGTGATTCTCAATCTTGACCGTACTTTAGGAAGATCTTCAAAATTTCAATGCCCAGGTTACACTCCAGACTAAATAAATCAGAATCTCTAGAGGTGGGACCCATGCATCAGTCTTTTTTAAAGCAGCCCTGGTTATTTCAATGTGTTCAAGAGCCATGGAAGAAGGAACAGAATCCCTACCTCAAACTGATTAGATGATGTTTATGCAGCCACTCTCCTTAGTGCCAGAATTCTTTCTACTAGGGAGAACTCTGAATTTCTATGGGAAGTTCTGGTAAAATAAGACCCCATAATACCTTTAAGGAAATTTAAGTTAAGAAATTTCCTTATATTTCCCATTCGTGTTTTCCTTTCTGCTCCTCCCTAGCCTCCTTCTCCATTTTTCCCCTCTCCAAAGAGATTCCTGGCTTGACACTCTCTGGAGATCCTGCTCAGAGACCACAAAGCCTGGTTTTCCTGTATCACAGAGCCAAGAAGCAATAGAAAGATTACTCGATTTCTTCTCAATAATTGTATTTGTTCTGGCACATTCTCCTGCTTGCAAGACCCACATCCAATTTCTCTTATGCCTGTATTTAAGCAAGCCAGGGGATTTGGAAACTCTGCCTCTGTCTACACAATGCCACAACCATGGGTTGAAAGAAAAGTCAAAGTCATAGCCATCAGTTGTTTTTCTAATTTTCTTTTCCATCAATTGACCACTGAAAAAACAAACACCTGAGTCAACTTGGAAGGCTTTGTTCTCCAAGTCCTGAAGAATGTTTGACAATTTCTAACCCTGGGACCTGGGGAAAATATACTTTTTCAAAACTGAAAGTTATAGTATTATTTCCCTTTTCTACACAAAATTGGACCATACCACATACTCTGAATATTTTGACTTATGTAGAGAATTTTATGATGGAACCCTAGGAAACTGGCATTAGACTTGACCAATAAAAAGTGATTTTTAAAATTCTTCAACCTTTAAACTCAGTTGGAGCAATGTTGGGGATCCTGGTTCTAATCTTTTCCCATTTTTAACCCCTTCAATTTTTCCTTCGGTTTCTAATATTTGTTTTTATTTAAAATATATTTTAAACTTTTTATTCTAAGTAGGATACAAAAATTAAACAGATGTTTAGCTAATAATGGCCAACCAAATACAAGCATTTATCTCTTTTTCTGTTTGCAAGTCACCAAAGATTGCAGCTTTTTTTTTTTTTAAAAAAAAAGGGATTAAAAAAAGAATAGGATGGGACCTATCAGCTTATGAGAGAGTTAAGAATATTCTAGAAGATAGGAGTGGTTGGAGGAATAATGGCTTGGAGAAAGGAGGCTGCGCTGTTTATTTACTGACTCCCCCACCCCCGGGTCCATTGGCCGAGGGCTGCCCTGGGACTGAGCCTGTGCCTAGGTCAAGAGAGCTAGGACTGCCAGTTGAAAGATGAGTCAGCACTTGTACAGAACTGTCCACCACAAATGCAGATGAAACTAGAGGCGGACTGCAGGCACGTGATGCTTGCACCAGAAATGACTCTATAGCCACATACAGCTGGATGTGGAAGAGCTCAATCCTCTATCTGAACATGATATTCCTGCTTAAAAACTTTCAGAGGTTTCTCTGCTGACTGAGCAGAGCAGAGGAATGGGCTTCGGATTCTTCAAGCCCTGAAACTTTGTGTGTATGTGCCTATTTTGGATGAGAAGATCCATAATTTTCATCACATTTTCAAAAGGGTATATGTTAAGTGTTTAAGAACCACAAACACAAAACCCTAATCCTTAACATGACAGGTGAGGCCCTACACAATCCAGACTAACCAACCGCTCTTGAGCCGCATCTCCTGCCAGTCGGCTCTCCCCCATCTCCCCTTACTCAGTGAACATTAAATTCCAGCCACAGAACTTCTCATCCCATCTCAAACATGCTATAAGCTCTTTAATCTCTCTCTGATTGAACGCATGCCTTTCTCTCTGCCAGGAATGTTGCTCCTCCTTTGCCACTTCCTCTGCCCCTTCTCTGCCTGGTGAATTTGCTTTTATCCTTTAAGACTCAGCAAAAACATCACCTCTGTGGCCCTCTCCCTCCTTCCTAGTGTTCTCCCCAACCGTTTCCTGAGCAATCCATACACCGATGTCTGTGGAGTTCACCCTTTGGTAGAGTCATTGTTTGTTTATGTGCTGCTCTCTTCTACTTGTCTGTGAATTCTTGAAAGCACAGACCATGGCCCTCACCACTCCAAACCATAACTTGGAACATAACAGACAACGATAATATTGATGCAACCAGTGAGAAATGAATGACTCCATTTATTAGCTTGGCCACCTGTCTCTTGGATCTTACAGAGAACCTGACCCCGAGAGACTGGGATATTCATAACTAGGTTTCCTGTCCAGGTTGTTAGAATCTGTCCTGGTTTAAATGTACATTTCTGATTCCTATACATCTTTTAAGAACCACTATGAAAAAAGAATAATCAGAGAACAAGAAAGGATACTTGAAATTAAAAATGTAATTGATGACATCAAAAATTTAGTAGGAGGTTTGGAAGATAGAGCTGTAAAAATCTCCCAGAAAGTAGAGAAGCCACCCCCCAAGGCTGGTGCACATGCCCTCCTTGTAGCATGTAGGACATTCCTTCTCACCAGTGCATTTATTTGTCACCCTGCATTGTGGTAGCCACTTTATGGATCACTGATTCCCAATAAATAGGCTGGGCTTCCTTGGAGCAGGGACTGTCTCTTCCTCCCCATCACTTATCCTGTGCACTAACGTACATGTGTATTGAAAGAATGAATGACAAATGTGTATGAAGGAGTGAAGGCAAACTTCAGTTGGGCTGGGGGTTGAGGGGAAGCTTTGCTGAGGTTAGAGGAAAAGGTGAATGAGGGTATATCCCTGGGGAACACTAGGGAAGATCCAGGCTAGGGGGAATAAACAGGTTCACAGCTACTGCAAGCGTGGCTGAACAGGGAAAGTGTGACTGGGCAGATGCAAGGGGTTGAACCACCAAGAAAAAGCCTGAGAGAAGGAAGGGGAGGTGGAAGGTCACTCAGGATTTCATCTTTCCTTAGGAATGACTTCATGCCAGGCATTGTGTTAAGGACTTTCCATGCATTCTCTTACTTAAGCTTCACAAAACCTTATAAAGTTGTAATTACTACTACAGCCATTTTCCAGGTGATAAGGATAGGTGTACAAACAATAAGTATCTGACCTCAGATTCTAGAGCTGGTGGTCACAGAACCAGGATTTGAGGGAAAAGTCTGATTATGTCTGTGTTGTTTTAATCACCAGGCTACTCTCTCTGGCAAAGGATCCCAAGCCGAACCTCTCATATTTTGTTCCACTTTGCCTAGGTCGGCAGTCCTGGGTGCCCAGAGCACACTCTGCAGATCACAGCTCGTAGGCTCCTAGCTGGGGATTGCACAGCTCCCTCTCCCAAATCACCGCAGTCTCCTTTTCCCAGAAAAAGCTGTGTGGGAGAGAGTAAATAGCTGGGTTTGGGAATAATGGTTTTCTTCTGTTTTGTGTTACTGGATCTGATGCACAGAAAACTGCCCAGAGCCTCAAATAATTACAGTAAGACGACTCCGCTTCCTTCACGTGGCCACAGCAGACAGGCAGGAGCCCAGACACACTGCAAAGCAAGTGCTGTGACTGTGAGATGGGAAAAGGCAGGAACCCAGAGTCAGGGATTCCTGACGGAACCGCAACCGCAAGCACAGCGTGGCACTCGGCAGAAACCGGGAAAGGGGCCCCACCCGGAAGGCCGGTGACTTGTTTCATTTTAAAGTCACTTAATAAAAAGCCCATTTAGACATATAGTTAAGTAAGGGAAATGGCAAGTTTTAAGATGATTCATGTAGTGCAGTACCATCTGTGTTAGGACAAAAAGCCCAACAAAGCGTGCAGACTGGAAGACCATCCACTTCCTGCTGCCAGCCATCATCCCTGAGGAGCGAGTGGTATGGGGGAGGGAGGGAGACCTTGGCTTTACCTGTATTTTGGAAATATTACTTACATGGCAATCATGTATTATTGGATGATGAAAAATGGTCAAGTAAATTTGAGAAACTTGAACCTAGTCATTTCTTTGTCAGTCAACATTAGAGTTGGCACCTCAGTGGCAGGGCCAATTCTTTCTTTGGTCTTCATGACCATGCCCCGTTTGCCCCCTCAGTTTTAAACTGGATACACAATAATACACTTTCCACCCTAAGGTACCAAATATTGATAGTTTCATAGTGTGAGTCAGAAGACATGGAAGAAGTCGTCTGATCCTGCACATACATGGAT
The DNA here is from genome assembly GCF_000001405.40 of Homo sapiens. Classification (NCBI taxonomy): domain Eukaryota; kingdom Metazoa; phylum Chordata; class Mammalia; order Primates; family Hominidae; genus Homo; species Homo sapiens. The sequence goes on along the minus strand of NC_000014.9, from coordinate 51,607,261 downwards.
GAAGAAAGGGTGGTCACCCCTTTCTTCCATTCTCCCGCTGTCCCCCACAGCAGCGTGATGGCCAGTGTTAGGTGTCAACTTGGCTGGGTTAAGGAATATGTAGAAACCTGGTAAAGCACTGTGTTGGCTGTGTCTGTGAGGGTGTTTCCAGAGGAGATTAGCATGTGGGCCTCAGGGGAGTAGTGGGGGAAGACCCACCCTCAGTGTGGGTGGGCATCATTCAATCTACTGGGGACCCGGACAGAATAAACACAGAAAAGAAAGTGCAGACCTGTCTGCTGGAACCGGGATACACCATTCCTCTCCTGTCCTTGAACAACAATTCCAGGCTCGCCAGCCTTTGGTCTGGAGAACTTATGCCAGCCCCCTCCCCACCTCAGGTTCTCAGGCCTTTGGCCTCAGACTGAGCATTACACCTTTGGCTTCCCTGGTTCTGAGGCCTTAGGACTTGGGCTGAGCCATGCTAGGTCAGCATTCCTGAGCATCCCAGAGTCTCCAGCTTGTGTATGGCGTGTCACGGTCTTCCCAGCCTCCATTTGCATGAGCCAATTCCCCTAATAAATTCCCTCTCATATCTCTCCCTATATTTATCCTATTGGCTCTGTCTCTCTGGAGGACCCCAACTAATACATGCAACCTCCCTGCTTTTCAGCATTCATTTCAGACACTCAATCCTAGAGCTATTGGGATAGAAATAATTCATGGACTGAGCCCAGGAGAGCCAGGGTCACCTAAGTATTATCCCAGGGTCAGAGCATCATTAGGACAGAGGTGATGGGAGAGGGCTGGGGACTAGAGATTGTTCCTTGGAAAAGGCCTGCAGAGTGCCCAGCAGGGGTGTACATATGTGCATGTGTATGTGAGGATGTGCATGTGTCTCACATATATGTGCTTATATGTGTGGGCATGTGCATATTTGTATGTGTGACTGTGTATATACATTAATATGTGTGCTTGTTGTACGTATGGCTGTGCCTGTGTATTTCTGAATGTCCATGTGTATTACTGGCTGTGTGTGAGTTGGTGAGTTTGAGGATATTTGTGTGGAATGGATCATTCTTTCCCCAGGCCAGAAGGCCAAGGAGATGCTACCAAGTGCTTGAAGACTTGATGTCACATTCTTGACTACACCCACCCCCCTAGAACTTCCTGGCATCTCACTGTGATGCACAGGCATGGCAAAGGATAACGCTTACCTTACCCTGGAGAGAACACACTTTCTCTAGCCTCAGAAACTAACCCATCATACTTCTGGCTGCATTATCAATTTTCAATTAAGACACCAATTTCTCTGACCCTCTGAAGACAACAGCATGGAGCCTGAGTAATAAAGTGGAGTGGGTTCAGTGTATCCAGCCTCAGCAGTAGGAAGGACACAAGTTCTGAGACTCGGGGGTACAGCTCTTCCTGATATGACCACTTGAATTCCCTTTACAGATGAATAAAGTGATATCTTGTGACTCTGGTTGCCTTCTCTTTCAACAGGTCTCAAAATGTATAGCCCACATCCTGTTAGCAACATTTGCACATACCATTTCCAATGATAGAAAGAGTCATATTCCAGATCCAATAGAAAGCTAATCCTGTATAGTCTTGATCTGCTGGGTGCCATTTCTGCAGATGGGGGCATGACACCTCCCTGAAGTGCCTTTTAAGGTATATATTCTCTCTCAGCATTTTCACGAGGGACATTCAAGTAGAGCATACATCTTTTGGGGTAAGACATAAGCAACATAATTATAGGGACTCCAAATACTTCACGTGTGGAGACATTAAGAAAGAATGATTTCTTTCCCTTATTTGATGTAGCAAATTCAAACCCATCCTCTTCAAACCCATCCTAAAATTGGAATAAATAATGTAATGCAAATATATGTAAAGTGCTTTGTTAAACAGATGCTTGAAGGCAGCATGCTCGTTAAGAGTCATCACCACTCCCTAATCTCAAGTACCCAGGGACACAAACACTGCGGAAGGCCCCAGGGTCCTCTGCCTAGGAAAACCAGACCTTTGTTCACTTGTTTATCTGCTGACCTTCCCTCCACTATTGTCCTATGACCCTGCCAAATCCCCCTCTGTGAGAAACACCCAAGAATGATCAATAAAAAAAAAAAAAAAAAAAGAAACCTGCAGAGAAGTAAATAGCATAAAAAAGTAATGACTATGTAACAAATTAGATGGGTGGCCAGGCAGGGGTAGAGATACAGGGAACTTCACAAAGCAATGGTGTTGTTTTGGTTGGTTTCTGTTTGTTTTACCCCTCATGTATCTTGAGATCACAGCTCGCATAGGCCATTACACTTCAACGATATAATCTCAGGACTGGAATATATTCACTTGTGCCAGTATTAAGAGTAAGCAGTGCTCACTTTGGTAGCACATATACTAAAATTGAAATGATACAGAGATTAGCATGGCCCCTGAGGAGGTTGGGAGTACAGAGGCGTGGAGAGGGCCTGGAAGAGTATAAAGGTGGAAAATGAACTCTTGGAGTAGTTAGTATTCCCTGGACAAGAAGATAGACAAGGAGGATGAAAAGAATATGGCACACTTCAGAGTTTCTAGTTGACGTTGTTCTACCCAAGGGATGCTCCTTGGCATCTGGTGGAAGAAATACAATGGGCCATAGAACTTTCTCTTCACCTCTTCCCATTCTCTTAAGCTCTTAGCATCTATTCCCCCAACTTATCATTAGTTTTTTTAGTGTTTCTTTTTATTTCTGGCCCAATTATATCCAATGATTTCTGCAAAACATGAAGATTTTAATAGTATTTTAGTAAGAATCTTCCTTCTTGCTGTGAATTCCTTCAAATAATAATCTTGAAAGCACACTAATAATAATAATGATAATAATCTGGAAAGCATAGTTTCCAGTTCAAGTAAGTAGCATTCCAAGTGATTGCTCAATGCCTTACTCCAAAGCGATTCCTTCCAACCCACCACAAGGCCAGAGCTCACTCTGGAATGTACTGTATCTTACACATCTTGGAATCTCCGGTGCTTTTCACGCAATGGGTGCTCAAAACTGTGGAACTATACTGTGAACTGTTGGAAAAATTTTCCTCCCAGACCTGCACCATCACACACATGCAGACATTCTGCCCCCACCCAGCAATCTAGCGGTCTCTCACTATTGCAAGTAGTAATGAAAGCTTCCTGACCAAATGACAAAGCCAGTGGCTCTTCTGAACTGCTCCATTTTCCATTATGCTCAGGATAGTTGGCATCTGTCTCCTCACTGCTCTGATACTCACTCCCTCACCTTCCTCTGCTCCTCACTCCATGTATTTCATCTTAGGGACTTTTTTTTTTTTTTTGTATCACAAGAGAAATTACCGTGGAAGGCAGGACATCGTATGGCAAATATTCTACATAAAATATGTTGAAAATTAGTCATTTTTTTAGTGCTTATGTGCCTGTCACCATGTGAGTTAGTTGTTTTCTATGTATGATTTTATTTAATGCTTGAAGAAGCCCTAAGAGGATGTTATTTTCCTTATTTGAGAACTCGGAAAACTGAGGTTCAGAGATAGCAAGCACTTCAGTCCAGGTTACGTAACTAGTGACTGGCAGTCTTGGTTTCTCAACCCCAGTGAGCAGTTTGATGCCAAGGCCCTTGCTCCACTGTCTCCCAGGAGAACATTTTTACCTTAGGGAAGGATGAAAAAATATCTAACATATTATAATTTTGTTCTATTTTTTTCTAACCATCTCTAGTATCAAAGGAAAGTTTTTCGTTATGTATTTTTCCTTTTTATAAAAGTAGTATTTGTTCACTGTAAACCATTCAAGAAATACAGAGAAGCAAAAAGAAGAAAAAAAAAATCACTTGCAATCCACCACTCAGATACAACATATCTGAAAGTTGGTATGGCTTTTTGATGATATTTTTGATTGAAACATTTTTTATGGGTTCATGTTGTATAAAGAGTTAAAACTGGAAACAGTTTTTATGCCACTTGTCTTAGTCCATTCAGGCAGTTATAACAAAGTATCATAAACTATGTGGCTTATAAACCATAGAAATTTTTTTCCTATAGTTCTGGGCGCTGGGAAGTCCAATATCAAGGTGCTGGCATATTCAGTGTCTGGTGAGGGCTGGAGTTCTGGTTGGTAGATGGTAGCTTCTTGCTGTATCCACATGTGGTGGAAGAGCTGGCTGGCTCTCTGGAGTCTCTTTTATAAGGGCACTAATCTCATTCATGAGGGCTCAGCCCTCTTGACTTAATCACTTCCTAAAAACCCCATCACCTAATACCTTGGGAGTTAGGATTTCAACACATGAATTTTGAGGTGATGCAAATATTTAGACCATAGCACCAATAAATTATTCCACAGCAATCAATTGTATAGCTATACCATAATTTCACCAGTACCACATGGTTAGCATGAAGTTTTGTTTCTTTGAATGTTAATAATATTGGGATAAACATCTCTGTAATTATCTCTGTATATTCTAATATTTTATGAAAGGGAAGAAATATTTTATAAGTGTTAAAAAACTGTTCACCCAAATGCATGAAAGTGAAAAAGAAACAAACACTTTGCTCTAAATCAGTAGTTGACAGGCTTTTCTTGTAAAGGGGCAGGTAGTAAATATTTTAGGCTTTTTGGGCCATACAGTCTCTGTCAAAACTACTCAGCCATGCCATCATAGCACAAAAGCAGCCATAGACAATCCATAAATGAATCAGCATGGCCATGTTTCAACAAAATTTTATTTATAGACCCTGAAATGTGATTCTCATATAATTTTCATGTGTCATAAAATAGTCTTCTTCTTTTGATTATTTTCTAATCATTTAGAAATGTGAAAACTACCTTTAGTCTGTGTGTCATACAAAAGCAAGTGACTGGTCCTTTCTTGCTCCAAATCATCCATTCATCCTTAGAGACATAAGCCTACATCTGTTTCTAGCCACAAAGTTATAGGATTGTGAGAATTCTCTTTCCAACCCTCCCTTCTCCTGGATTTACACACACACATACACGGACATACACTCCTGATTACCCCAAAGTCCTTTCCTAGTAAGCTGGCCACCCTCTCCCAGAGTTCCATATGTTCAAAAATTACTTCTATTTTCTTTAATTCTATTTCTTGGAGCATCTGATTATCTGACTGAATTAATTCACATTAAAGAGTGATTAGTGGGGATCAACTCTCCCTTTGAGAATTTCCATTTAAAAGAACATGTACCAGTGAGGCTAACGGAATGTTGGGGAAAACATTTTTGAGTGGCTGGATACCCAGCTCTTCATTTAGGAAGTTGATTTTGGTATTATAAGGCTTGCCAAGTAGGCTAAGATGACTTATCTACTGGTGCTTACAATCTAATCAGGGAGGCAGAACAACTGTGGTACAAGAAAAAATAAAAATTCAAATCAGAGGCTATTAACTGCCAAGAAAATGATAAAGAAATTAAATGACTAAATTATGATAAGGACAAAAATAATTGCTCAATGTTACCAAGCCTAGGCAGTCAGGGACATTTGTCTGCATGTTGGTAGACATAGGACCTTGCCTTCTTCCTCTCATGGATAATGGCTTCACAATATCCTCAGGGTCTTAAGCCTTTTATCCAGTTGAAGTCACTACTTCATGGTTTTACTTGTGCATAAATGATAAAAAGAAAAATAAAATTTAAACAACTTGAGCTTAGAGGGAGTTCTTGAGCCATTTACTAAATTTCTAGAGATTTGTAAAGCTCCAAACAAAATGCATTCATGAGTCCTTTAGCATATGACTGAACCTGGAAGTTTCACCACTAATTCCAAGGTAACCCTTGGACAGGCAAAGAGAAATAGGGCAATGGAGGGTTGATGTGACAGCATTTCCTGCAAAGGTATCCTCTCACCAGGTAGGCAAAGAAAGATAAGTTACCCAGACTTGAAATTGCAAGAGTCTTTTTTCCTAAAAATCACATCCTACACCCCTGGGGCAGTAAAACCCTTCTCTGAGGTCTCATAGAAAGGTGGTCTCGGGAAACTAAAACAAGCTTTGACCCAGGGGCTGCCAGCCAGCAGGTTTTCTCTTGTGGCAGTGTTTGCTTGCCATTCATCCAACCCTGACCAGAGGCTTCAAAAGCTGGAGCTCAGCTCTACCCAAAGCATAGTGGATGCTGGGGGACAGGTCTGCCCATGAAATGCCAGGAAACCCCAGAGCTAGGAGAGGTAGCTTAAAGGTCAACATCTGGGCATCAGGGTGCTTCTTAAAGCAAGTGGTGAAAAACACATCTTACCTCTATGTTCTAAAAATTGCTGCCCAAAAATCTTTGTCTTTAGTCACCCAATTTTCATTTCAAAGCCAAGTGCTAATAGGATATTAAAATAATATGCATATTACTAACCCAGGCTATGGGCAACTGCTGCTTGCTGCAAGCCCTTGACATTGCCTCCCTGTATCTAACCATGGTTCTGCTTAGTCTGGCTTCCTGCCTTTGGCAATGGCCAGGGTTTGATTGTTCAGAGAAAGGCAAATTGCCTAGTTAATTAAAATCTGTACTTTTAAAAACATTTTTCTCTTATATTGCCAGGCGAAGTTAAATGGGTACAACTTTCTTTTGAAAAGGCCAAAAATAAATTCTGGGCTTAAACATTGTAGATGAAATTGCTGCCTTAAATTCTAAGTTGCAGAAAAATAAAGGCTTATCATGAAAATTGTTATTTAGCTGTAACTGTGGGGGTGTAGGTACAAAGGGATTATTAACCTCCTTTATAAATGGGTATGTCAGGAACTTTGAAGGAAGACCCAGAGTTTAGTGGCCAAATGCCAGTGTGTGTTAAATATTCACAGTGAACTCTTCTCCCTTTGGTAATTGTAATTCTACGTCTGTTTCTAGCCTTTCTCACCTTGGTTATAGCACTCTGCTAGGGTCACATGGATTTCCAAAATCAACTGCAAGGGAGTATTCTGAATTCCTGTTGATAAATAAATTATGTTCCAATTACTGGTGCTTTTCTGAAATGTTACTCAATGAAGGGAAAAAAATTAAGCTCCTGAGCTCAGCATATCTTATTTTGCTATCGACCGTATTTCTGTGTCTGTGTTCAAGTAACTAACTCCTCTTGGCAACTCAAAGGAGAGCTTTAGGTAAACAAGTCAAACTATCTTCTTGTTTATACCTTTTTTGGAGAAAAAGTGAGAGTGCTGTAATTTTAAAAAAATTAGAACAGTAACAATGTCATCTTGAATTTACAAAGTGCAGGAGTTCTCAGATCTGTGATTTCAAGTCTTCCAACAACTCTTTTTGGGTGGGAGTAGTCAGGAGTCTGTGCTGTGGTTGAAGCCCAGGTTGGCCGTCGGGAGCTGAAATAGAGGCCAGGACTCCTGGCTCCCCGTCCAGACTCTGAGGACCCAGGAGCCTCCATGGGTACACTCAGAGGCCACACTAGATGCAAAAAGAACCATTTACAGAGAAGTGAGAGGTTCTCAAAGGTATGTGTTTCAGCATTTAACAAGGAATTTTACCTGGGGGGTGGTATTCATTCAGAACCTGGCTACAAAGCTTGAAGAAAAAAGAGCCAGAACTAAGGAAACCTGTGCCTGCCTTAGAAAGGCAATGAGAAGTCTGTTTGTGTCTTTTGCCCACTTTTTAATGAGGTTAATTGCTTTTTGCTTGTTCAATTGTTTAGGTTTCTCATGAATTCTAGATATTAGACCTTTGCTGGATATATAGCTTGCAAATATTTTCTCCCATTTCATAGGTTGTCTGTTTACTCTGTTGATTGTTTCTTTTGTTGTGCAGAAGTTCTTCAGTTTAATTAGGTCCTATTTGCCAATTTTTGTTTTTGTTGCAATTGCTTTTGAGAACTTAGTCATAAATTCTTTCCCAAGGTCAATGCCCAGAATGGTGTCTCCTAAGTTTTCTTCTGGAATTCTTATACTTTGTGGCCTTATGTTTAAATCTTTAATCCATCTTGAGTTAATTTTTGTATATGGTGAAAGGGAGGGGATCAGTTTCATTCTTCTGCATATGGATAGCTAGCTATCCCAGCACCATTTATTGAATAAGAAGTCCTTTTCCCATTGCTTATTTTTGTCAACTTTGTTGAAGATCAGATGACATATAAGCAGCCAACAAACATAGAAAAAATGCTCAACATCATAATAATCAGAGAAATGCAAAGCAAAACCACAATGAAATACCACCTCACACCAGTCAGAATGGCTATTACTAAAAAAAAAAAAAAAAAAAAAAAAAAAGACAGATACTGGCAAGGCTGCTGAGAAAAGTGAATGCTTATACACTGCTGGTGGGAATGTAAATTAGTCCAGCCACCGTGGAAAGCAGTTTGGAGATTTCTTAAAGAACTTAAAACAGAGCTACATTTGACCCTGTAATACCATTACTGGGTATTTATCCAAAAGAAAATAAATCATTTTACCAAAAAGACACATGCACTTGTATGTTCAGTGCAGCACTATTCACAATAGCAAAGACAGAATTAACCTAGGTGCCCATCAGCAGTGGATTGGATAAAGAAAATGTGTTATATATACACCATGGAATACTACACAGCCATAAGAATAATGAAATAATGTTATTTGAGAAACATGGATGCAACCTAAGTGAAGTAACCCAGAGATAGAAAACCAAATACCACATGTTCTCACTGATAAGTGGGAGCTAAACACTGGGTACTCATGGACATAAAGATGGCGGCAGTAGACCCTGGAGGCCACAAGAATGGGGAGAGAGGGAAGGAGACAAGGGCTGAAAAACTACCTATTGGGTACTGTGCTCACTACCTGGGTGATGGGATCATTCATATCTCAAACCTTAGCATCACACAATATGCCTACTTAACAAACTTGTACATGTACCCCATGAATCTAAACTAAAAGTTAAAATTATTTTAGAAAGAAGAAAGGCAATGACATGCAACAATAAGCAGTCAGACTGATATTCACCCCATACCCTGACAACTCCCTTCATTTATTCTCAATCACACTTGGGGTGCTTCTGCAGGAAGGGAATGGAGGAGGTTTGGCTCTTGGGACCACTTTCTGTGTCTGTGATTATAGATTATAATGTTAATTTCTGGTTTGGTTTTTTGGGGGCTAGGGGGAGAAATTAGTTTTCTTTAATTTTTTCTCCTCTCTGGAGCAAAGCTGTTTTTCTCTCATTCTTTTTAAATAATTTCATTGTCAATGAAAACACAAAAGACAGTTGAAAGCAATTCAAAATAGGGAATTTTCCACTGGGGAGAAATCAGGGAATAGCATAAAATGGCTTCTTGCCCTTTTCTTCAAATTCCATATTCATATTAACAGCAAAAATGGATGGTTGGGGGGCAGCCGTCTGCATCTGTTTTGAATCATCCTTGTTTCCAGGCCTCAGTCTCTTCCCACACTTCTCCAAACTGTCATCAGGTTTAATGGCAAGGCAGCCTTGGGCGCTGCACTCCACCCTCAGAGACCAGTCAGAACTCTCAGTGGCCCTGAGTGCTAGACCTTGGAATTGGAACCATCTTAGAGATCATCTGGTCTTGGAATTTCTTTACCCCCTTCTTTAATAACTTGGATTGAACATTTATAGAACACTTACTATGCACCAAGGAATGTTTTAAGTAGTTTGTATATATTAGCTCATTCATTCATCACACAGCCCTATCAAGTAGGCACCATTATCCCCACTTACAGATGAAAAACTGGGGCACAGAGAAGCTGAGTCATTGACCAGGATGGCCTTCTACAGGGTGGCAGAGCTGCCTTTCCTCGTTACACATTCTGCATTCCAGCCAAACGTGCTGTAGGCTCTAGGTCTCCATCTTAGGCCTCTGCTCACTCCTGTTCCTTTTGCCTGGAAAGCCTCCACATCTGGTCCCTCCCCTAAACTCTGCATTGTCCAAATCCTATATAGCCTTCAAAATGAAGGGCGGATGCTGTCTCCTCCAGGGAGCGACTCCTAATTGCCTTTAGCTAGGGTCAATCTCCTTATGCTGAAATAGCGAAGTACTTCCATTGTACTGTGTGGCATGTGCCATATTCTGCCCTGCATTCTAGTTATGTATGCATATATTTCATTTTTTTAAACATAAGATAAGCTCTCTATGGTAGAATGCATGTGTGATGATCTCCCAGCTCCCATATCACCTAGTGCATTCTGTGGCACACATTAGATAATGTCTGTTGCTGTATTTACCACATGGTACAAAAAATGTGTGAATGATTATGCACATCATAGGTAACATTGCTTCATGAGCAAATGCCCTCTTTGACACATTGCAATCAGGCTCCTATAAAATTGCATATTTATAAAATGAATATTTACATGTGTTAGTTAAATGCGATGCAGTTTTTCCTAAGTGGGGAGGCATCTGTGTGATGTATAAACTTGCAACAACAGAGCAGCAGATCTGAGGACCCCACGTATACATGCGGGGTGCTGTCTGCCTTGGATGAGCTGGTCATTGCATGGCTTCTCTGAATGCTCTTGTGTGAAAGACAGCTTTTCTCTTGAGTCTCTACACTATCATTGCTCTTTCTGGGCCCATGAACTTTTGAACCAGGCGGTGGGGCTCTGCTCAGAGTAACTCTCACCCACCAATGTGTCCACATTGCAAGTGGTATTCACAGGCCACAGAAGCGTCACTGCTTAACCATGAGCCTTGAGACTCAGCCACAGCTCAGGCCACCACCCTCAGGATGCAAAACACTTCCTCCCATACATAAAGCTACACAAAGTCATTATTGATGACACTCAGCCACATGGGTAAACTTACGAAGGAGTACACTTTTTCTAATTTTCATGTAAGTATCAGAGAAACAATCAGGCAGAGAGAGCAATGAACACAAAATATTTTGATATGATCATTTGACAGGGTCTTAGATAGTAGGTATCAGCTTATAATAGAATTTAAATCACCTCCCAACCTCAGGCTTACACGGTTCACAGTGCAATACTCCCTGAAATCAGTAATGTGAGGGTGCTTGATTCTGGCTACGTATCAGATTTCCTGTGGAATTTCACACATACCCATACACACACACACACACACACACACACACACCAGGCTCTCCTCTTGGAAATTCCACAATTCCAAAAAACTGCATAGTTCATTCTGATGTGAAGCATGGGTTGAGAATTACTGTGACCAAATGAGACACAAAAATAATAGGTCACTCAGTCCCAGGCTGTGTCTTTTGCTGTTGCTGCTTTTTAATCAAAAAGGCTAGAGAGGCATCTCAGTGGGAACATTAGTTCTGCAAGTGACAAGACTTATAATATTTCATAACTATAGAAAACAGCGGGTGGCTATGATTTCAACAGCAGAAGTAAAACATTTTTCCATAAGCACAAACCAAAATATGTAAAACCCTACATACCCCAAAGAAGAGGAAAAATAAATTCAAGATTGTGAAACTTATATTCTGTTTACATTAGAATACCATTAATTAATTATCGACAATAGTTTAGTTTTAAAATAAAACCAGAATGGAGAAGACTCATTATTGCCTGAGACTCTAAGGAAGGCAAACTGTTGTTTACTGAAAAATTTCATGAACCATAGTCTATAGCCATATGGAAAAGCTAGTACATTATATTTTACAGCATGTAATTGATCTACAATATTATCTTCAATTCATCCTCATTAATTGGCTTTTCCATGAAACAGAAGGGCTTCCCCTTGCCATCTTTGATTTGGCAGATGTGGCTGGATTTCATGCTGTCAGGGTTCACCCTATGTACTCCCCTATAAATGTTCTTTTTCTTTCTGACACTTCACTCACTCCAGAGATGAGCCTTCACACTGTTAACAATACTTTCATATCCCTGTCTGCCCTGGAAGTAGATTTTGGTCTCTACCTTTCCAACATAATCAAAGTTTACCAGTCCCATGTTCCTTGATTTCAGAGTATCCTGTTTCCCAGACTCTGTTAAGGAAATGCTAAAGTGTTTTGTAGAATAATCTGAGAAAATGGGATCTAATAACAAAATACATCATATTTCCAGGGTACAGATTTGAGTTCAAAGGGATCTTCTGTCAATAATGCCTTAGCCTAAAAGTGGTACTCTGAAAGTCAGAATTCCAGGCACTCAGAGTTAGGGGACTGATGCAGCTTTGGCAAGACGGGTCGCTCTCAAATCACATTGCTTAAGCATCTACTTAGTCCACCTATTCCAAGAGTTTTGGCTCATTGGTCCATGTGGTCTCCTAGCACAGAACGGGATGAGAACTACAGGCTCCCTCCTTTGGTGTCTAGCACAATCCAGGACTCCCTACCCCTTCCGTTGAGGCTGAGTATCCAGGGTTAACCCAACAGCTCATCATTCTTTATTTCTCTTCTATGCAAGTTCTGATAATTTTCCTGAAGGCACCATCTCCAAAGGAAGGAACGAATATCCAAAGCAGCCAATTTTGCTCTTGCTTAACAATTCTGGCCAGAGTCTTGCCACCGGTAAATAACAGGGACTCTTCCTGCTTTATTTCCCATTTCCAAGCACAGTGGGGAGTTGGGTCCCTGGGGTGGACAAGGGTTAACCCATGTACTCATGGCCGGGTGTGGTGGCTCATGCCTGTAATCCCAGCACTTTGGGAGGCCAAGGCAGGTGGATCGCCTAAGGTCAAGAGTTCTAGACCAGCCTCACCAACATAGTGAAACCCCATCTCTACTAAAATACAAAAATTAGCCAGGCGTGGTGGCTCACACCTGTAATCTCAGCACTTTGGGAGGCCGAGGCGGGTGGATCACTTGAGGTCGGGAGTTCGAGACCAGCCAGACCAACATGGAGAAACCCCATCTCTACCAAAAAATATAAAATTAGCCGGGCGTGGTGGCACATGCCTCTAATCCCAGCTACTGGGGAGGCTGAGGCAGGAGTATCACTTGAACCTGGGAGGCAGAGGTTGCCGTGAGCCAAGATCGCACCATTGCACTCCAGCCTGGGCAACAAGAGTGAAACTCCGTCTCAAAAAAATAAATAAATAAATAAATAAATAAATAAATAAAAATAAAATACAAAAATTAGCTGGGCGTGGTGGTGCACACCTGTAATCCCAGTTACTTGGAAGGCTGAGGCAGGAGAATTGCTTGAACCCAGGAGGTGGAGTTTACAGTGAGCCGAGATCGCGCCACTGCACTCCAGTCAGGGTGACAGAGCAAGACTTCATCTCAAAAACAAACAAACAAAACATGTACTCATTTCTTGTTCTTAGTAAATCTCTGGAGGGGGTATAAGAAATGTCGTGAGTTCATCTAGGTTCCATCAGTAATTCACTGTGGCATTCCCATTTCACACACCCTGTTCTGTTGTCCCTCTGAGTATATCTGTAAATGCCAAGCCGTTTGGTCTTACTTTTGCTTCAGAAAGTAGGGGGATTCTATTCTTGGAAAGGAGAAATGAAAATTTTGTAGAGTTGGGGGTGTGGTTCATATATATATACATATATATGTGTGTGTGTGTATGTATATATAGATATATGTGTGTATTTATATATACACATAACATATTTCAAATTGCCATCTTCAATTTTGTACTTACTATATCAAAGTAGTCTGGTATCCAGAAACGGGAGTCAGGGTTTACCTAGATTATTCTCTTTGAGAATGAAGCCCACGAACTCCAGCAGAGAAGACAGAATCAAAACAGCTGGATTCGTCATTAGAAAGCACAAGTTCACCCCTGTCTGGCACAGTCATGTGCTCACTACAGTCTCACAAGGCTGAGGGCAGAGGATGCGAAGCAAGACCATTCAGAGGCACAGGAATATACGTGCAGCAGCCAACTGTCTGCTGGTACAACACAGCTTGCTCTGCTGACATTCATTTTTCTGTTGTCACAGGTACAATTTAGTAATCTGGCAAGTAAGTTTTTATTTTAAAAGCTGTGAGAGGGGAGCTAAAAATTCTAGATATATTTTGAAATTAGGATTTATTTGTCTTTGCTTCCACTTATTCACATTCTTCAGGAAAGGGTGAATGTAAAATCCAAGAAGAAGGTCAGCATGTTTCTTTGGCTGCATTAGAGGCTACATTACAAATACCCTCTCTTTGTCAGAAGGGAAATCTGGAGCTGTTCGCTGGGGCAGTGTTATAGAGTCCCTTGCCTACTCTCCTCACCCACATGACTTCCCTCTGCAGGTGCAGATATGTTAACATCCCATCAGTTACACCGAGGACCCTGCAATGAAATGCAGCTCATCAGGATGCCATAAAAAATAAGAAGGTGGTTTAGGTAAAAACTACGAAAGGCATTGTTTACTAAACTGAGTGACAAAATAACATCACATAACCATCAGCTCTGCCTATATCCCTTTCCTCCCACATCAAAGACTGAGCTGACTCAGATAGGGAAGCCTTAAAAATAGGTGCTACAATGAGGAATGCACAGGTTTTGTCTTTCATTGCACTTCATATATTTTTAATAAAGGACATATATTTAAAAAATCATTTGTAAGATATTTTGTTAATTTTAAATGAACATTTAAAAATAGAAATTGTGGCTTCTATAAAAATCAGAACTTTGCTTTGATATGTACATACAGATTAAAAATTTAACCCTATTTGCTGTAATCTAAAGAAATGTGTTAAGGCTCTAAGGCTGAATTACAGTTACGATGGAAACCAAAAAATGTAACCATTATGATTTAGGAGCCTCTAGATTCTCAATAATTTGTTGTTTGAAGCAGGGAAATTAAATTTTTAATTAAATGAGTAGAACACAAGTAATTTTACAGGAAATTTATTACATCGTGTTCAAATGTCATCTAATGTGTTCCTTGATGCTCTTTGGGTAATTTTTTCAGCAACTGCTGGCAAGTTTTTGAGAGATAGGTTAGAATATTTATTGAGCACCTACTACTTATTTAAAACACTGTACAGGGCTCCAGGGATGGGAAGGATAACATATAAATACATAGTTTCTATACACGAGAAATTTTAGTTTAGTTCAGATAATTTTTAAAACACACGCAATAACCCAAATGCCTTTACAGAGCTATAGTTCAGCAACAAGGCATCCTAACAATATTTTGATCAAAGGACTCTGAACCGAGGACAGAGAGAGCCAGTCAAAGGGGTCTAAAACTCTCAATGGAGCTGAATTTTAAACCAAGCTTTTTTGTAAATCACAATTTCCTCTCTGATCACAAAAGCAACATGTGCTAATTGTTGAACATTTGAAAATATGAAAATTTCAGAAAAGAAAATTAAAACCAGCTGTAATTCCAACTCCTATATTAACTTTTTGGTGTATTTGTAATGGTAACTTTTTTCCTATGGAGTATATATAGGTATGGGCAGTTGTCACTTTGCATGATAGTGTGAGACTGCAAAAATGACCATGAAAGCTAGAATCATGCAAAGTGATCTTAACAATCAGTGGAGAAAATCCAATTGTTCTGTAACCTTTAAAATTATTTTGTCATTAAACTCTCTTACTGTTGTTTATAAATGTATAAGAAAATAAAAAATAGTGGCCGGATGTGGTGGCTCACACCTGTAATCCCAGCACTTTGGGAGGCCAAGGAGGGTGGATCACGAAGTCAGGAGTTTGAGACCAGCCTTGCCAACATGGTGAAACCCCGTCTCTACTAAAAACACAAAAGTTAGCTGGGCATGGTGGCGCACACCTGTAATCTGAGCTAACTGGGAGGCTGAGGCAGGAGAATTGCTTGAACCCAGAAGGCAGAGGTCGCAGTGAGCTGAGATTGCGCCACTGCACTCTAGCCGTCTTGGAAAAAGAAAGAAAAGAAAAAACAGTAAAATTAATCTTTAGTACTCTGAATTTAAAATATAGAAATGTTGAGAATTAAAGTGTTTTATTTCTTTGTAAAAAACTTATCAGAAATAGTTTGAATAATGCTGGTCTATCTTTCATTGTACAACTTATAATGTGGAGCAAGCATCTTTTTTGCAAATTGTCATACTTCTAAGTCTGGATCAGCTTCCACCACTTTGTCCTTTGTACTTTCAATGAGGTGAACTATCTCTGATAGTTCCTTTAATGTAAAGTTTTTTTTTGTTTGTTTTGTTTTGTTTTGTTTTCTGCCAGCATCACTTCTTCTGTGTGTTTTCAACACCACCACATACTTCCAGAAGGGCTGCCTTTACCTAATTTACACAAAGACGCAGTATGGACTGGCCTTGGCCCTGATCAACATGATGGATTCTCACCACAGCCCTCAGAGGTGACAGAGAAGTTCTGATTGCTCCAATTTTATACGAAAACAAAACAAAACAAAATGAACCAAAAAAAACCCCACAGCAGCTGCCATTGGGTCAGTGATTTATCTAAGCTGAGAATGAATTGGTGAGATAAAGATGCAGTTGAGGAAGATATTAGAATCCAGGCTGAGCAGGTTTCATTTGAAGAAAAAGGCAACAGGGGACTGCGAGGTATATATAAATCAGGCTACACATTAACTTCCACAGAGTAAAACAGTAAGTCACAGCTGTCCACCTGGAAGAGATTGCTCTGGGCAGCTTGATGCCTTCCAACCAGTTAAATTATTTCTTCTCCAAAACTTTGGTCACTTTTTGCATTTGGATCAGATCTTTGGAGACATCTCCATTTTCCTTGAGGAGTAAATATACAGCCACCAGGATTTTAAAAAAGTGAGTCTGAAAGCAAATATCCCTTCACCTCACTGTCTTTTGTAATTGAACTTTACAGACCCCTTTTAGAGAGTTGTAATTACTGTCGTTACTGTTCTGAGAGTATCTGGGCCTAGGGTTTTTCTGAGTTCTAAGCCACACAGTCTGTACTCTTACTTGACAGAGAAATGCTGTTGCATAAACCAGATCCTTCAGCTATTAGGGAGTCAGGGGTTTAACTTTCCTGGGTGAATTTAGCATTTCTTCTTGGATTTACAAGCTTTAGAGGAACACTTGTAAAAAAAAAAATTGCTGGGTACAAACCAATTAATCCTTCCTCCAAAAATAGCCAAATGATATTGGTAGGTGTTTAAAAACAAAAACAAACCAAAAAAATCGAAGAGGCTGCCTCTGAGAAATAGAACTTGAAAAATAGTTCTCTGGTCAAACATCTGGAAAAATCTCACCATCATTCTGCCTCTTTGCAGTGTCATGACACTCTCGGAGAGTCCTTCTTTGTAGGTAAAAAATGTTTTCAATTTATTGGGAATTACAAACCTATTTTTTTCTATATTTTTAGACAAGGTGAGAAATCCAACATTAACAAAACTTTTTAAAAAATTCTCACTTACCTGATTTTTTTTTTTTTTTTTTTTTTTGAGTTTCGCTCTTGTTGCCCAGGCTGGAGTGCGGTAGCACGATCTTGGCTTGCTGCAATCTCCGCCTCACAGGTTCAAGCAATTCTCCTACCTAAGCCTCCTGCATAGCTGGAATTACAGGTGCCTGCCACCACGCCCCACTAATTTTTGTATTTTTAGTAGGACGGGGTTTCCCCATGTTGGCCAGGCTGGTCTCGAACTCCTGACCTCAGGTGATCCACCCGCCTCAGCCTCCCAAAGCACTGGGATTACAGGCGTGAGCCACCATGCACAGCCTCATTTACGTGATCATTTATTGATATCTGGACTAACTTGTGTTCTATGGAACTTGTTTTAAGAAAGCTGGACCATGGTCATGGACACAGTTGGTTATGCACAGCTAACTCTATTTGAACTCAGAGCTACTTCCTGTCCCCAATTCCAGAACCAGAGGGGTAGTAACAGAAAATGAGCCAGGAATGATCAGGCTCTCTGGCTGAGGCTGGCAGTAGCATTTTCATCCCTCAGTGGAGAGTGTTTTGTGTATGTGAAATGAGGAGTGTGAGGCCAAGCAGATGGGGCTCTGTTCTCCCTCACCCTTCTTCAACCCAAGCAGATCTGCTTTGATCTGCCTTAGATGTTGCAGTTTCTTGCAAGGTTTCATTAGAAAAATAAAAAAAGATTCCATCAGCAAAAAAAGAAAAAAGAAAAACAACAACAACAACAAAAAAAACCAAAAACAAAAACCCAACCAAAACAAAACAATAGTGGATGGTGGTGTTTTAAAACCTGTACATGGAGCAAAAATCTAGGAGTGATAAATACTCTCTAGGACCTTCTATAGTCACTTATCCTCTGGTTTTCCCATCTGTAAAATGGGATTGATAATGCTGTGGGGACTAAAAACTCTTTTTGGAAAAGAATGAAAGCTTGCTGCATACTTAGTTCAAGGTAGAATGTGAGCAGGTAGAGAAGGACAGGAAGGAAAGTAAATATTTGTCATTTTTCAGCTCTCCATCATCTGAATCCCCTTCCCATTATCAACTGTGAGGTAGAAGGTCAACTGCATGTTCCCATGGGTGTTTAATATCAGAGTGAGTGACCCAGAGAAGCCTGGACAGTTTAGGGCTTATGGTGGTCATGGTGCAGTCACCACTCAGTGACATGGCATCAGCCGTGGCGCACAGTCCCCAGAAATGGCAGTGACCAAGCCACACTGTTCATGTGGCATGAGACTTTGAGTTTCCTTTGTCCCCTGTGTGGGTTTTGTGTCTGATTCTCTGGCCTTCCCATGAGTCTGTGAGCCTCTCTTTGTTCTTTGATTTAATGCTTTACAGTTTAAGTTCGCCAGAATTATTTCAAGTGAGAACTGTTAGGCATAGATGGTGGCATATCAGAGTGTGAGGTTGGGGCAGCCTGGGGTGGAAGTCATTTTAGGAGATCTAAAACTCTCCTCATGTGAGCATTCAAGCTGATCACTAAAATTTGTCTCAAAGGGAATGGGAGAACCATGTCCCCTGTTTGGGTCGTGTTCCTGTAGATGTAGAAGATATTTCAGCAGGGGAGGGTATTTCTGCTCCTTGTATTTATAATTTATAATTTTCCTACATAATCAAGTAGAGACCTGCAGAACACCTATTTTTCTTTTAAACTTCTCTCTCTGCTAGTTTTGTTAGGATGTAATAAAAATTAATCTTTTAACAAGTTAATGGGTGCAGCACACCAAGATGGCACATGTATACATATGTAACAAACCTGCACATGGTGCACATGTACCCTAAAACTTAAAGTATAATAATAATAAAATTAAAAAAACCAAAAAACAAAGATTAACAGAAAACAGAACAACAAAAAAACTCCCAGCATATACATTGAGTCATTTGCAGGTTTGGGAGGGGGGGAAATGCTTTTTTGTATTAGGAGAAAAGTAAGTTTTCATTTTAAATGTCTATATTACTTAAAGTTTGCAATAAATATTTATTACTTTCAACAGTGAAAAAAATTACAAGAGAGAATATGAAATAGCACAGTAATACAGACTATAGTAATGCTAGAGAACATAATGAAAACGAAAGAAAATATGGGGGAAAAATAGCTAAAATCCTAATCCAAACAGCACTTGACTCTCAGGGGTCAGGGGAGTTCATTTCCATCGTGCTGTAACCCTAAACTTTTTCTTGTTCTATTGAATGCACAGAACAGTGATAAGAACGTCATTGCCGCTAACGTCAGTAGGAAGGACCCTCAAGGTTACTTTCATGGACAGGGACCACTTGTTTCTTCTTCATATTTTAATTTTATACTTAAGCATTTTTACAGTTAATGCAGCTTAACTATTCAAAGCAAAACACTGAAAATGTCTAGATGGGTCTGCACAACCCCATAAACAGATAGGTTTGGTCCTGGCCTTTTTATCAGCTCTTAGTAAGATTACACATGCAAGCATCTCCATCCCAGTGAAAATGCCCTCTAGATCACCCAGATCAAAAGCAGCAGATATCAAGCACACACAAATGCAGCTCAAAACACCTTACTCAACCACACCCCCACGGGAAACAGCAGTGATAAATCTTTAATAATAAACGAAAGTTTAACTAAGCTATACTAATATTTAGGGTTGGTCAATTTCGCACCAGCCACCGCGGCCATACAATTAACCCAAGCTAATAAAACTTGGCATAAAGAGTGTTTAAGGTCTGCCCTCAATAAAGCTAAACTCCATCTAAGAGGAGGTGACACTCAGAGGTGTCACTGCTACCTCATCTGTATTTTCAGAGAAGCCACCTCAATCTACTACTAAAATTTAGCTGCAGGTATAAAAATAGACACATAGATCAATGGAACAGAATAGGGAACCCAGAAATAAAGCCACATACCTAACAACCAACTGATCTTTGGCAAAGTCATCAAAAATATATACTGGGAAAATGACACCCTATTCAACAAATGTTGCTGGAAAAATTGCATAGCCACATGCAGAAGAATAAAACTGGACCCATACCTCTCACCATAGAAAAAGATGAACTTGGGCCAGGAGTGATGGCTCATGGCCATAACCCCAGCACTTTGAGAGGCCAAGGCAGGAGGTTTGCTTGAGCCCAGGAGTTTAAGACCAGCCTAGGCAACATGGCAACATGGCGAGACTCTGTCTCTAAAAAACTTTTTTTAAAAAATTAGCTGAGTGTGGTGGTGCATGCCTGTGGTCCCAGCTACTTAGGAGATGGAGGCGGGAGGATTGCTTGAGTCCAGGAGGTTGAGGCTGCAGTGAGCCATGCTCATGCCACTGCACTCCAGCCTGGGTAACAGAGCAAGATGCCATGTCCAAAATAATGATTAATAATAATAATAAGATAAAGTAAAGACCTGAACATAAGACATGAAGCCATAAAAATCCTAGAAGAAAACCCAGGAAATATTCTTCTAGACATTGCCCAAGGCAAATAATTTTTTAGCAAGTCCTCAAAAGCAAATGCAACAAAAACAAAAATAGACAAATGAGAGTTAATTAAATTAAAAGGCTTCTGCACAGCAAAAAGAAACAATCAAGAGAGTAGACGGACTACAGTATGGGAAAAATATTTGCAAACTATGGATCCAACAAAGGGCTAGTACCCAGAATCCGTAAGGAATTCCAACAGCTCAAGAAGAAAAACAACCCCTTTAAAAAGTGGGCAAAGGATATCAACAGGCATTTTTCAAAAGAAGTCATAGATGTGGCCAACAAACATATGAAAAAATGTTCAACATCACTAATCACCAGAGACGTGCAAATTGAAACCACAATGAGGTATCATCTTATACCAGTCAGAATGATTATTGTTAAAAAGTCTAAAAGCAACAGAAGTTGGTGAGGTTGTGGAGAAAAGGGAAAGATTATACATCGTTGGTGGGAATGTAAATTAGTACAACCTTTGTAGAAAACAGTATGGAGATTTCTCAAAAACTTAGAACAGACCTATCGTTTAAACCAGCAATCCCATGACTGGGTGTATACCCAAAAGGAAAGAAATTATTATATCAAAAAGACACCTGCATTGTATATTTACTGCAGTATTATTCACAATAGCAAAATCATGGAATCAATCCAAGTACCCATCAACAAAGGTTTGATAAAGAAAATGTTATATATATATATATATATATACACACACACACACACATGCCATGGCATACTATTCAGCCATAAAAAGAATAAAATAATGTCTTTTGCAGCAACATGGATGGAACTAGAAGCCATTATCCTAAGTGAAATGACTCAGAAACAGAAAGTCAAATATTGCATATTCTCACTCACAAGTGGGAGGTAAATAATAGGTATACATGACCATACAGAGTGAAATAATAGACATTGGAGACTATGAAAGGTGAGAGGGTGGGAATCGGGCAAGGGGTTAAAAATTACCTACTTTATAAAGTTTATAACCTTTAATCCTTACAACATGCAAGATAGGTATTCCTATCTTATAGATGAGGAAACCAAGACTCAGTTGTTATTCGATCTAAAGTCACATAGCTCATAAATGTGAAACCTGGATTTGAACCTAGGTTCAGCTGCCTCTCAGGTCTTTGCTTTTAATCCCTTCTTGGTCTTGCTTCAGAAGCAGACAATTTATAATCTGCTAAATCTGATATTTCTTGGGTAAACAGTTAAATTGTAAACACTTAAATTGGGTAAACACTTAAATTGTAGCCTCATCACAATTTCAGGTTGTGAGATTGCATAAAAAAGGAGAAAGGGGTCACTCCCTCCCTCCGCTGGGACAAATTTAAGTCGTATGTGTATATGTATGAAGGTGAAAGATGGTTTACTGGGGAGAGACTCAGATGTGGTGAGGAACTGGGGGCCTAGGATAGCTTTGCTGGAGAAACAGGAGGAGCTTCTAGGGGCGAAAATAACATGCTAATGTTAAAATAGCAGTCACAGGAACAGCGTGCCTGGTGGAAAGGAAGAACTCCATCTTGCCAGGCTGTCCTAGAGACAGAACGCCCTGAAACTATAATGCAGCAAAGGGGAATGATAGGATGGCAACAATGACAGCTACTGTGTATTGAGTGTTCACTACGTGCAAGGACCATTCCAAGGGCTTTATGTGTATTAACTCATTTAATATTCACATTCTTGCTAGAAGATAAGCACTGATCACAATATCTTTTTATGAATGAGGAAACTGAGCCACAAAGAATTAATTCTAAAAAGAATTAAATTTGCCCAAGTCACAGAAGCGTTGTAGAACCAGAATTCAAATTTAGGCCATTTGCCTTCAGAGCTTATACCCTTTACCACTATAATTTACAGACTCTGAGGAAAGTGGACACGTATGAAGCTGATTGGCAGCGAAAGAAACTAAGAAAAGGAAAGGCCAGGATGGAGCCTAATGGATATTAAAGCAAAACTGAGTTAAATTTCATCTCAGGGTTGACAAGGACTTGCTCACATGCTGATGATGGTGGCAACTGATTAATGGAAAAATTGCAAAGGGCCTTGGAATGTGATCATCATGTTACACAAGGTTCCATACAGAAGTAATTATAATAAAGCCAACTCCCTCTCACAGGTACCAAACCTGAACTGATGCTGTCTATGCCCAAGTGGTACCATTGCCCAATTTCCCTATTTCTGCCAAAGCTATGCCAGCTTGGAGGCAACTTAGCTCCTTTATTATTGATATCCTATCATGTTTTCTCAATCCTCTCTGGAAAATTCTACTGTTTTCACTGAGCCCAGTGTACCTCTTGTACTTCACTTGGATTTTGCAATAATGCCTCACAGGTCACCTTGCCTCTTGTCTCTCCCTTCCAGGCTCAACCAAATGCCTCTGCCAGGAGAATCTTTCAGAGTGTCCTGGAACATTGGAAATAGGCTTAAAGCTTAAATGATGAATCAGAAGAGTTATGCTGTATTCTAATGCTGCCACTAGGTGAGTGACACTGGGAGTCATTTCAACCCTCTAGATCTTTAGATTCTACAAATATAAAAGGAGGAGTTGACATTGATGCTCTCTAAGGTCCTTCTAGTGTTATAAGTATATGAATGCACTAATGAATGAATTCCTTGCTTGTATACCTGCCTATGGATTTCTGTTTCAAACTTTAAACCTGGTGCTCAAGGCTCTATATAAAAGTTTTCTCACACCATTTTATAAGATGGCTATTCCTCC
Organism: Homo sapiens; assembly: GCF_000001405.40. Taxonomy (NCBI): domain Eukaryota; kingdom Metazoa; phylum Chordata; class Mammalia; order Primates; family Hominidae; genus Homo; species Homo sapiens. The sequence continues at coordinate 51,583,925 of NC_000014.9, read as the reverse complement.
TATCATGCCTTATTCATTTCTAAACCCCAGCTTCTCTTTCTGCTATTCTTGCTTCCTAAAACCTCCAATTCCATCCTCTTCACAGCTCAAACCTTAGGCCATCATTAAGGTTCTGCACCAGAACCAAGTTGTCCACTAACAGCTTTCCTGAGTGACTTCGGGCTGCACCATTGTAATTCTTCAGAAAGTGTATACACATGGTAGCCAAAGAGCCTGGGCCCTGGAGCCAGACCACCTGGAGTCAAATCCTAGCTCTGCTACTTAGGAGCTGCTGGTTAGTTAACCTTTCTGTGGCTCAGATTCACCATGTGTAAAATGGATTGTAAGAGTGGCTACTTGGTAAGATTGTTGTGAAGTTTAATATATGTGTTAATATATGAAAACACATGGAAGAGCTCCAGGTACATAGTAAGTGCTCTGTAAATATCATCTATTATTATTATTGCAACTACATTTCACACGTTTTAAATAAATCTTAAGAATTAAATTGTTTCGTGCATGTAGATAATGTCTCCCCAAGTAAACAGCAAGGATCTTCGCTATTTTCTATGACTTTGTGTCCTGGCAAGGGAATTCAAAGCATTACAGCAGCTATTCCTAAACAAACAAACAAACAAACCTATTCTAAACAAACACCTGAAGACAGTAAGGGAGGCCTTACCTGGTGCACTGCAACTTTAAACCATTTTAGTTCGGCAAATAAAGAGAATTATGACACAAATAAACATAATAAAGACCCTGCAGCTGCAGCCACTGGCTTCTCCTTAATGTCTTGGTTTCTTTCTGACTCTTTGTAGATGAATTCTAAGAGTTGGGAATGAGAATTTCTAATGGATTTACTGACACTACTTTATATAATTCAATACATAATAAAATGAAAATCTTTTGAAAACGCATATGAGTGCCACCATGTTGAGGCAGTTATTGCAGGAAAGGCGAGAAAGTAAAAACTATGTGTGGAATAAAAGGATAAAATATTCTTATTTCATCAGCTTACCTTTTGACTCCTTTATATTGTGAGTTCCAAATATGGTCAAGATGAAATGTGTTTATTTTGCCTTGAACCTTCTCACTAATGTACCAAAGGGACATTTCATGAAAGCTAAGAAGTACGAATTTCCAATAAAGCAACCAAGCTCCCTTAAGAAGTGCTCCAGAAGGAAAATTTCTCATCGTTTTGTTGTATTTCTCACCACCAAGTCAAACCAACTGCCAATGCCAAGTTGGACAGGAAGGGTGTCATGACATCAAATATTACATTCCACTGGCAGTGAGATGACCATTATGTTTCTCAGAGCAAGCATGGCTTCATAAGCCAGTTCCTGTTTGCAAGTTGATCTCATGGGTGATCCAGATAAGTGCATACTGCAGCAGCAGTGTGGGCTAGTGGGAAGGCTTGTAGCTTCCTAATGATTCTGCATAGCCTTTGGAAGCCATGGTGGGTCTGGAGCCACAAAATGGTGTGGTTACAATACTTGAGGTGAAAATACAGCAAAACTCCAAAGTAATGTGGACTAAAGCTGAGTCCACAATTATTTTCTTGAGTGATGATCACAAGGAAGATAATATCATCCAATGTCTTCCCTCATTAAGTGGGACGACGGACTATCCTGACGGACAAGGTCATTGCTCTCATCCTGATCTCTACTGGATTAGGACACATCTCAAAAACAAAGCAAAATAATTCTCCTTCTGCCCTTCCCCACATAAACAAACCAAATGGAAACAAACTCTAGTGACTCTTTCTGTAGAACACTAGGGAGTATGACAAGCTATTAGAAAATAGCATAGGCTTCCACTTTAGTCAGTATGTATGACGTAGTCACAAATACTTATTGAGCCCTATGCTAGAAGCTTGGGCTAGAGAAATAAATAAGACAGGTCCTATTCTAAAGGAGCCTACAGTCTACTAAGATAAAAGATAAGCCCTTTTTGTCTCAAAATGGAAGAGCTGGGATTTAATATTCACAACAGAGGATTTTTTTTCAAAGTCTTTCACCTACTGTGGTTCCCTTATGAGGATTTGCTACTCTTTGGGGATGACACTACTTTCACTCTATGTATAGCTGTCTGATTCAAGCTTCATACATTTAATGCGGGTAGGGAAAGCATTTCCAGGTTAGAATGAAACATAAAGTTCTTTTGCTCAACTGAACTTTTCACTAGCACTGCTTAGACACTCTGAATCCTGGAAACATGGTAGAATGTGATGCCAAGAATTCGGCAAGTATCTGGAGAAAATCAACTGAGCTTTAACTTAGCATTTTATTGCCTCTTCACAAAATGAACCAAGGATAGATAAAGACATATAAACTTAGTGATTTATAGCTTTCAAAATATTTTCTATGTTTCTCCACCATGTGTTTGTTTTGCTTTAAGTCTTTTGAATTGGTACTTGACTGATAAGGATATGCACTGTAAATGCCTCCAAAAGATAAGAATTTCTTCTAGCTTGGGAAGAAAGAGGAGAATGATTATAAAACTTCTTGGAGATGACTCACTTTGTTTAATTTTCCCTTTAGATTGTTAGAAACTTGAGAGTGGGGAATTGCCTTACTCATCTTGGTCACTTCTGAATCTACCTCAAGCGCTCCAGAAATGTTTGTTGAATGAATGTATGAATGAGCCATGGATGAATGTCTAGGTCCTGAAGGAGAGGAGGTAGTAGATAAAGAAAGATGGGGGAGAGACTGAGGATGAGAGAGAAGCATTTGTACAGTGTGGGAAGTGTGGGCGGATGCATGTTAGGGGAATGGGGGCAGGTTACATGATATTAGTGTAGTTGAATGGAAAGGCATGGTGGCAGAGGAGGCTGCAGAAAGACTCTGGGGCCACATTGGTTTATATATCTGCTTTCTATGGTACTGTGGCAGCCAGTCTATCATTTCCACATCTTTTCTGTTTTATTTAATTTTTGAAGGCCACACTAGCTCAAGCTCTAGTAATAGGTCTTCGTTTGGTTCCTATATTAATTTAGGGATATAAAGAAGCCTGCATTTTTGGGCTACCATGTAAAGATGAGCAGGCTGTGCACTGCACAATTCCCAGGAACAGTTACAGATCCAGTACAGTGCATGACAGTGCTGTGCTCCCTCATTCTCCCTATATTTGTAATGAAATACATTTACAAATTGATAAATTGCTGGAAGTGCAACACGTTGAGAAATACTTTTAACTATCTTTCCTCTTTACCCATTATATAGTCCTGAAGACCCCCTGATTCTTTCATTTTCCTCAGTCTGTGAGGGTTATATTACAGAAAACATTGTGTTGCTTTTTTACGATGCTTCCACATTCTAACTCTCAAAAATCAAAGGGTACCTATTTTCAACCATTCTATATTGGGTAGGATTCTGATGTTGCAGTTCTTGGGTTCAAATTCTGGCTCCATCACTTAATGTGTGATCTTGTGCAAACTATTTAACTTCTCTGTGCCTCATTTTCCTTAGTTGTAAAATAGGAATAATAAGAGCTCCTACCCTATAGGGTTAATATAAGAAATAATTGAGATAATCTATGTAAAGCACTTAGCACAGTGACATAGGGAGTGCTCATAGGTGTTTGCAATTCTGCTACTAAATTATTATTGCTGATACTGGACTTCCAGGTTGAGCCTGCTGGGCAGAATTCCTCCTGTGCCCCTATAGCTGGGACTGCCCATCCAGAGCCTGTCCATTTCCAATGAGCAGGGCAGGTGTCCACATTCCTCCCAGGTTGTTCATTCCACGAGAGGTAGCCAGATAATCCCCACCTATGGGTTGACAGATCACAAACATACACACACACACACACACACACGGTGCACACAACTTCCCTTTTACTTCAGAAACTTCTAACAACAATGCTACAAAATCAGGATGCTGTTAGGGCTTTCCTCCCTGTCTCTTTCTCCAGTCTAGTCCATTCAAACATCATTGTTGGGTTTGAGAGGGAAATGGGGGATATGTGAGTCCCCAGAACGTTTCATGGGTAACAGTGGAGCTCTGGCAGATAACAGTGGTTTTTGGTAAAGGATGAGCCCCAGAAGGAGAGAAGAGACAGTTTTATTGTTGCTTTTAGTGGTGGTGAGTGTGTACATGTGTCAGATTGTAAATGGGGCAGAGAATATGTCAGATTTGAAGAGGACCTGGAAATCAATGATCAAGTTGCAAAGGGAGAGGGGTCTAGGGTCAGGTGAACAGTGAGAGAGGAGGAATACACTGGCAAGTTGAAAAGCAGGATTCAACAATGAGTAAGGACCAGAGAATCATAGCACCTCTTCTCTCACCAAATCATTTACTCATTCATTTGACAAATTGTTCTTAAGCATTGACTATGTGCTGGGATGTGTTAAATGCAGGGTATTCAACAAAGAACAAGACAGAATCCCTACCTTCATGGAGCTATCATCTAAAGTAAACAAATAAACACATTATTGGTGAGAAGTTATATCCTAGAAGTAAGTGCAAGGCATTATGGATATGAGGGGGTGTCAAGTGATTTGATAAATTTTCTTGGAGAAAATTTGTTGCTTTCAGGAACAGCCATGGGATCAGCACAGCTGGGGTATACTGTGGGAGTAAAGTGAGGTGAGGATAGAGAGGTAAACAGGAGCAATATTATAAAAACCATCTTAGGATCAAAGGTTAAGGAATTTGTTCTTTATTATCAGGGCACTCTGCAATGCAAAACTTAAATATTAGTTATATCTCAAGGCTTGGAATCCAGGGAGGGAAATTGGGTGGTTGTCTCCTTGAATATATTATATATAATATGAAAACTCAACTGAGGATATTTACTGGAAGGCGCCTCCTCCCTTATGTTTTCCTCTATGAGAGATGAAAGATTGTCCCTGCCTGTGGCAGGGCACTCTCCAAAGGGAAGTGATACATCTTCAGCCCCACCTAGATCTCTTCCTCTTTAGAGCAAACCTTGTGCCAGCCTGTATGTTTGCTGTGGTTGGGTTTTCATAAAGCTGTAAAGAAGAAAAGGAAACCTATCATTTATTACCTTCCCATAGCCACATTCATATTCCTAAGCCTGGCCTTCAAGGTCATTTAACTTCTTCCACCCAAACTCGTACTATTCCCCATGCATGGGTCCTCTTCTCTGGTCAAATGGATTGCAGAACATGATATGTACCTCCCTGCTTTGGTGCCTCTGATCTTGTTTTTCTTTCTAGTCTTGCCCTCTTCCAGCCTCAGTTTCCTCGTCTATAAATTGGGGATCATAATATCTTATTCAGGATGTTACACAGATCATGTGTCTGAAAGTACACAGCATAGTGCCTGGCACAAAAAACATCATTCAACAAATGCAAGCATTTGCAAAACTCAAGTTCTAGATCCTTGTCTGCATGTCACAAACTTCAATACTCAAGTGTTTTCAGGGCTGGGTATCACACGAGTGGTGAGAACCAGAGCGAATAAGCAAGGGCATGCTCTGCTTAGAGGCAATGAACATGCACAGAAACAAAAATGAAAATACACAAACAAAAATGCCTCCGACCTCTTTTGGTTTAAACCCACCACTTTGGAATCCTTTTGACTTTTGCCTCATTACTTAGATGGTAAATATTTCTTCTTATGTAATTCTATTTCTTCCAGTGGCCACTTTGTGCCACTTATTTTTCACTTACTTTATATTCTTTGTGGCATTATTTATATTTCAGTGGAAGTTTTTTGACACTCAGGATTACTATGATAACCAAGTGAAATCACATATGTCAAGAATCTAGTGCCTGGCATCAACGGTAGCTTTCCTGTTATTCATAATGATAATGATGCTATTATCAGTCTCTTAAATTCAGAGACCAGGTCTCTAAAAGTTCCAGGAATTTCCTTCCTGCTTGTTGACTTGGCAAAGAACAATAATAACAGCAACGATGGCTTCTGCTTATTGAGTGATTAACCATAGGACAGGAGCTATTAGGAGTGTTTTACGTGCCTGAACTCATTTCTGCTCATGATAACCTGTGAGTAGGCCCTATTGGTATAATGCCTGTTGTAGAGATGAACAAATTGAGGCAACGAAAGATCAAGGAACTAGCCAAGTTATGTAGTTAAGAAATAGCAAAGGCACGTGTATACCTATGTAACAAAACTGCACGTTCTGCACATGTATCCCAGAACTTAAAGTACAAAAAAAAGAGAAAAGAAATGGCAGAGCTAGGATTTGAACTAGGTGGCTGGCCCCAAAGCCTATATACACAGTGAGTATAGCTCTATACTCACTTTCTGACCAACTTCTGTTCATCCTTGAAGGGCCAGGTCACATGTTACCTCCTCTCCTACTTTCCATGCAGAGTTAGTTACTCCATCCTAGGTACTGTCATAGTACTTTAAATGTACCAATTATCCAGATCTATAGCAATTATCAAATTGACGTTGTTTATTTTTATGTGTGTGTTTATTTGTACGCGAGTTTCGTATGGAAGAATCTGTGAATTACTCAAGGCTGTATACTTAGCATAGGGCTTGGCACATATCTGATACACAACACTATACATTGAGTCTTAACTGAACTAGTAATTCAGCTAAATTTGATGATCATGATGATGATAGTGGCTGGAGATGAAACACGGTTGAATGGAAATTTCAAATGGTAAGAACCATAGTGCTGAGCTACTGACTGTGCCATGAGTTTGGTGATATTTTTGCTGTTCTTTTTTTTTTTCCATTGGAGTAGTTAAATGACTCCTATTTAAGATGTCTCAGGGCTCCTAAGCCCTTTTTAGCTACATGTTTTCCCACCCACTCCCTTCTGAGAAGGACTAGCTCATGGCAGATGTGACTGCCTTGCAAATACCAACAGAAGAAACAAAGAACGTGCTGAAACCTATGCCTTGCAACAGTTATTAAAATTTCACCAGAGGTTACACAAACAAGCTGAAAGAATGACTAAAGGAGGCTTAGCCCCACCCCAACATAAGCCATGATCCATATTTTATTATAACAACACCTTACATTTGCATAGTGCTTTAAAATGTGTAATCCTCTCCCCTCTGTTATTTCATCTGATTCTTACAACCCATTGGATCAGACAGGAGAGGCTCAAAGAGAGAAAGAGACTTGTCTAACATCATGTGGCCAGTGAAAAACGAAATTGGGAGGAGGACCTGTCTTCCATACAACATTTATGCAACGTGCCAGACAAGATGGCCCAAGTGGCTAATTTGATATTGGGAGGTTCCTGTCTCCAGCGTGCGTATGTCTGATCTCCTAAGTACTATGAGGCAGAAAAGATTTTGCAGATGATAGACATGAAAACTGAAGAATGGGTCAAGGGATAACATGCTGAGGGTCAAAGAGAAGATGAAGAACGTGAGCTTAGGGGTGCAGGGGAGTACAAGGTGATATCCACTCATGGGGGACCAAAAGAGAAGCTCTGTCACAGAAGGAGGTCGCATATTGAAGTTCACAGGATAAAAATAAAAATTTAAAGCATTCTGCTTCAAAAGAAGAGATGAGATAGGCATGCCCGAGTTCAGAAGACAGAGGAGGTTTCAGTCAGCGTGAACTGCCTGGGCAAACTACGTTATGTTGAATGCTTTTAAAGGACTCTTCTTTCTCTATGTTGTCATGCCCTCCCAGGGGATCTAAGAGACCCATCAGATCCCCTGGCCTGTGCTTTCCACTTCAATTCCCTGTTCCCACCACACTGGGCTTACTGTCTGTAAGGCTATAGGAATGTGGAGAAACCCAGAAGCAGGAAACAGGGTGAGAATGCCTTCTTTGATGTCGGCACTTAAGTTTGCTTTGTGATTCCTCGTGCCTTGTGCCTCTAGTTTCTGCAGACTCTGTGGGCTCTGGTCTCAGATCCTCTTCCTGTAGCCCACTCTCCTGGGTGTCGGGTGCCAGGGCTGCTCTGGTTCTTGATTGTTCAGGCTGCCCTTTGCCTCAGGTCTGCGACCCTCTCTTCTCCACTGCCGACCACAGGCTCAGGCTGGACTTGCTCTATTCTGGCTCCTGGCTACAACCATTTGCTGCCAGTGGCCTGGTGCTGATGGGGTCTCCACCTACTTTCTCAAAGAATGTGGGACTATACTAGAAACTGTCTGCAATAAGGTAGCATTTGTCCCATTTGGGAATACCTGCTAATCTGTTCATGTTTATAAAGATGCAGCTCATGGCCCATGAGCTCTTGCCAGCCATGACAGAAAGAAAAGGAGACACGGAGAGTTCCAGCCATCTGCAAACGTAAAACAAGGCAGAAACACAGTGCATTCTCAAATACAGCTGAAAGCACTGCAGCGTAGGCAGCTGAATCCCATTAAGAAATCATGCGAAATCTCTGTATTCCTGCCATTGTGACGAAGAAGAAAAAAAATCTCTAAGGATTTCAAAAAGAAAACATTTATGACCAGCAGACTTAAAGTTCTACAATATCTCACGAAAACAGAAAACAGTCACACACACTCCTCTGACACTTTCTAACGGCCCTTACCTAGGGAGACTCCAGAAGGGAATTTCCACTTAGCTCAACCAAGGAGCATCTGCATCTGCAGGAGAAAGTCAGAGCCAGGTGGCCCCCTCCGCTGATGCAAGATCCAAAGTCCTGATGTTCAGGGAGCACAGACAAGGCTCTCTTTATATTCACAGCCCATCTTTGTAAAGGTTATTTCATGTCGATAGATAAGTTGGAATTACTTATCTGCCTTAATTCCTTTCTCCCCAGTTTTTAATTCAGACTGCCTCTGGATCTTAAAGTTAAAATGTAAGCCATATTTTAAAATTAAATAACAAATTGAATCTTAAAATTCAAATTTAAGCCATTCTCAGCAATGAAAGAGGATTGATAATGTTCCTAGTAGCCATTTTGAGTGACTGGTGGGGCATCATCTCTCTAGGCATAAAAGTGGTCTTTCAATAGGCTCCATGCTGTGATAAAAAAGGCCAAACTGCTCTTACATGAGAGCAACACATTTACTTTGTATTTCTTTATTATCCTTTTAAAAATTTATTTTATTTTTAATTTTTATGGGTACATACTATGTGTATATATTTATAGGGCACATAAGATATTTTGATACAGGCATGCAATGTGTAGTAATCACACCAGGGTAAATGGGGCATTCATCACCTCAAGCATTTATACTTTCTTTGTGTTACAAACCATCCAATTATATTCTTTTAGTTATTTTAAAGTATACAATAAATCACTGTTGATCAGAATCGCCCTGTTGTACTATCAAATATTAGCTCTTATTCATTCTATCTAACTATATTTTTGTACCCATTAACCATTCCCACTTCCCCCACCCCACCCACTACCCTTCCCAACCTCTGGTAACCATCATTCTACTCTCTATACCCATGAGTTCAATTGTTTTAATTTTTAGCTCCCATAAATGAGTGAGGACATGTGAAGTTTGTCTTCCTGTGCCTGGCTTGTTTTATGTAACATAATGTCCTCAGGTTCTGTCCATGTTGTTGCAAATAACAGGATCTCATTCTCTTTTATGGCTCAGTAGTACTCCGTTGTGCATACATACCACATTTTCTTTATCCATTTGTCTCATGATGGACACTTGTATTTTAATAATTCAAAATGAATATAAATCTCAAAAAAGAAGACTTCTTATCAGGGTAGCTTTAAAGGCTCTGTGGATAGAGTCTATTTTTGCATGTGCCCTGATCTATGCTTGGAAAACCATGGTCCAGTAAATTCCAGGGCACAACCAGAAGAGACTAGAAAGGTTGAGCAATGAGAGGGAGAGCCTATTGCACCCTTCACTCTGAAAAGGTGGTGGCTAAGGTCAGAGAGGATTGATGTTTACAAAACCATAAGGGCTGGGCAGGGCTGGCAGGGCAAGCACAGGAAGACCTTCCCAAGGGTTAATCAAAGGTGGCTTTAGCACAAATAAAAGGAAGCATGAAGTCACCCTGTGGCTAGCAATTCTATGAAAACTGTTACCCAAGAGATGCTTCATAGAAAATAAAAAAATAGGTTGAAGAGGGTGATGAATTTAGTAATAACTAATTATTATGGGATTCTGGAAATGCCTCCTAGAAAGCAATCTTGTCTCGTTTCTTTCCCTAAATATCCCTAGTTGTCATTGTATTAATAGCATCAGGTTACTTGGTTAGAGAGACAACCAGCCTGTGGTCTGACTGATACACGGTGATTCTTTGACTCCTTTATGCAAATGATGGTCTTGGTAAGTAGTCATCTGCCTCCTACCTTGCTTCATTTAAGGTAAGCGTCCAGTCTCCTGAATTTAATAACTTGGACATAGAGATTTGAGACACGGGGACTGTCTTCATCACCATAACTTGAATACAAACGACCAGCGTGATGTTGGCTCCACAGTAGCATCCTAAGAATTCAGTATGCCAGCAGAGCACCAAAAATACTGCTTCAGCCTAATGTAGGATTCCTTTCTGTGCCTTCCCTGGGATCTGGCTCCTCACAATATTTACTTTCTTGTAAAGTACTGAAGGAAAGTAGCAAATGGATGAGGGAGGAGTGTATTCCTGGAATATCTGTTTCACCTTAAGACATTTCCTCTGTCCCTTTTCACCCTTCTTTCCTCCCCTCTCTCTCTCCTGCTCCTTTGTCTCTCATTGGCATAAGAGGTGATAACAGGGCCAGTGGGGCATTGAAATGTCAGTGGTCTCCTCAGAATTCCAACGCCAGGTCACCTTATTGGCCTATAACCCCTGCTTTCCTTCCAGTAAGTGGCTAGTTATGGGACCCAGCAAGGGCATTTGAAAGCACTGACTGAGGACAAAGTGGGGTTTAAGTGATGCATAACCCCCCTTTATCCTCCATAGTCTATCTTGGCTAGAAGCCTGTCACAGGACTATCAAGGGCAGCTGAGTCTTCCCCAAAATCAACAAAGAAAACAACCTCATTTCTATATCTCAGCTGTGTCTGAAGAACCAATGTCTAGATAGATCCCCTTCTCTCAGATGATTTTTGTGTGTGGGGGTAGGGTGAGGAAAGTGTTGTCTATGAAAGCATCATATGATAAAACCTAAGAATGTGAAGAAAATTAGTCTTCTCTCTGTCTCCAAAAATTTACTGTTAAATTTCAAGTGAGTCTATAAGCCTCTGACTCTTCACATATGTATTGAAATAGAACAAAAGGACTAGTTTGAGGAGACAACATTAAGCTTAGTTGATGGAAAGTAAAAGCTCTTTGAAATGATTCCCTTAAAGGATTTGGCCTTCCGAATTCAATTTTGCTCCCTTTTCAACCATCTTAGGCATTCGTTTTTAATAAGTCTTTATAAAGTAAATGATTCAACAAAGGAACTCAAAACTGTGTTTCTGACTGCAAAAGAAGTATAGATTCCAGATGTCTCTCATTTTTCTACATCACTAATTCAAACTCAGAAATCTCTTGTTTATTGGACACTTGTTTAATCCTAATGTTTTACATACCTCTCCTCTAAGAATCCCCTTTCTCTCTGTCTCCCTTCTCTCACCAAAGCCATCTACAGGGCAATATGTCATAGATGCAACTGTACCTTTCCAGCATATGCTATGAAATATTTCAACTTATGCTAAAATGAGATTTTCTAATCATATATAACTGTTATTCATTCATATTAGCATTTATGTGAAAGATTAGGGAAAGTTCCTTCTCCTGAAATATTTGCCAACTGATGACGTGTTTTGCTTTGTACATTGAATAGAGGTAAGGGAAATAAATCATCTTTCAAGATCCTCTTCTGGTCCTTTGATCTTCTGCACTGGGGTCACCCAGCTGGCTTTTCAAATTTTGCTCCAAGGGCTGGTGAACATTAGAGGAGCTAATAGCAGGCACTATTCTTTACTCTCCTAGCACTATGGATAGGCTATGAATGATGCTTTTCCATATTTTATCACGTCCCTAATGCTATCTGGCCTTATGCTGGAGTGCCAGCAGTGGCCAAGGAACTAGAAGAGCAGAGAACAGGGAGGTGACATAATAACAAACCTTCATAGAAGATAAAACATAGTAGTGGTGTTGCTGCTGGTCTAGTGGGGATGAGAAAACTTACAGGTAGGTGAGCCATGCAAAGGAGAGACACTTGATATCTCCCCTGTCTGCTTGTTTTTAATGAGACAAAGTTTGATGTAACCTTTTTGAATTTATAAGTCTATTAATAAAATCTTTAATCATGGCTAATATTTATTAAGCCAGGTATTTGCTAAGTACTCCTGGATTATCTGCATTATTTTTTTAGAGCAATCCTCACTAGTACAGTCTATTAGTATCTTCATTATATAAATGAGGAAATTGAGTCTAAGAGACTCTGATACCTACTCGTCAAGAAATATGTATGATTTGGAGAAGAAATCATGCATATCTTTGCAAATGAGGCATCATCTTCAGCAAAGGTACTCTTGGGAGCCACATTTACCAATCATTTAAGAACGACAGTATCTTTATATGTATTCTTTTTAAGTTTAGCAGATAATTAATTAACAGGGATTCCCAGGGTTACACCAGATCAGAGATGAAATTTCTGCTGGGTAGCTATCCAGGCTGTTTTTCAGAATTGGTGATACTGGATAGTGTGGAGAACTCCAGCATACCCTAAACACTACAAGAGGACAGAATCACATTTTGTGTGACAACATAAATCCTTCATAAAGGACGACACAATCCTTTGCCAATGGCTTCAGAGGCACACTGCAGCATCGAACTCCTCAGCTCAAGTGATCCTCCTGCCTCAGCATCCCAAGTAGCTGGGACTACAGGTGTGTGCCACCAGGCCTGGCTAATTTTTATTTTCTGTTTTTTATAGAGATGAAGTCTCACGATGTTGTTCAGGCTAGTCCCAAACTCTTGGCCTCAAGCAATCCTCTTGCCTCAGCCTCCCAAAGTGCTGGGGTTAGTCATGAGCCACCATGCCCAGCCATGCTGTGGATGTTAATTATGTTAATTATAAAAGGCAGCCATCTTAGTAGCTGGACACCCATTTATAGATGTGTCTTCCATGACTATTTTCCTCCTCAAAGCTAACAAGGGATATAAATCATTTCATTAGTTGACAATTTCTACCAAACACATCGTTTTGACGGAGTCCCATATTAGATAGAATTTAAGTTGTCACAAAGATAGTATGTTTGGAATAATGTATGATTTTATGAAGCAAGCTTGTTAAATGAGGAATGGATGAATCTGAAGGAAGAAAAGGCAATGGAGAAAAGAAAGGAAGAAACATTAAGTCCATTAAATGCAATCGACCCAGAGAGATATTTTCTATTCCTTTGGCCTACGAAACCTATCTAAAACTGGTTCTCAGAACTGTATGTGCATCAGAGTCAACTGGAAACTTTATTAAAGCACAGGGGAGAGCCTGAGAATTTGCATTTTTAACAACTTCCTTCATGGTGTTGATGCTGCTGGTCTGGGAACCACATTTTCAGACCCACTGCTCTCAAATGTATTTGGAATTGTACACGATTGGAGATCTTATTTGACCTTTCCCAGATTACAGTCCAGAGATCTGTCTAAGGCTGACACCATCTTTAGATTTCTTAAACTTCGGTTTTTGTTTTTTGAAACAAAGTTTACAGGTTCACTTTAGCACTTCTTACCTGATGAAATTTGACAAGTTTCCAACCAGAAGAAGCTTCATAAGAAAAAAACAGATATGAAGGCTGTTGAGAGAAAAATAAGGAACAATCAAGAAAAGAAATATAAATGTCTCTATTTTTATAATTAGCATTACTTTTAGACAGATTAAACACCACCATTCCAAAGATACATCAATTTTATTTTCTCCACCATTTTTATTAGCAACTTGAACAAATTTGCAGATGAAGAAAATGCAATTGGACTAACAATGTGACAAGTTAAAAAGAAAATTCTCCGCCGGGCACGGTGGCTCATGGGCCGGGCGCAGTGGCTCACGTCTGTAATCCCAGCACTTTGGGAGGCCAAGGTGGGCAGATCACGAGGTCAGGAGATCGAGACCATCCTGGCTAACATGGTGAAACCCCGTCTCTACTAAAAATACATAAAATTAGCCGAGTGTGGTGGCGCACACCTGTAGTCCCAGCTACTCGGGAGGCTGAGGCAGGAGAATGGCGTGAACCCAGGAGGTGGAGCTTGCAGTGAGCCGAGATCGCGCCACTGCACTCCAGCCTGGGCGACAGAGCCAGACGGTCTCAAAAAAAAAAAAGAAAAAGAAGAAAGAAAATTCTGGCCGGGCATGATGCCTCAAGCCTGTAATCTCAGCTCTTTGGGAGGCTGACATGGGCACATCACTTGAGCCTAGGAGTTTGAGAGTAGCCTGGGCAACATGGCAAAACCCTGTCTCCACAAAAAATACAAAAATTAGCTGAGCAGGGTGGCATGCCTGTAGTCCCAGCTACCAGGAAGGCTGAGGTGGAAGGATCACCTGAGCTCGGGAGGTCAAGTCTGCAATGAGCTGTGTTCACACCACTGCACGCCAGCCTGGGCGACAGAGTGAGATTCAGAAAAAAAAAAAAAAAAAAGAAAGAAAGAAAGAAAAGAAAATTCTATTATTAAATAGAAAGTGACAATAATGTCAGAGTTACAATAAAGTATTCTAAACAATGTTAATTAGTGTTTATTCTGACCCTGGTATTGTTTGCCTAAGTTAAGGCACTATTTTTAGTAACCAAACTATTTTGGTTACCGTTTCTTTTTTTGGCATTCCAAAGTCTGCTTCCTAATGCAAGGCTGTTGTCTGTTTATTTGACAATTTATTTCTTTTTCTGATTACCAAACAATTTGGGAAACTCTGAGAACCATACAGAAATGTCTGAGAGGCACGTCTGTGTAGCGTTTGTGAGGGCTAGTATGAAGACAGGGCTTCTTCAGTAAAAGCCTTTCTGGCTGGGCACAGTGGCTCACGCCTGTAATCCCAGCATTTTGGGTGGCAGAGGTCGGGGGATCACCTGAGGTCAGGAGTTCGAGACCAGCCTGGCCAACGTGGTGAAAACCTGTCTCTACCAAAAATACAAAAATTAGCCAGGCGTGGTGGCACCTGCTTGTCATCCCAGCTACTCAGGAGGCTGAGGCAGGAGAACTGCTTGAACCCGGGAGGCAGAAGTTGCAGTGAGCCGAGACTGCGCCATTGCACTACAGTTTGGGCAACAGGGGCAAAACTCCATCTCAAAAAAAAAAAAAAAAAGTAAAAGCCTTTCTGGATATTTTATTAGCATTTCCAGGTAAGGGAAGAAATACAATGTTTTCCTTTGGTCAGGCAATCAATTCATACCAGAGCTGGTCCCTTCACCACAGCCTCTTGATTCCCTATCATATCAAGCCCATTGGATTTAGTGATCTGTAGAGGTCATTGTTTCCATACTTCTCCTTCACTCACAAATGGTGCTGGACAATTCAAACCACTCCCAGAACCATCCTTGGGCAGCCTGGCACACATGCCCAGCTGTTCTGGATTTTTGGCCTACTGTTGGCCACAGAGAGATAACTTTAACAGGCCAGTACAAGGCAAAAAGTTTCTTGCAGTGTTCGCCATTTCTTAGTCACCTCTCCTCACTTCCACATAGGGACAAAGATAGTGGTCACTCATTTCTTGAACTTCAATGCTTGCTCCATTTCTCCTCCCATTACACCTGTTTCTGGATTAAGGCTGCTTACAGCTCACGCTGTACTCCTCCAAAACACTGTAAGAAGAAGGCCCAGAGAGTTCTGACTTGTGAATGCAAAACAGGAGCTTGACATTCTTTAGCTGGACCTATCATTCTTCTAATGCCTAAATCAATGGAAGGTTTCCTGCAGACAAGAATTGGCTCAGAAAATTTCTCATTCACAGTCAAGGCTTGTAAGGAACAACATCACCTCCATGGGACTAAATATAGCCTATGATATTTTTATTCTAGAAAAGACATAAATGAACTCATAGCTATTTTGCCAAGTGCTTTCTTCTTAAACATTTATGGCAAGCCAGTGCTTCTCAGCTCGTCAAGGCAAGATGCCTACAGATGTTAACTTGTTAGCTTGCCTAGGCTAGAAATTCAGGAACTTCGAGACACGAAACTCATTCCTAGTATAACTACGTATTTGTGTGTCAGCAAAGACTATTTTCTTTTCCCTTTATTAAGAAAAATACCAACTGCAAACATTTATTGAGCTTTGAGATAGCTATAAAAGAAGTATTAGATATGAGTCTTGTTCTGGAAGTGCTTATGATCAAGTCTGAATACAAAATCTGTACATATGAAATAATCAGAAACAAAGAAAGGAGAGAGTTAAGCATTAACTGTGCAGTACAGACCTTACAGATGTACTATGTCAGAGTGTTGAGGATAGCTTTAAGAAGGATGTGATTAAGGCAAATAAAGGATGCATATGATTTCTACAAAAAGATGGGTGGGACGGGGCATAGTGGCTCATATCTGTAATCCTACCACTTTGGGAGGCCAAGACAGGAGGATTGCTTGAGGCCTGGAGTTTGAGATCAGCCTGGGCAACATAGCAAGATACTGTCTCTACAAAACGATTAGCCAGGCATGTTGGCACATGGCTATAGTCCTAGCTACTAAGGAGACTGTGGCAGGAGGATGACTGGAGCCCAGGAGTTGGAGGTTGCAGTGAGCTATGATGCCTCCACTGTACTCCAGTCTGGGTGACAGAGTGAAACCTTGTCCCTAAAAGAAAACAAAACCAAAAACAGATGGGTAGTCATGGTAGCATCTAGAAGTCTCATACTGGTAACCAGAGGGTCAAGGGACTTTTTAATTTGACCTTCACTCGTTTCAAAACAAATTTGAGTTAGTTGCCAACATTAACAACTTGGAAGATTTTACATTAAAATACATTTTTTCTTTTAAAAAATGACGAGTCTGTCAAAACCTGGCCTACGTTTCTGCATGGTAACTGGCCTATGTTTCTGCATGAACCGGAGCTGAGTAGCACCCATCCCTTCAGATGGGGCACTAACTACTCCTTCCCCACCTCCCATACCACTTCCTGTTGCTTCTCCCACTTAACCTGCTGCTTTGCTCATCTGTAGCAGCTGTCTGGCTCTTGTGGGCATTTGAGTTTTCAATGCCTGCTGTGCATTAACAGAGCCTCCTGCATAGGGGGCCTGTGACAAATGCTCAACCTCAACCAATTCTGTGAAAACAAGCGATCCTGCCCTCTCAGTCCAACTTCTGCAAGGTAAAACAACTTATACACAGAAGGATACTTTACAAAACTTTGTTCTTAGTCTAGAGAGGAAACTATCATGGACAACACATACAAATAGTTTAACTTTTGGTTTTGAAAGTATTGGGTTGGTGCAAAAGTAATTGCGGTAAAAAGTAATGGCAAAACTGCAATTATTTCGCACCAACCGGATACATTGGGTATAATGACTCAAAATGCATATTCGAGGATGGTGGATTGCCTGGCTACTGTGTAGGAAGGCTGGAGCTTCATTAACTCTTTCAGTTCATTGAATTTAAAAAGACCCAGGTGAAACAAATATTACGTGGGAAAATTCAGATTGGAAAGTGGATAAATTGAGGTTGCTTATTCTATTTTTCAGAAAATGTCCCTATTTTACAAAGAATTTTTAAAAGCAAAGTTGTTCATATATATTTAAAATATGGTCAAATCTACCTGAAAAGTAGCACTGTGTATTCTATAAAGCCAGACACATCTGTATGGGTCTTTACTCTGGACAATCGATTCTTTACTGTTTGCTCTGAGGAAATGTATGTGTCACATCCAAGTGGCTGGTCAATGCAAGCTGCGTGTGTTCGATTTGGAATGACTTTTCATGCTGGTACTGGAATGGTCATTCCTTTGTTCATTTGACTATCCTAAATGCATACATTTCTTTAGCCCAGTGGGCTTTGTCTTGAGACAGAGTCTCCCTCTGTCGCCCAGGCTAGAGTTCACTGGCATGATCTCGGCTCACTGCAAGCTCCACCTCCTGGGTTCATGCCATTCTCCTGCCTCAGCCTCCTGAGTAGCTGGGACTACAGGCGCCCGCCACCACACCCGGCTAATTTTTTTGTATTTTTAGTAGAGACGGGGTTTCACCATGTTAGCCAGGATGGTCTCAATCTCCTGACCTCATGATCTGCCCGCCTCGGCCTCCCAAAGTGCTGGGATTACAGGCGTGAGCCACCGTGCCCGGCCACTGTCTTGACTTTTTTAATAAACAGCTCTGTGAACTTGGAGAGATCCATTAAACTTTCCTGGTTTTTGTTCCTCAAATGAGGGAACATAACAACACAATGTGCCCCAATTCATGACTTCCATCTAAGGCCTCGCCACCTCTAGAACTGCTGCTGTTCCCTGAGGCCCCATTTCCTTCATAGTTAATGGAGGTGGTTGGGCTAGATCTTCAGAGCCCATATTTACCGTGGCATTGTCTAGCTCTTGGTGATTCATTTAAACAAAACAAGGACGACCCACAACTACCACCGCCACCACCAGCACCACCACCATCACCATCACCCCCATCAAAAACCTCCGTCTATTTCTCAAGACTGAAAGTGAAAAGGGTTGTTTCTTTTCAAATATTTAAAAACAAACCCAAACTACCTTTGGGCAAGAAGCCTAGAAGAGCATGCCTCACCTCATACCATCAGTTCTTGGTATTTGAATCCAGTGGGCTAATCCAGTATTGTTCTAGCAGCACCTTGAAGCTTAATAGAGCTCAACTACAGCTGCCCCCAAGTGGGTTACACTAGTATTCGGCACGTGTAAGCCAAGTGTTACAAGTTTCTGTGAAGAAGTCATTTCAGTTTGGGAAAAATTGTCTAATTTGGCCATTCAATTTGCATTGTTCTGAAAGTTGCCAGACTTGTCCTGCCAGGCATTAGTGTCAAGAACTTTCATCTTCCTTGGCTCCACCTCCTCTCTCTGTGTACACAGAAGAACAAAGGGAGGAGGCCCTGAGGCAGTGCCATCCAAGGAGCCAAACCCGGTCTGGGTTTTGAGTTGATGACTTTTTTGAATTATAAAAACTTTTCCAAGGAAGTTTTCGCTCAAGACTTTTATGGGTTTTATAAACAGAAATGAATGCAAGCTGGACAACAGACCGTGGCAAGTTAAACATCATGAACAGGTCTGCCATTATTACTGTCGTGAAAAATCACTTCCCTGTGTTTTTGATTCTCTTTAAATATATACACATAGAAAATGCACACACATTTCTTTTCCTATATTTTTAATTAGGAAAATATCCCACATGTTGATAAACTTTCTGTGAGTGACATGGTACCTGATTTTTAGCAAATGCGAGCTCCTACATGTAAGTGAAGTCACCCTTTAACTGTTAGGAGAACTGCTTATTTAAACATTTGCTTAGAAGAGGTTGTTGCCCCGAGGCCTTTCCAAAAGAGCCCTTGACCTCTCTTTCTAAGGCTGTTGTGCTGCTTTTCAGAAGAGGATTGTTAATTATATCCTTTAAACCACCTATTATTCTGAGCTGCTGCTGTCCATAATCTCTCTCTGTCAAAGCCACCCTTGGTCAGCTCTCTCAGACCCCGGAGCTGCCTGCTCAAAATGGAGGCCGCTTAATCTCCCTGGGTCCCTTCAGGTCGCTCCATTTTTACTTCCTCTCTTCTCAAAGAGGCCAATTTCTTTTTCATCTCATTTAAAACTTTTAAAAAAGAGATTTTGGTCTAAAACTAGATCATACAGGTTCTGCCCAAATTCATTATTGTAGACAGGAAACTGAGGATCTGAGGCAAACTTAAATCACATACCGCCTCAGAGATCAAAGACAGCAACACGAATGCATTTTCCCTGGTCCTAATGAGAAGACTCTCCAAGCTTAGGAATTTACATGTTCAAAAGTAACGACAAATATAAGTACTGTGTAAAGAGAGGCTCAATCAAATGCAGTGTGAAACTTGAACATGACCAAGGGAGGCTCGTGGAGGAAATCGGGCCAATCTGTGGGGGTGTGAAGTAATATTGAACAAGGAGTAGGATAAATAGTGACCAGAGCTGTAATAAATGAAATCAGTACCTAGCTGCATACCCAGAAAGAAATTTTCCGTAATAAAAACTTTAGAAATGGTAATAAAACAATTGTTTTCAAGAGGTAAAAGTGGTTAGAACTTGAAAGTTTATGACTTGCGATCGCAAAGTTATTAATCTTGTGGGAATTCTGAAAATAAAATTGTTTCTAAATATCTCTAAGTGTACAGTTAGAAACCTTACTATCAGTGAATAAAAATGGACTTTCCAAGCTTGATTATATTAAGCATTTTTCATAGCCATTAGTATAATCATAGACCTTCTGTATACTTTCTTCACTTCTGAGTTGTTACTGAGCTATGCATTACATCAAAGTTGTATTGCAACCACAGAAGCTTTTTTCTTCATTCTTTTTTTTTGAGACTGAATCTCGCTCTATTGCCTAGGCTGGAGTGCAGTGGCATGATCTCAGCTCACTACAACCTCTGCCACCCAGGTTCAAGTGATTCTCATGCCTCAGCCTCCAGAGTAGCTGGGATTACAGGCACCCACCACCATGCCCAGTTAATTTTTGGATTTTTAGTAGAGATGGGGTTTTGCCATGTTGGCCAGGATGGTCTCGAACTCCTGACTTCAAGTGATCCACCCTCTTCAGCCTCCCAAAGTGCTGGGATTACAAGCATGAGCCACCACGCCCGGCCACAGTAGCTTTTTTCTACCATGGCTCTAGCTCTTGATGGCTATGCCTTATATGAATGAGGCAATTTGAAAACATTTAAATCTTATATAAAAATTCTCTGATACATTGAGAGATGGGGTCTTTCACTCTGCCCCTTGAATCTGGACTTGTAAGCGATAATTCTTTTACTATGGAAATGATGCTGTATGAGGCTAGGTCAGAAAAGACCATAAAGCTTCCTCCTGGTTCTCCTGGGATACTCACTCTGGGAGGAGCTAGTCACCGTGGAAGAAGTCTGGCTCTTCTGAGGCTGCCATGCTGGCGATGCTACACATCGGTCAGCAGCCTACTGTGCTCTCTGCCTACAGTCAACATCAACTGCCAGACATGGCAGAAAGAAACCTCAAAATCACTTCAGCCCTGAGTCATCAAATCACCCCCAGGTCATGAGTCTCCCTAGCTGAGGTCCCAGACGTTGTGCAAAGAGACAAACTATCCTTACTATGTCCCGTCTGAATTCTTGACCAGCAGAGAATTCTATATCCAAGAGTATCATAAATGTCTATTTTGTGCCACTAAGTTTTGGGGTGGTTTCCTGTGCAGCAATAGTAGCTGGAGCCATTAATAATTACTACCATGCAAATTGTGTTTCTTAATCAACCCATCATGTTTAATTTAATTCAGGTTATCAAGTCTTATGCAGGAAGAAAGCTGTACTGACTCAAATCTTCTTGGTAATATATTCTCCCAACCCATTATGATAACCTGTTTAGATATTTAGCCACTGTATAGAAATTGCCCTTGGGTTGGAGTGAGGGAATGCTCTTTGCCAAGAAATAAACTGGAGAAGCTTTATCTAGACTAACACTTCAGGGGGCTCATGCAGTCCCCACGCATGGTTGACTTCCCACTCGTACTCATTCTGAACTACTTTGGCATCAGAGTTTTTACAAAACTGTGTCTCCACAGTATATATACCTGGGCCAGCTTGAAGATCGCAGGGTGCCATGTGGCCTGAGCAATATGCATGCTATCTTCTGCTTCCTGATAAATGCTACCATGCATGACCTCCTAGATAGAGATTGTCAACCTGGGTAAGATCTAGATCTAATCTCCTGTGGCCTACTCCCATTAGTCCCTGGATGCAGGCAATCTTTGGTTGATACCTAAATTCTGATTAAGAAAGCAAGATATTTATTTTTGATCATAGAGCCTGCAGATGCAGGGATGGGCGGGATAGAAATGTGGGGGTGAAAGATGGAAATTTACTTTGCAGTGCTCTTCCTCAAATACTCATCGCTCAACTCGTCTTGGAGTTGAAGGAGCAATTGATGCCGGACTTGGGCCCTAAAAGGCAGATAAAAAAGCCACGGTGGGAATCTTTGATTCTGGCCAAATTCTACAGAATAGAAAAAGAAGCTGAATTGGCTAATTCTGGAAATGTAGTTTTAGAAAATGGTTTAACACCAGGATTGTTCTACAAGATCAGATTTTCTAGCAAAGATAAACTAAATATATATTTTTTTCATTTGGGATAACAATCAAAATGAATTTGTGATGATTTCTCCCCTTTTTCTTCTTAGTGAACTATGATACTGAAAAACTCAATTAAAATAGCCTGAAAGGATTATATGTATTATTTGGATGCCCTTGACCTTCTTTTTCACTGAATAAGGTTGACATATCCATTAACATGGAAATCTCTGCTGGGAAGTGAGTGCTCTTCAGCTCAAGACTATTTTTCTGAGCTCATCAGGTCAATGTCAGGTTGAAGTCATCAAAATAAATAAATAAATAAACAAAACACCCAAGCCTGTTGTCAAATTCAATATAATCTTTGCTTACAAGTCTATTGCTATTTGCCTACAACTCTGTTACTTAAATGCGTGATTCACAGCTTCAGCCTCTGTTGTCTAGAGAAGATACTTCCCCGGCTGCTCCCTGAGCACTGGTAGTTCACAATACATTCTTAGTGCTTAGCCACAGCAGGCTGCAGTACAAAGGAGGTCCCTTCCAATGCTGATGGGACATTCCAAATGGAATTGCTTGCCTTCATTCAATTCTATATTTTAGCCCTCAGTGATTAAAAATGCCTTCTTTGTTACAGGGTTAGGGTTAGAGGCCACAAGAGAAAGACCATATTGATAGTCTGAGAAATCAATGTTGTCATTGATATAAAGAAATCATGTGAGGCTGAATTCATCTGAATCCTGATTCATCCTTGAAAGGCAGCTGGTGTAACTGCCTCCTACAGAAAGACTTCATCTTAAGTTACCTAGATTCAAAGGGCAAATATTCTGTACCCACAATTTAGCTCTGTCTTCCCCAAACCAAGATGTTTTCAAGTGGGATGGCAAGTTACTAACTCATAGTCTTCTGACAGCAGGAAGAGGGGCTTAAGAATGTGGACCACATAGATGTCAATAATCCAACATTAATTTTATTCAATAAACTTTTTAAATAAAATGCAAACATCAGATTACTTTCTCCCTACTACCAAAACTTTTATTAAAGAGAGACCAAGAGTAATTTTGGAGTTTGGAGAAATTTGTGGGTGAACAGGTCATGGTAGGATGTAGGAAGGGCACCTTTGAGAGGACTCTGGGTAACTAAAAAAAGTGAGATCAGCCAGGTGCGGTGACTCACGCCTGTAATCCCAGCACTTTGGGAGTCTGAGGCAGGTGGATCACCTGAGGTCAGGAGTTTGAGACCAGACTGATCAACATGGTGAAACCCTGTCTCTACTAAAATACAAAAATTAGCCGGGTATGGTGGCACATGCCTGTAATCCCAGCTACTTGGGAGGCTGAGGCAAGAGAATCACTCGAACCCAGGAGGCAGAGATTGCAGTGAACTGAGATCATGGTATTGCACACCAGCCTGGGCAACAAGAGCGAAACTTGGTCTCAAAAAACAGACAAACAAAGTAGGATCAATGCAAAGGAGTGGGATGTCAACAGAGATCACCTGCCCACTTGGCTGTTATACCAAGCCTGTCTGTCTCCCATGCAGCTTCTGAAACACTGTTGCCGGCCTACATGAATATTACTATTACTACTCCATTCAGGGTGTAATTTGGTACATAAATATATGACACTGATATAAAACCTTTTATTTTACGAATTTTTCATCAGAGAA
Source organism: Homo sapiens (assembly GCF_000001405.40). NCBI lineage: Eukaryota > Metazoa > Chordata > Mammalia > Primates > Hominidae > Homo > Homo sapiens. The sequence continues at coordinate 51,560,271 of NC_000014.9, read as the reverse complement.
AATTTAAATAAGGATAAAACTTAATTCAATTCTGTGTTGGGTGATGTTTATTTCATTGTATTAGGTGAGACTCTGCCTTCTCACACCTCAATTGTGATACAGAAAACAAGAATGCAAAGTATAGATCAATATGGATTTATTCCATGTCCATAAATGTATTGCAGATTGCTAGTGTCTACTATTATAAGAGATACAACATGATTATAAAGTATAGTCCCAGGATAGAAAAGCTTCAAAATATAAAGACAAAAGACTAGCAGAAATGTCTTAAAAAGGAATGGACAGAAAATTAATAAATTAAGTTAGTATTTACAATGTAAAGACTCTAGGCACGCCTGGAAATGGCTTTATAAGTCATCCAGTTCTCTTTCTACCTATGAACATGACTGTGCTTATACTCACTTCTGAAAAACTTCCAGAAAAAGTGTTTCCACCACTTTGTATAACCCATCTATCAATCTTGCAGGCTCAGGGAAGGGGATAGGCATATTGCAGAAATTTTATGTTCAGGAAAAAATGATTACCTTATTTGTTCTTGATTAGGGAAAGATGGATGGTCATAAAATATTCAAAGGAAGGTTCTGAATTTGGAGGTCTGGAGAAGAGAAAAATTCAAGAAATAGTGGATAAGCAGAATGTATGAAACTGGAAAAGAAAGCATAGAGATAGGAGGAAGGGTTGGTGGAAGGGAATTGTGAAGAATGTCAGAGGAGTCATTCTAGCTTGGTGATGTAAACTCTCATATGCCTGAGAATTTATCACAAGGAAGGCTTGCTTAAAAAAAAAAAAAAAAAAAAAAGTAACGTGGAATATACCATCACCACCGGAGGATTCTGATTGGATTGACCAAGGGTAGGACCAAAGAATCTGCTTGTTAACGTGCACTCTGAGTGTTTCTGATGCAGCTGGTCTAAGGACCACACTTTGAGAAACACTGAAAACAATGATGGTTGAAGTCTTGCAGAAGAAGGCAAAAATTATGACCTTTAAATAGGGAGATGGATGGAATAAATAACATTTTCCAATTGAATTTACATTTACAGATCTTATTTCTTTTCTGAGTGAGAGTTAGTATATTCTCTAGAATCAGAGAATAGGTACCAAATCAAATGAAGGCCTATTTGCCGGGGTATGTTGATATGCAACTTTCTCTCACCTAGCAACTTCATTTATCTAGGACAGTTAAACTAAGAAATGTGGCAACAAAATGTTTCAGTGTGGATAAAATGGACTGAAACCAATCCACACACTGTACTCATAAAGTAGCTCCTCAAGGCCTTGCTTAGAGCTTACTTTTTGTTTAGAAATGTCTAAAAGCAAAGCTATAGGGTTTCCTAACTCATAGCAGTTAAGTCATAAAATTTGGCAAAGAGTGGTACAATCAGGGAACAAGGGTGGGGCTGATGCTGGAGGTACAGACACCAGTGATAGCAAGAAATGACAGGTGGCATCCTGACAGTGAAGAATATGAAAAGCAGACAAAAAAACTCCTTTAGAGGAGGGCAAATTTTCTCAAATAGTTAAAACACCTAAGGGCTACTATGTTACCACATGTTATATAGTAACTGATATTCATAAGGGTGGTCTCTAAGTAAAAAGAAAAAAGATTAAATTATATTTAGTAGATTTTATTGGGAAAGGCATGTAATTATATAATTATACTATATTATGACATTTTTGGAGACTTCTCATTTAAAATGGCTAAAATTTTTAGCTCCTAAGAGAGTTGGCTTTTGTTTTCCATATTATATACTCAGTTATTCATTTGCTCATTTAGTTTTGTTTTTTGTTTTTTGTTTTTTTTTTGAGACAGTCTTGCTCTGCCGCCTGGGCTGGAGTGCAGTGGTGCAATCTCGGCTCACTGCAACCTCCACCTCCCAGGTTCAAGTGATTCTCCTGCCTCAGCCTCCTGAGTAGCTAGGATTACAGGCTTGCACCACCATGCCTGGCTAATTTTTGTATTTTTAGTAGAGACAGGGTTTCGCCATGTTGGCCAGGCTGGTCTCAAACTCCTGACCTCAGGTGATCTGCCACCTTAGCCTTCCAAAGTGCTAGGATTACAGGTGTGAGCCATCGTGCCCGGCCTCATTTAATTTTTAAAAAGGTATTTATTAAAAAATGAAAATTGTATATATTAATGGTTTACAACATTTTTTTAAGGAATTCAATAATTTATTGAGAATAAAAGACAACTATACAATTGTAAACAAATTATTAACAAAAAATCATCTTTGTATCTTTCGGTATCTTCATGAAAACTTCAAATAATAATCATACTTTCCTTACCAATTGTCTTTTTTTTTTAACTTTTATTTTAGTTCAGGGGTACACACATGCAGGTTTGTTATATAGGTAAGTTGTGTGTCACAGGGGTTTGGTGTACAAATTATTTTGTCACCTAGGTAGTAAGCCTAGTACCCAAAAGGTAGTTTTTCCAACCTCACCCTCCTCCCTCTCTCGACCTTCAAGTAGGTCCCGGTGTCTGTTGTTCCCTTCTTTGTGTCCCAACATGGTATTTTGATATACGAATACACTGGGGAATGGCTAAATCAAACTAATTAATATATCTATTACCTCACATATTTATTTTGTTTTGTGATGAGAACATTTAAAATCTATTCTCTTAGCAATTTTCAAGTATACAATACATTGTTACTAATTCTAGTAACCGTGTTGTACAGATGTCCTGAATTTATGTTTCCTGTCTAACTGAAATTGTGTATCATTTGAAGAACATTTTCCAACCCCTCTCCCTGGCTCCCCCTACCATCACCCTGCCCTAGCCTTGCCCTAGCCCCTGATAACCACTATCCCACTAGTTGAGTTTGACTGTTTTAGATTCTACAAAGAGGTGAGATCATGCTGTATTTGGCTTTCTGTGCCTGGCTTATACCACTTAGCATAATGTCTTCCAGGTTCATCCATGTCATTGAAAGTGACAGGATTTCCTTCTTCTCTTTAAAGGCTGAATAATATTCCTATGTATGTATGTATGTATGTGTGTATATATATATATATATATATATGTCACATTTTCTCATCCATTGATGGACACCTAGGTTGATTACATATCTTGGCTATTGTGGATAATGCTTCATTTGCTCATTTCCTTCCTTCCTTCTTTCCTTTCTTCCTTCTTCTTTTCCTCTTTTCAGACAGGGTCTCACTATGTTGCCCAGGCTAAACTCACATTCTAGGGCTCAAGCAATCCTCCCCGCTCAGCCTCAGAATAGCTGGGATTATAGGCACATACCACCATGCCCAGTTTATTACTTTCTTATAGCCTGCAAAGCATCGTGATAAGTGTCAGGAAAAAATAATATGGTTCCTCAAAAAGTAAAATTTGTGAGTCTGGAAAAGCAGGCATCTTGGGTTTAGAATAAAGGTCAGAGATTTAGATCTGGATTTGGAAGCCACTTGAATAAAGTTTTGGTTGAAGCTATGGATTATGGTGGAAGGGGTAGAGAAGGAGACAGGGGCAGCTCGGGAAAGAACTAGGTGGTGAGCTCACTCTTCAATGATGGATAAGGCTAATATTACTATATTGCAGATAGGATGTACATTAATCCTCCTAAAAACTAGAATGGACTACGAATTGGAAAGTTTAGACATAATAACGGACTAAATCTCCTTTGGAACAGAAACTTTGCCTAAGGCCAATACCCCTGTCGCCTCCCTCCCCACCACCAGGGACTCCATCTAAATGCATAATTAGATAAAAAGGAAGAGTTGCTGAGGAAGACAAACTTGACTGAGCCTCAGTCTTGTAAAGCAATTAAGTAAATGTCACCACAGAGCGGATTTTAGCACTTAAGGTTTGACTCTGATGATTAAGGCTCTCACCTACTCACAATGTGAAATTCTACAAAGTAAACTGGGGCTATGAAATGTTTTGACACTTGTTAAGAAGAAATACCTTCTAATTATTCAGTGATTGATATGAAAAATGAATACAGTGCATTCAAATATGTAATTTATAGTACATTAAAATACAGAAATCTGAGAGAACAAAAGTGTCTGATTTTACCATTGATGTCTGTGGGTAGAAAGGAAGCAGTAATCAAGATGGCACATTCTGACTATTCTGTGATTCCAGTCTAAGCCTTCAGTTAAGTCCTAGGAACAGCAGAGGTGTACCTTGTTTAACTAATTCACCAAAATGTGTTGATGCAAGGCCCTTTGGCAGTTGCATGGGAAACACAAAGGCCATCAATACTTAGCCCTAGTTTTGAAGGAGATTATGAGTAGCTGAGGTAGGTACAAATGACTACCTCAGAAGGCAAAAGGTGATTATAAAGTGCCTCTGCATATCTCTTGTTCCAACTTTTGAACAAATCATCCAAAGAATTTGGACCTTACATAGGAAGTAAGCAGTACCCAACATGTAATTAACAGCAACTTCAACAGTAGTATTTTTTTCTTTAACGTATCACTACTACTTATCAGATAACTTTTTTTTTTTTTTTTTTGAGTCAGAATTTTGCTCTTGTTGCCCAGGCTGGAGTGCAATGGCACAATCTCTGCTCACCGCAATCTCTGCCTCCCAAGTTCAAGCGATTCTCCTGCCTCAGCCTCCCGAGTAGCTGGGATTACAGACATATGCCACCATGCTCAGCTAATTTTGTGTTTTTAGTAGAGACAAATTTTCTCCATGTTGGTCAGGCTGGTCTCAAACTCCCAAACTCAGGTGATCTGCTCGACTCAGCCTCCCAAAGTGCCGGGATTACAGGCGTAAGCTACCAAGCCTGACCTATGGGGTGCCTTTTTAACCAGGAGCAGACTACATCAGTATGTAATTAAAGCTACAACCTTATAAGTGCTTCCAATTAATTGTCTCCAAAAGCAATTTCTACATAGCCCAATTGTGAAAATCAAAGGTACCTGGCTGAAATATTTCCTGGGACACAGTAGGCAAATTTGTTTTAAATTTGGTACAGACAAACTGAGTTGTATATTTACAATGTGAACTAACTGCTATCACTTGAAACTTAAATTTATCACATTATTTAGACAGACATAATTAGTAGAACTCTTCTTTGGAGGTTGAATGCTCCCGGTGATAGTCATGTATGCATCTAGAAAGCCCAGGAAGTAGACTTCTGCCAGATGACAGCCATCTGGTGGCCCTTTGGTAAAATGATGCCTGTTTTTACATCACTGCCCTTTTAACCAAGAAAGCTACTTGAGACATCTTGAATTGGAGGAAGGGTCCACAATGCATCGAGTAAGTATTTCCTAGTGCAGGCCAGGATGGCTCTTTTAAAAACCAACTTTATGTCTCAGAACAGTTTAGATTTACAGAAAAATTGTGAAAATAGCACAGAGTTCCCATGTACCATGTGCCCAGGTTCTCCTATTATTAACATCTTACATTTTGCGGTATACTTATTAGCACTAAAGAAACAAAATTGATGCAGTGTCAATAACTACAGTCCATACTTTTGTTCCCATTTCTTTAGTTCTCACCTAAGGTCCTCTTTCTGTCTCGGATTCCATTTTGGATGCGAATGGAAATTGGATGTGTCCTTAGACTCCTCGTGGCCGTGGCAGTTTATCAGGCTTTCCTTGCTTTCAGTGACCTGAACAGTCAATTTCGGGAGTACCAGTCGGATATTTTGTAGAATGTCCCTTTATTGGGATTTGTCTGATGTTTTTCTCATGACTAGACTGTGGTCATGGATTCTGGGGAGAAAGTCACAGATTCCACAGATGCCATTTTCATCACATCATATCAAGGATAACATAGCATCAACATGACTTGTCACTGTGCTGGTGATCTTGAGCACCCGGTTGAGGTACTGTTTGTAAGGTTTCCCCACTGTAAAGTTACTCTTTTGCTTCTTCCCAGACTATACTCTTTGGAAGGAAGTTACTATACACAGCCTCAATTAAGGAATTGGGAGTTACATTCCATCTCCTTGAGGCCAGAGTATCTCCACAAAATATGGAATTTTTCTGCTTGGGAGATTTGTCTCTTTTATACTATTTATTTATTCAATCATTTATTTATAACATGGACTCATGGATATTTATTTTGTATTTTGAGATATAATCCAAATGCTTATTTATTTATTTTATTTGTCAAATTGTTCCAGCTTTGGCCATTGGGAGCTCTTTCAGTTGGCTCCTGTGTTCCTTTGAATATAGTCTCATCATTGTAAGTTTTGGCCTTTGTTTTGTTTTAGAACTTGCTTATTTTCTGGCTCTACAGGGTGCCCTAGGTTCATCTTGTATATTTTTTTGCTCCAGCCCTAGAATCATTCGTGTCTCCAAGAATCCCTGGTTCTTTTTATTGGATAATGGCCTTGGAAATCAACACCTGGGCACCAAGTATGCTTGCTGCTAATAAGATATTAGGGTGCTATTTTGATGTTCAAGTACAAGTTTGTTCTCATCTTCCTAGAGATTTTCACAGACCCATTTCTCTTTTCCTACTAAATTCACAGCCTGCCCCTCATCCGCTCGGTAAACTCCACCGTCTTCTCTTAGCTATTCATTATCTGCAACTCCTTCAGGACCAAAGCAGCGTTAGAAAAAGCCACCAGAAAAATGAACTCCTTCAGGAACTTGTGTCTCTTAGAACTGATCAGTAGGTATCCCTAGAGAAAATCTGATCCCTTTCCTACCTCTAGGCAGGTGTTTCAGTTCTGATGCACCTTTTAGCTCCTTTTAGCTGCACAATCAGGTATCTACCCTTTAAGAAAGAGGACCCTTTCTTAATAACCAGAAACTCAGCTCAAAATAAATAATAAGGAAATAAAACAATAAGCAAGTATTCTTATAAATGCTCAATAATAAATATGACTAACTACCCATTTCCCTCATAAAGCATTTTAAATGTAAAAGAAAATGTTCTGAATTTCTTTCCTCTGTTGATCAGGCAGCACAGAATCTGCTGCTTGTGTTTTGATGTACTCTGATCTGGGAACCTGTCTGATTAAAGCTATGTTCCCATCCTGCAGAGTTAAGGGCATTCATTGGAAATAATGTATTTTAATGACCAATGAGCAGATGCTATTATCCTGAAATCACATTTCCCATCACTTGGCTGGGATTTGTCTCTTTTTGACATTTGCGTCCTTTTTAAGATTCAGTAGAGACTTTTAACTCCAACAGAGCTCCAAGAGGAGGTAAATGTGAGGGTTTTAATAATTCAACCTTGGAGATCTCTCTAGAAATCAGGACTTATTCACAATGTATTAAGATCTCTTTCTGATCTGCTTGCCAATTCACTGTGCCAGGTCACAGGTATTGGCAGTCTCCCCTATTTGAACTGACATTACCTACTGGAATCACCTGGCAGACTGCCAGCTTGGGACTTCTTGCATCCACTTACGACTTCCTGCAGGAGCCACTGAGAACCTAGATCTGGCTCATGAGAGCAACGTGTCGCACCCTTGAGGAAGGCAGACCCAGCCAGTCTTCTGAAGCAGTCTTCCACCTGGCATTTGAGTAACTGGGGTCTTTTAGGCAATTTAAACAGTTCCTCAGCTTAACCCAGAGGCTCATTGTTCTCAGGTGGATTTTGTTTTGCTTGCATAGTTTCATATTTTAAATTAAATGAGCTGCCATTATTTCAGAATCAAGAATTTCACATAATTTTTCAAGTTTTTTACTTCTCCTGAAGAAAGAAAACAAGCTGGTGCCATTGGACCCCACCTTGCCACATGAAAGTTCAGTAGTGGCTGCCTTTTGGAAACTAGCACTGGGTGAACGCTGACTCTCCGTCATGCATCGCACTCCAGTTTTGCAGAGTGACTGCAGTGGGTTCCCATCTGCGCCACTTAACCTGTGAAATCATTGCCAGCCCCTAGGGGCATCAGGGTTTGTGCCTACTGGCAGGGAATTCAAAGGCTACTCGTCCCTCTTGTAACTGTTTGTCCAATCCCTAAAAACATTGCACTTAAAGCCCTCAAATTTTAAAGGAAAGATAGTTTTCAGATTTGCAGGCTTAAATTAGTCCAAATAGGATTCAACGCTAAATCACTGTGCGGTTCTAAAATGAAAAGTTATGACAGACAGGTTCACCAACAGATGTTAGTAAAGATCTATCTTAATCTCCCTTTAAATGAGGCTTTTTTTCCATGTGAACTTTTCATAACAATTTATCAACAGATTTACCCCATTTAAAAGAAAATCCAACATTGAAAGCTCAAAATTTACACAAAAATTACATTAGGATATGTTTTCTCATTTATTCTCAAAATATTTATTCATTGTACACTACTATAGGCTAGGCAATGTTCTAGGCATTGATTTGTTTAAACAATAATTTATATTCAGTAGCACAAGGGATAATCAGGTGGAAAAAATATAAGCCATAAAACTCTAAGAACATTAAGACTGTGTGTGTGTTTCTGAAAACATGGAATAGTTAGAGGCCAATGGATCAAATACATACCTATATACTAAAAATATTTTAACATATACTTATATAATAGATGTTAATGCATTTTATATTATATGCATTTATTTGTATATTTGTATAAAATGTATTACATATATTATATATTCATTTATATAAAGTTTTTTTTTCTAAAGAGGTCTCATTTTGTCACCCAGGCTGGAGTGCAGTGGCCTGATCTCTGCTCACTGCAGCCTTGACCTCCTGGGCTCAAGCCATCCTTCCACCTCAGCCCCCCAAGTAGCTGGGACTACAAGCACAAACCATCAGGCCTGGATAAATTTTTCGTATTTTTTGTAAAGACAGGGTTTCACTGTGTTGCTCAGGCTGGTCTTGAACTCCTGAGCTCAAGCAATCTGACCACCTTGGTCTCCCGAAGTGCTAAGATTACAGGCCTGAGCCACTGTGCTGGGTCATATATAAAAATTAAAAGGCTATCCACCAAGGTGACAAATAATTGTTCTCTGTGTATAATAGGATTACAACTGAACTTTTTCTTCCTTTTTACTATCTATATTTAAGTCAATTTTTCTTCTACGATGAACCTATATACTTTATTTTTAAAGAAATAATTTATAAAATTTGTATTTGTGTCAAAAATGCCAAAAGTACTGGAATTTGAAGAGGAAGTGCCCCAAGAATAAACCTTCTGGATTCCGGTGTTTTCAAGTCAGTTTCCAGTGGCAAATAGCACAAGTTTTTTTACTTAGTAGTGGGAGATCCTGGATCTTGAAACATGTGCTGGGTAAATGGAGGATCTAGTGGGTGGTCAGGGATGGACAGAAACTACTGGATGGAAGAAAGTCCACTTGGCAGATAGACCATGATTTCTGACCATGGCATCAAGGGACAAGTGAAGGTCATCCAATAGAACACTTTAAGAAGATCCAACACAGAGAAACAGGGAGTGCCAAACAGTGTGGGTGGTACCCGGGACCAGCAAACGGGGAGGGAATCAAAAGCATTCATTATGCACGTTTTATGTGACAAGTGCTAAAGTATGTGATATTTTTATGCATCATAATGAGGAAACAGGCTCAGAGAGGCAAGGGAAACTAGCAAATGGTGAATGCTGACTCCCTGTCACGCACTGTACAATGTATTTCACAGACATGATGAAAATTGCCAAGATCACACAAGTAGTGAGTAGGAGAGTTACAGTTCAAATCAAGGTTTTCTGATTTCATGGCCAATGCTTCTTCCACTCACTATCCCGCCCTTCCTCTGCCTCTGCACCATGAAACATCATCTCAGGAATCCATTCAAGCTATAAGCATGGCGGGGGGGTCTCCTCCCAAGCTGCCCTCTGATGAGGCTGGCACTGGCAAGGCCTCTCAAGGAGAAGAGCTTCCTGAGGACCCCACAGACACACAGGCACAAATGCCATCTTCATCTAGTGTCAGAGAAGCAGACACAGCCCAATATTTATACAATTTTTGGCTGGCTCTAATTTCCAACAATTCATTGAATGCAATAAAATGAGCCAATGATAAAAAGACATTTGGGAGGCTGAGGTGGGAGAATCACTTGAGCCCAGGGAGGCCAAGGCTGCAGTGAGCCATGATTGCACCCCAGTACTCCAGCCTGGACAACAGAACCAGTAATTGTTTAAACAAAAAATTAAAAAAATAAAAAGACATCATTCCTATTTCCAAAAGAAATGGTGGATTTAGGGATGAGAAAAGAGGACACAGATTGTTACTCCCTGGAGTGAATTTCTTCATGTTGTCATAAGCTCTCAGCATTAGCCAATGTGGCATGAGCAGCATTACCGGGATCTTAGAAAGAAAGGGATCCCCATTATTTGCAGAAGTATCATTAAGGCTATACAACTGTGGCACCAAAGGACAGGCACTATTTAAAAATATGCAAAAATTAAAAAGCCATTGGTTTAGGTTAGCGGACATGTGCTGGGGGCAGGGGAGTCAATGTTGCAGGCAGAGTCCTGCCTTTAAAAGGTTTATACTCCAGCTGGCCGGGCGCGGTGGCCCACGCCTGTAATCCCAGCACTTTGGGAGGCCGAGGCGGGCGGATCACGAGGTCAGGAGATCGAGATCATCCTGGCTAACACGGTGAAACCCCGTCTCTACTAAAAATACAAAAAACTAGCCGGGCGAGGCGGCGGGCGCCTGTAGTCCCAGCTACTCGGGAGGCTGAGGCAGGAGAATGGCGTGAACCTGGGGGGCGGAGCCTGCAGTGAGCTGAGAGTGCGCCACTGCACTCCAGCCCGGGCGACAGCGAGACTCTGTCTCAAAAAAAAAAAAAAAAAAAAGAAAGAAAAAAAAAGTTTATACTCCAGCTGTGGAAATAGGGCCTAGCTAGAAAAAAGGAACATAGCAATAGAGGGCACTAATGCAGCAGCAGATGAGTTCGGGGAAGGGAAGGTATTCTTCTCTGCTGGAATAACACCCTTCCACAAACCAAACCTCGCTCCACAGGCTGTTGGAGGCCTACAACTGTCCAATTTTCAAAATAAGACTTTGTTAGCCTGCCATGTAATCTACTGTGATTGTGATATTAAGCTAGCCTATACTATGGAATAACACAAAAAATCTGCTTGTAATTGATTTTTTAAAAATATTCACTTCATCTTTCGTTTTTTCAGGGGTTTACCACGCTTTTCATCCACTCATTCATCCATCCATCCCTCCATCCATCTATCCATCCATTCACCTATCCATTCATCCACCTTAACATTTCATACACTGAGCTAGGTGCTGGGAATCCAAAGACCAGAGAGGCATGGCTGCTGCCCTCACAGCCTGGTCTCCCAGGGAACAGCATTGCACCTGCTTCTTTCTGGGACTTTCTGGCAATCATAACTGGAATATAAATGCCTTCTAGACAGAATGATAAGCTCTCTAAGTAAATCAAATATTCTAACCATGGATTACATCAATGGTTCTCAAATGTTGATAAGAATGCCAATCGCCTTGGTCCAGGTTAAAATGCAGATTCTGATTCAGGTCTGGAGTGGCCAAGATTTTCCATCTCTAATTAGCTCCCAGGTGATGCTGACGTTGCTGGTCCCAGGACCACACTTAGAAGGGCAAGGTTTTACAGTACATCAGTAAGTATGGACTTCTGAACACCAGAAAGAGTTATTCCTCTTAAATTCCAGGGTAAATATACCATCACTAAATTCACTCTTCTTTTTCTGCTTTAGAGAAACAGTTTCACAGAAGTGCTTCAGCCTTTAACTTATCTCCCCGTTTCCCCCACATTTCCCCTTCCAAAAAATTGAGAGTTTAGTCCAATTATTTTTCTATTTCACAGACTTTCTTCAATTTTCTTTCAAGAAAGACAAAATATTGCTTCAGAAATCCACGGAGAATTAAACATACTTCAGAACAAGAAGAAGGGATCCAGAGCTAATTACCCTAAGCCAGCCAGGTTGTGTTAGGAATCCATCATGATCATGTTTACTGCATGCTGCAGACCCGCAAAGCCACCTGCAATTAATTCTGATGGCTACAAGCCACAGGGTACCTAACAGCTTGTGGGCGATTAAGAATAAATCACTAAACTTTCATTTTAAAGGTCCCAGGAAGAAAGTGGGGACAAATGCCAGATATGTTTACATTACTCATAGAACTTAGCGAGAATGAACATTCTCATTTATTTTCTGGCAATGCCTCTTTTAAATTTTTCTATATTTTAGAAAATTATGCTGCCTGTCCTTTGGTGCCACAGTTGTTTAGCCTTAGTGATACTTCCACAAATAACGCAGATCCCTTTCCAAGATCCCACTAATGTCTGAGTATCATTTTTTCATAGGAGAAAATAAATTGGTAATTATTCCCACTGCTTGATGCGGGCACACATTGTATTTCTTAGTAAAAGCTGATTTCACATCCATCACCTCATTAACATTTCTGTATATTTCAAAATGAATGTTATATGATACTGTTTATAAACTCTGGGTTGGTACAGTTTCTAGTTCAATTACAAAAGACCCAAGATAGTTTTTTTTTTTTTTTTCAGGGCCACACAGGGTGCCAACATCCAATCTCAAGATCTTCGGGAAATATGCTCACCCTCCAAAATACTTACAGATGTGTCTCCTCTTTTTTGTAAAATAAATGCTCTTCTTATATTTGGTGTTTCCTTGGTATGGCCACAAGATTATTTAGTATGACATATTTAATGGTGAAGATAAAGGTGAGCATCACAATGTTTTAAACAAATCACATTTGGGTGGGATATTATAAGAAAGAAAGTTCCCAGGGGATAGAAAAATGGTTTCCTTAAATCACTCCATACTCAATAAGCGTCGTAGGGCTCTCAATATACATCACCAGACCAGGAGATGCATTTGGCTAAGGCATACCAGACTAGGATATGAATCACAGAACACTATTCCAAGACTATTACAGAATCCACATACAATATAAACCAGAAAAGGCTGCATTTTAACCTCTGTGACTCATGCATTACAGCCTGTGACTCCATGAGGAGGGTTAGGAATCAGGCTGACATCCAGCTCAGGCCAAACAAACTTACAGCCAAGAGAAACAGAAGCATCACCTTCCCAGCAGAGAGCAAGATGTACAGAGCTTGATACTTTACACTCGTTAGAATTATGTAACTTGTCAATGGTTGAGACTCTAGGGTAGAGGGTTTTGTGCTTTTTATTTTTTCTGGTATAAATATTTAAACTTCTCCATAACATTAGAGTTAGAACTTACTTTCCTGAAATGAAATTCTAAAACAAATTTGACAGCAAAACACTGTGGAATTTTTAAATGCCAACAGGTTTGTGTCCATTACAGAACACACAGAGTTTTGACCTCTCACTTTTCCTGGTGCTACTGCTTTCAAAATTTCTAAGGTCATTGTACCATGGGGCTCTAATTCTTGGTTAAGGAAGGCACCGAGATCATACCAGGAATATTCTCCTATTAGCTGAAACTTGAACTTTGCCTGGCAGGAGGTGTTATAAATTATTTTTTGGCTAGCATTTGCTTTTTAAAACACTCTTTTACCCGGGTTTCTCAAATTAGTTCCTGTAGTGATACTATCTCTATTTTTGCCTCTTTATGACTAGGGTCTTTAATGGCTTCAGAAGTGCCCTGGGCTGAAACTTGATCTGAGAAGGTTATTATCAGAACTGTGTTCCAAGAGAAAGCAGTGTGCTAGCTCTACATGTATACATGAGTTGCCATCAACATGAATTCAATTACAATGAAGATAATTTGGAGTAGACAATTGTATTTTGGTTGCATGACATCCATTTTATCTTAGTGTAATAACACCACAGGTTTTTTTTTTTTTTTTTTTTTTTGATGGGGAGGGGGAACAAATTACCTTTACCCTGTTAGATATACTCTTACAGTTTTTTTTTTTAAATAAATTACCTTTACCCCATTAGATATTCTCCCAAACTGGCATCAGATGTGTGGCCAAAGCCAGATCAATCAAAATAAACTTCAGGAATTTTACAGGAACTATTTAAAAAAAGAAAAAAAAAAGAGTTTCTCTTTCCTGAGAGACATGATTTTGGGAAGAGCATTCCACTTTAAAGGCAGAGTTTGGAGCTGCTGAGGCTGCCACGTGGAGACTGGAAATAGCAATAATCTAATAGAAGCCAGAGAAACCGAGCACTCATGGCCTAATGTGATCCTGCATCAAGGTGTGTTCAAACACAGACCTATCCTTTGATTTTTACCTTTGAGATTTACAAGAACCAATAATTCCCTTTTTGGCCTAAGATAATGTGTGTCAGGAATTCTATGATTTATCACTGAAATACAGACTTGTCATATTTTTCTACAATTGTTCAAAATTATTATTTTATCATTTTCTATTTATAATGGAATTTCGATGAGCTGTTTTAAGGAAGACAAAAATAGAGTGAATATTTTAAATTTAGATATAATCCCATTTTCATTTTTTTCAACTTTAATTCTTTCTCTCTCAGCAAATATTTTGTCAAGATCACAATGCTATAATAATAAGCACTACCATGGATTGATTAGGATTTCACTGCTTTTTTTTCCTATGCCCGAACATATTCCCTTGTATGCTGCTAGTAAAATTGTCAAATAGGGACAAAAGCAAACAAACATAGGACATAGATGATTTATCAATTTGATAAACAGTTGAGAGTTGGCTGCATTTATTTTCAATGGCAAATAATAATAACAATAATGGTAGCTAGCATTTACTGAATGCTTTGTCTATGGGGAGCTCTATGAAAAGCGCTTTACATAAACTAACTCATTTTATCCTTAAACTTACCCGGGAGGCAGTGGTGTGCTGGTAAAATGGCTCTGGGGGATGAGAGGGAAGCCAGATTGACAGTTGACTCATTTTTGTGGTGTAAATACTCCCACCCTGGCTGATTTCAAGCAACTGACAGTTTAAATACTAGTTTGCAAAATTCTTGCATATTTAACATCAGCTCTTTGGATCAGGTAAAATAGACTCCAGTCCACCACTGCAGGAAACTAAATCGGAAGACAGATCATGCAGCTTCCTTAACTCTAGCAGTTTGTAAACCCGTTTGTACTACTCCAGAGCACACCTCTGGAGTACAGAGTGGAGTGTCAACCTCTGTACTCCTTTCTAATCATGGGGCAGATTTTTGCTGTGTTTAAAAAGAGTGCTTCAATGTTCTGTATTTTATGGGTGAACAGCAAAAGTTGATATTAAATATGATGCTTGTATCATGTCTTCGGTTAACAGACACCAAGCTATTCTACTACAGAATGTTTTGAAGATAACTGTGTCTAGTGCATGTCTGGGCACGTTAACAAAAATTAAAGAATGATAAAAAGGATGGGGCATCAATTATGAGTGATCTCTTGGAATGTTTCAGCCCCAAACCCTTCCTAATTCATGTGTTGCCATGTTTCTTAATCTTACTATTAATACAACCCTTTCCAAATGGTTCGGGAAATTTATAGGTGGGTTTTGAGCCCATGGAAAATACTGAGTTGTAATTATGGATTTAAAATCCTTATACACGTGTGTGTAGTGTGTGTGTGTATAAATGCCAAATATTCCCATACTACAGAAGATTAAGTAAATTATAACTGATGAGATGTTACACTAATTTCCTTTCATCCTTATGCAGGCTTGACTACAAAGTCTCTCTTGGCTCGCAAGTAGAGGATTTTGCATATATTGTTTATTATTTCATTCCAAGCCCAAAAGCCGCAACAAAGTAAAATTGATTAAAAAAAAAACTGTAAACAGTAGATAATAGACGTCTTTGCACAGCAGAACTCTCAGAGTTCACTAGATAATAGACATGAAAGCACTTTGGAGAATTCAAGGCATGACACAAACGTGAGGAATTATTATTGAGTAAAAAAAAATCTCAAAGGAAAATTCCTCAACAGCTCAACTTATACATATTGTTTTCAAACTATGAGTATATAACAAAGTAGAAACTTCCCTATTATACACATGTAATAAAAGAGCTAATAACTGATGTGGCTCTGAGAACTGTATATTTTGTATGTATTTGAAGAAGAACGATTTTAGTTTTTAAGAAACTCAATCACTCCTGCATCCCTTACCAAAGGTATTAAGGAAAAAAATTCTCCATAAGAAATAATACAGAATTTTATATGTGAATATTTACATAAATCCTTAAGTTTTAAAAACCTCATTCCATTAATAAAGTATTATTAACTTTATTTAGGTAGGATAATATTATTGAGATATTTTTTAAGCGTTCTTATCTGTTGGAGTTACATAAAAATCTTCACAGATGAAATAATATAATGTCTGAGATTTGCTTCAAAATACCTGGGAAGGGGGCTATGGGGGACAATCAGTGAAATGAGACTGGGCATGTTTTTGATAACTGTTGAAGCTGTGCTGATGGTACATGAAAGAATTTTTTATATGTTTGAAACTTTCCCCAATAAGAGTTCAAGAAACCTACGTCACAGCAATATCTAAAACATTTTAGAACAATTCTAAGGGCTGAACAAGAGTATGGTGCGAATTCATTTCCAAAGTACCCATTCTTACTGACTTCACTGCCTGATTTTGGTCTATTCTAGTTCGGTCCACGCTTACATTGCTGCCAGAATTACATTTCAAAAAAATTAAATGAGTTCATGGAACTCCCTTGCCCAAAATAATTCTTTTGAGTTCCCATCACCAAAAGAATACAGTTCGCAATTCTTTCTTTTGTGATCTCACAGCACTTTAGTCTCATTCTCCTATAGAAATCTCCTGTGTAGTATAATCTTTTCAGCATCTATGTTCTTGTGTCCTGCAAGATGGTGAAAACCATGAGTACAGAGATCAGGTCTTTTTATCTTCCTATCTTTGGTGCTTGGCATATTATCAAGCATGTGGTAGATGCTCAATAAATTTTTGATGAGCAAAGTAAATGTGAAATGCAAACAGATTATATAAAAGTAAATGCTTAGACCAATGAAACTATAACAGGTAAGTCATGATAGCTAAACAATTTCTACTTAGCAGTTTTGTTTTTTATTTTTCTTTAACCCTTCTAAATAAGGCATGAAATTTATTTATAATCAAAATTAAAGGGAAATACTTATGCTAATAAAAAGTATCTTTTAATTGAAAAAGACACAGGTAAATGAATGGGCATAATTTTTGATACTCTTACATATATACACCTAAAGCAAATCTAGCTATCAGAAATATACTATCCTCAACAGATAGGATCTTGGTAATACTGTCAGTGCAAGATTAGTTGTTTTACTGCTATAATCATGGTCATAAAAATCATAATCAACTTGGGTGCCTTTCTGCAAGCAATAAAAAACAGATAAATTAGACTTTGTCAAAAGTAAAAACTTTTGTTCATCAAAGGATACTATCAACAGAGTGAAAAGACAATTCATAGAATGGGAGAAAATATTTGCAAATTATATAAAGAACTCCTATATCCCAACAACAAAAAGTCAAACAATGCAGTTAAAAAATGTGCACAGGGCCTGGATAGAATTTTCTCCAAAGAAGATATACAAATGGCTGAGAAGTATATGGAAAGATGCTCAATGTCACTAGTCATTAGGAAAATGCAGGTTAAAACTATAGTCATATACGACTTCACACTCACTCAGAATGGCTATAATTTTAAACATGGAGTATAATAAGTGTTGGTGAGGACACGAAGAAATTGGAACCACATTGCTGCTGGTGGAAACGTAAAGTGGTACAACCACTGTATACAACAGTTTGGCATTTCTTTAATAAGGTAAACATAGAATTACCATGTTACCCAGCAATTCTAGGTATATACTCATGAAAAACAAGTGTTAAAACAGAAACTTGTACACAAATGTTCATAGAAGCACTATTCACAATAGACAAAAGAAAGAAACACCCAAATGTCTATTGCCAAATTACTGAATAAGGAAAATGTGGCATATCATACTATGGAATATTATTCAGCCATAAAAAGGAAGAAAGCACTGGATTATGATACAAATGGATGAATCTTGAAAACATTATGATAAGTGAAAGAAGCCAGACACACAAGGCCACACATTATATGATTCTATTTATAGAAAATATCCAGAATGAGCAAATCCATGGATACTGAAAGCAGATTGGTAGTTGTCAGACTGCGGGTAGGAGAGAATGAGGAGTGACTGCTTAATGGGTATAGGATTTCCTTTTGGAGTGATAAAATGTTTTTGAAAGCAGATTGTGATTAGGGTTGCACAACACTGTGAATATACTATTGTTGAATTTATACTTTAAAATGGGAAATTTTGTTGTGTGTATTTTACCAAAATAATAAATGAAACTTTCAAAGTTCAGCTTCCAGAGATCCTATTTTGAAGCACCTGGTATGGGGCCTAGGAGCGTGTAGTTTTAATAAGTACCACAGTAACGTGATGCAGGTGGTATTGGGAACAAACTCTGAGAAACATTGGTGTACTGTTTCTAGGGATATTTAAATTACTTCCATGATAAAAACCTTATACCATATAATCTAGCCAGGAAAATGCCTCAGGGACATCACACATTAACCTTCAAAGTTCCTACCTCTTAATATGGGAAACCATTCACAACTTTAAATGACACAACTCCAGGGCCTAGTTACATAAAAACACCTTCAGTCTCTCCACTCAGAACTCTTCCTGTGACATCTGGAGTCACAATTCTGTTCCCTGATCAAGGTTAATCTCTCCTATACTCTTGACCTCATTCTTTTCTTCTCTCTCATGTTTTCAGCAATTTTTGTTTCTAGTGCTTCCTCCCTTCCACCTAAAAACCATGCCTACATGTCTGCATCCTAACAATGGGTCTCCCTTAACCTTTTCTTACATCCGTACACAGCCAAGATCCTTGAAAAGCCAGCAGATGTTTTGTCTCTCAGTTTTTGTCTTCCACCTCCTTACCCTACCCCGCCATTGAATCCTAAGAGGAGCGCTGTGAGATTTATACTGTTTTTATTTCATTTTACTATAGGGAAAATAATAAGCTCTACCAGGATATAAACTCCATGAGAAGAGGAGTTTTGTGTGTTATTCATTGCCCTTTTCCCAGAATCTAGATGAGTACTTCAGTCAATGCTCAGTGAATATTTATGGAACCAAAATAGCATGTACATGATAAGCAAAGCTTTGAGAATAGAGGAAATCTAAGAAAACCCAAGTTCAATGATCTAGACCCATTTAGGTTGTAACAATTTGCAAATTTTTTAACTCAAGTAAAGTCATCCCAACTTAGAATTCTGTCTCTATTTTGTCCCAGGCAATATTGTTAGGAAGCAACTGGAAACTTGCCTATGAGTACTCAGAAACCTCTGCTCTAAGACACCCCACATCAACATAACTGATAGGGAAATTGCAGAGTTCAGAAGAAGGGACTCAAGTTGTAATTTTGTTCTTTTAATAGAGAAGTATTCTGAAATAGGAGGAAAGTTAAGAGAGGGTACTTCTTGCATGGTGTTTACCTTAATATATTAGTCTAAAAAAGTAAATGGATTTGAGTATTGTGCTTTCATAAACTTCCTTTTCCATTCTTGTTTCAATATGAATTCCTAGTATTTTAAAATTTCCTATGACAAAGCATTGAAAAACCATGACTAGTAAGCTATATTTTTCACTTTTGAATCATTTTCCTTTAAATTTTATTGACAGCAAAACAATTATTTCATTTATTTGCTCATGGAATTTATTTATAATAAATTATCTACTCCAACTAAAAATTAAGTACTATAAATATTTGTATCTTGTGGCACAGAAGATAAAAAGGATGAGCCTCAGGACAAAATAAAAAACACAGGAAGTGAGCTTACTTCACAGGGCTGTAAAATCTACTTTGCAAAGCAAGTTTGCCATGAATCATCTTATTTAAGACATTCTGTCCAATTTTCATTGAGCCTCTACTCTAAGCCAGGCATTGTGGTAGCCAATGAAGACCCAAAGACAAAACAGCACGGCCCCTATCATGATGGTGTCGCAGTTTCACAATACAATATTTCACCACGGGTAAAAGGTCTCAAAACACCTGAAGCAAAACCCCATTTCAGATGCATAAGGAACATCTAAAATATACATCAAAGTGAAAAATATCTACTTCCCAACCTTCTTTCTCTGTATGCAAACATTTTCCTTCTGTCCGGCCTGACAACTGGAACATGGATTCCAAGAATAGGGCAGAAAGTTTGTCACACACCAACAAGTGGCAGCCCCACCATATCTTGGCTCCATTTTTTTGGCCCCTGAGCTAGTCTTCTCTTGGTTCCCTATCACCCTCAATGTTTCTCCTGATTCTGGGGATCTATGCCATCACCAAAGCACTAGAATTTCAATTAAGAAAAAAAACACGTTCTAACTATTGCCACTGATATTTATAAAGCATTCAGGGTGGGCAATAGTTGGAAGGCTCTAAAGCATTCTTTTTAAGACAGCCAGCACACAAAGTGTGCCTTTTGTTGGAGTGTTCCAAGAGAATATTTTTCTTGCTAGTCACTGGAACAGCTGGTTGGGGATTTCCCTATTTTTGTTAGAGTGAACTAATTTGGTAAGGAAAGTAAATGAATCTTTTCAACTCCCCACCTTCCTCTACTCCCCCCACCCTCATAAGTCAGCTGTACCTCAGGAAAGGTAAGAAGCAGACAAAGAAGTCATCTGCAAATGACTCAGATGGCTGGATTTTTCTTTCTGGGTTTCCCACCACAAGGCAAGAAACTTTAGTAGAGAGAGAAAGGTGGGGGTTGGGGGAACCACGTTACTGGCTACATACTCAATGCCTCTGCTCTCCCAGACAATCACATTCCATTCTGGAATGTAATTGCCCAGAAGGAAGCCAGAATTGGTTACATAGATGGTATGCCCAACTTTAAATTTGCTCCCCCTACCAACCTGCCCAAAGTTCTTTGTGATAGGTGCATGTTCCCAATGCTATCTATGTATTCATTTTTTTCTTTCAAAAAATGCTTGTTAAGCATCCACTATGTGTCAGGCACTATGTAGATGTTGAAAAATATAATAATGAGAAAAACAGAGGCTTACTGTCTGCTGGGGAAATAGACATTGGTCAAAATATAACACAAATGAGCTCATAAGCTAAGGTAAATGTTGAGAAGAAACACAGTACTATGATGGCTTCCCAAAAGGGACAGACATGGACTGAGGTGGGGGCAGCTCAGGGAGGGAGAGGTGAAAAATAGTTAACTAGGTGGAAGAATTCAGAAGGGTGACATCCAGACAGAAAACAGCATGTGCAAAGGCCCTGTGACAAGGGGGAGCTTAGTGTGTTAGAGAAATTGAAAAAAGGTCAAAAACGGTGGAATTCAGAAATGAGGAGAGTAGTGCAAAGTGGAAGCAGGACCCATCAAAAATAGAAAAAGCCCATTAAAACCAATACCTGAGTCCAACCAGGTTTTGCCATACAAGATCAATATATAAAAGTCCATTGTATTTCTAGATGCTAGCAATGAACCATCCAAGAACGCAAAACTCCCCAAATTGATCTACAGATTCAACACAATCCCCATCAATATCCCAGATTATTCCTTTGTAGAAATAGACAAGATAATCCTAAAATAGACAAGATGATCCTAAAATGAAAAAGCAGAGGACATATTTCCCAATTTCAAACCTTACCACAAAGCTGTAGTAATCAAGACATTGTGGTACTGCTGTGAAGATAGACACGCAGATCAATGGGGTAGCACTGAGAGTCTAGAAATAAACCCTATTATCTTAGGTGGCTAGTTGATTTTTGGCAAGGGTGCCAGGAAAATTATGGGGAAAGAATAGTTTTATAATAAATTGCGCCAGAACAACTGAATATCAATATTCAAAAGAATGATGTTACACCAATATCTCACACCAAATACAAAGATTAATTCAAAACATATAATTGACCTAAATACAAGCATTAAAACTATAAAGCTTTCAGAAGAAAACAGGAGTAAATCTTCCTGTTCTTGGATTAGGCAATGATTTCTTAGCTATGACACCAAATTCACATGTGACAAAGGAAAAGAATTGATAAATGGAACTTCATTAAAATTAAAAACTTTTGTGCTTCAAAGTACACCACCGAAAAAGTAAAAAACCCACAGAATGGGACAAAATATTCTCATATCATAGATAAGTCAAGTGAGGGACTTATAACTACAATATATATTCTTAAAACTCAACAATAAAAAAGACAACCCAATTTTAAAATGTACAGAGTTAACACATACAAAAATATGAATCTAGACACAGACTTTGTACCTTTCACAAAAATTAACTCGAGATGGATCATAAATCTGAAAGTAAAATGCAAAAATATAAAACTCCTGGAAGAAAACACAAGAGAAAATCTAGATGACCTTGGGTGCAGTGATGACTTTTTAGATATAAGATCAAAGCCATGGTCCAGGAAAGAAATAATTGATAAGCTAGACTTCATTAAAATTAAAACTTCTGCTCTGTGAAAGATACTGTCAAGAGAACAAAAAGACAAGCCACAGACTGGGAGAAAATATTTGCAAAAGACATATCTGATAAAGAACTGTTATTCAAAATACATAAGGAAATCTTAAAAGTCAGCAATAAAAAACGAACATCCCAAGTGAAAAAATGAGCAGATGAAGAGACACCACACCAAAGAAGATGTACAGATAGATGACAAGTGAGCATATGAAAAGATGTTCAAAATCCTACGTTATTAGGGAATTGCAAATTTAAACAACAGTGAGGTACTATTACACACATATTACAATGGCCAAAATCCAAAACACAAAACCAAATGCTGGTGAGGTTGTGGAGCAACAGGAACTCTCATTCATTGCTACAGAGAATGCAAAATAGGATAGCCACTTTGGAAGACAGTTTGGCTGTTTCTTACAAAACTAACTTACAACACTCTTATCATATGATCCAGAAATCACACTCCACGGGATTGACCCAAATGAAATGAAAACTTAAGTCTACATAAAATTCTGCACATAGATGTTTATGCAGCTTTATTCATAACTGCCAAAACTTAGAAGCAGCCGAGGTAGCCTTCAGTACGTGAATGGATAAATAAAAACTGTGGTCCGTCCAATACAATGAAATACTCTGCACTAAAAGCAAATGAGCTATTGAACCATGAAAAGACACGGAGGAAACTTCAATGTATATTACTAAGGGAGGGAAGCCATTCTGGAAAGGTTACATGCTGTATGATTACAACTAGATGGCACTCTGTAAAATGCAAAAGTACAGAGAGATCAATGTCTGAGAGAAAGGAAGAATAGGAAAAGCACTAAAGGGTTTTGAGGAAAGTAAAACTATTCTGTATGATACTACAATGGTGGATACACATCATTGTACATTTGTCAAAACCCATAAAATATACAACATAAAGAGCGAACTCTAATATACACTATGGACTTTGATGATAATGTATCTGTGTAGATTTATCAGTCTTAACCAATGTACCACTCTGGTGGGGAATGTTGATAGTTGGGGAGACTGTGTGTGGGGGGCAGGGGGTAGTCAGGATATCTCTGTACCTTCCTATTTTCCTGTGAACCTAAAGCTGCTTTTTAAAAAGCCTATTTAAAAGAAATCCACCCAAACATATTAAACAAACTCCATTATCCATATCACTCCACCATGTAAAGTGTTCTCCCTAAAACTGCTCAGCTGGTTTATGAATGATCATAACTAGAAAGTAAGATGTTTTCTAAAAACTTTTAAAAATATGGACAAGAGGCCAGGTGCGGTGGCTCACGCCTGTAATCCCAGCAGTTTGGGAGGCCAAGGCGGGCAGATCACTTGAGGTCAGGAGTTCGAGACCAGCCTGGCCAACATGGTGAAATCTCGTCTCTATTAAAATACAAAAATTAGCCAGGTGTGGTGGCAGGCACCTGTAATCCCAGCTACTGGGGAGGCTGAGGCAGGAGAATCGCTTGAACCCAGGAGGCAGAGGTTGCAGTGAGCCAAGATCATGCCATTGCACTCCAGCCTGGGGGACAAGAGCGAGACTTCCTCTAAAAAAAATAAAATAAATAAATAAATTAAAAATATGGGCAAGAGGCCAGCTGCAGTGGCTCATGCCTGTGATCCTGGCAATTTGGGAGGCTGAGGCAGGAATGATCACTTGGGGCCAGGAGTTCAAGATTAGCCAGGATAACATAGTGAGACCCTGTGTCTACAATTTTTTTTAATTAGCTAGGCATGGTAGCATGGGCATGTAGTCCCAGCTACTCAGGAGGCTGAGGTGGGAGGATCACTTGAGCCAAGGAGGTGAGGCTGCAGTGATTCATGATTACACTAACACACCCTAGCTTGGAAAACAGGGTGAGACCCTGTTTCTCTCTCTCTCTCTCTATATATATATATATATATAAAATATATATATAATATAATGCAATATAATATAATATATATATGGGCAAGGATTTGCATAGACATTTTACCATAGGAGAATAAACAGATGACAAGATGTGTTTAATGATAAGGTCAATAAACACATGATAAGATGATCAACATCATTATTCACAAAAGAAACACAAATCAGACCCACTTCATATCCACCAGGAAAGCTTAAAATAAAAAAATCAGACAATAATAAGTGTAGACAAGGATGTGGATAAATTGGAACCCTCATACCTTGCTGGTGGGATTGTTAGGTGGAGCAGCCACTTTGGGAAAGTTTGTCAGTGTTTCAAAACATATAACCCAGCAATTTCACTCCAAGAGAATTAAAAACATGTATCCACACAAAGATATGTGCATGAATGTTTATAGCAACGTTACTCATAGTAACCAAACAATGGAAACAACCCAAATGTGCATCACCTGGTGAATGGATCAACAAAATGTGGTATATCCACATCGTGGAATATTATTTGGCCATAAAAAGGAACACAGTGCTAATATATGCCACAACATGGATAATCCTTGAAAATATTTTGCCAAGTGAAAGAAGCCAGTCTCAAAAGACTATACATATTCCATGTCCATAATAGGCAAATCTGTGGAGATAGAAAGTAGAAATGTCCAGAATAGGCAAATCTATAGAGCAGAAAATAGATTATTGGTTGTTTAGGGATGGGGTGAGGGGAGAATAGGATTATGATTGGTAAACAGTATAGGGTTTCTTTTTGAGGTGGTAAAAGTGTTCTAAAATTGATTGTGTGATGGTTGTACGTACTGTGAATATATTTTAAAAACCACTGTATTATATACTTTAAAGGGACAAATTTTATGTGTGTAAATTATATTTCAATAAGCTATTTTTTTTAAGTGGGGCTAGAAAGGTTTGAGGACCCTGGAAGCCATGAGAGTACTGAGTTTCCCTGATTTCAATCAAAAGATGACTGAATAGGCTCAAAATGTCCTTGTAGCTCCCTGAGCATTAGAAGAGAAAACTGCAAAATATCTGAGTAGTTCACTTTTGGTGGGGAATGTGGGTGAACTGCTCACTGCTCTTCCCTTTCCCTGAAAGTCTTTATCTCCTCTTGAATCTCACCTTGGGTCAACAATACATCTAATTGAGCGGCTGCCCCGGGGCCCTGCGTTCTCCACTGGAGAGTACCTGGCACATACTTCTAGTCCTATCTGGACTCTGGTTCCTCTGCCTGGCTCATCAGCTTTTTGTAAAACAAGCAGGAAAGCATAACCTTTGGGGTCACACAAATGACTCTGCTGCACAGCTGAAGTGCAGGCCTTTGTCCAACTGCTTCCTGCCCGACTTCCTGTGGTAGCAGATATTGATTTTTCTCATGACAAAGCAATTATTTACCTGTTCTGGAAGGCTGGGAATTTTAATCCCCAGTTTTAGAGGAGGGAAAGTGACACTGGCAACCTCTTTAAGTAGAATGTTATAGAAGGAAAAGCTAAATAGTGTGACAGCTGTCTGGGCAAAGAAGAGAGAGACGGTGATATTTACATAGACCTGATAGGTATTGAAAATAGGAAAGGTAGAAAGAATGTTTTAAAAGGAAAACTTCTAGGATTGTATCCAAAAGAAACAACTTCCTATAGCTAGGCTCTAAGCCCTTGTCCAATAAAAAAATCAACCATCATAAGAAACAACTCAATCTCCAATCATGCAGCACTGTTGTAATTAAGCTTTGAGGACTGGTGACTACATCACACATTACCATGGGTAGAGTGACAAAATCTTTCCTCCCTGTAATAGTGATATTATATGGGTAAAAGCTGCTTATGTGGAAGAAGTTGGTTTAAGCATGTGGTTCGAGAAAACATAACCAGTTAGTAGACTTTAGAATGAATTGAGATCTACAGCCGTTTGAACTATGTGGATGGCTGTCCCTACAGGCAGACAGGAGCAGGGTGAGTTCCCTGTGTACCCCCACCCTCCATAGACTTGACTCCTTGGTTGTGCAAGGCACTGGCAGAGCTGCCCAGGCACATGCAACAACCAGTCAACCCAAGGCTGTGAATTAGGTCCTTTCCCCACCCACCTAGAAGCTGCAATTCTGCTGTTCCCCAAAAGACTTTCTTCCTATTGGTCTTACTATAATTGAAAGAGATAAAAGGATCCACATTGAAGAAAGTAGCCCACCAGGAAAACTGCAAGTGAGGGGAGTTATTGTCAGTGTGCAGTGACAAGAACTCACTAGGCACAACCTCAGCCAAGACCCAGAGACGCTCTCTGAAAGTGGAACAGGGGTGGCATCCTAGGAGGAAACAGGAAACCTGGGTCTAAGGGCCTGGCAATGTCATCTTGAGACCACGACATTTATTGATAGGGTTCAGAAGGGTATTTCTTTTTTACATTTATTGATAGGGTTCAGAAGGTATTTCCTTTTTAAAGGATGGCATTAGTAGCTATGACAAGCCTGGTAGAAATGTCTGAATGTGATTATTTCCCAGTTGCTGAATGAGTTGAAGATCATCAACATTTGGTGAGACTCAGTACTAGGTCAGGAATTATATAAAATGGAGAGTCAGCCGTAATCTCTATGCATTAGACTCCTGTAAAAACACCAGTGTGTTGCTCAGACTCTGAGCTAATAGCCTCAGGAAAAATAATTTATGCCATTCAGGACAACTCATACAAGTGTAATGTGGAACCTGTTTTATCCAGCTTTTTTTAAAGGCAATTTTTCTGGAAATCAAACCACTCTAAGAAATAAATCCTTGTAAACATCTCTGAGTAATTGCCAAAGCCTCTCTAGCAGAGCAGTTCCCTACCATCAGCCTGCCCCACCCCAGAAAAAAACCCAGACTCCTCGAAGCCCAGCAAAAACCTAAGTAGGTCTTGGCTTTGTTCATCTGGCATTGTAATTCCTCTGAATGGTCCTCTCTTTGTCATTGGGCTACACTTAGGTAAAATCAAGAGAGCTGCAAAAGGTATGTGACCTAAGCACTTGGCAAGACATGGAGGAGGCAGAGACCATTATTGGTTGTAGGACATAACATTTTCTGGACTGTTCTAAAGATACATTATTCAGAGTGAGCTAATAGCAGTATTGCAGCCCTCAAAGGGCTGGATGACATTGACAACATTCACTGACATTCCACTAAGTGCCAGGCCATGTGCTGAGCACTGGGTTGACAAAGATTTACAAAATGGGGTTGAATGAGCTTTAGGATAACTTAGGACTGAGCTCTGTCTCCTTACTACTATTACTGTTGAGAAGGTCAGTTTGTGGGCCAGATCTGAAGCTTGTAATGCAAAAAGAGAAAAATGATTCTGAAAATAATGACAGAACTAAGTACAAACTCTGTCCTCAAGAGTTTCAGTCAATGTAGGTGGTTGTTTATATAGGAAGGACGTCTTCAGACTCAGGAAATTATGAAATAAGCACACAAAACAAAATTTTTACTAATTTAAGTCATGTTTTGTGTTAACACTTCCACCTGGGTGGAAAATTGGCTCAAAGACATATGACTGCTAATATAATCAGTAGCAGGTGATCAGTGAGGTATCATGGACCCTGGGGTGGGCACAATATATTTTATTCATTTTCTCTTCAATCTGAATGAATATAATTGTTGTCAGCAAAATCACAAGATGATTCCTAGACACAATCCCAGAATATGAAAAATGCATATTTAATAATTTCTTTTTTTTTTTTTTTTTTTGAGATGGAGTCTCGCTCTGTCACCCAGGCTATAGTGCAGTGGTGCTATCTCAGCTCACTGCAAGCTCCACCTCCTGGGTTCACGCCATTCTCCTGGCTCATCCTCCCGAGTAGCTGGGACTACAGGTGCCCGCCACCACGCCAGGCTAATTTTTGTGTATTTTTAGTAGAAACGGGGTTTCACCATGTTAGCCAGGATGGTCTCGATCTTCTGACCTCGTGATCCGCCCACCTCGGCCTCCCAAAGTACTGGGATTATAGGCGTGAGCCACCACGCCTGGCCCCAATAATTTCTTTTAAAAAGCCCCAGAGAAGAAAAGATGAATAATTTTGACAGATATTCAGCGATGTGGTGGTAAATGTTTAACAACTGACTCCCTGGAAAAGAAGTATATGTTTATTATAAATTTTACTGATATAATAGATGGATAGCACATATACAAATGCTAATACAAGCAATAAAAATTAACTGATACTCAGAGAGTGCTTTTGTTGATTTTTGCCAGTCTCATATCCATAGCCAACTTATGGCTGCAATTGACAAATGAATGTATTTCTGATATGAATATTGATTGGCATTTTCATTTATGTTAATGAGTAAAGCAAAAGTAAAACAGCAAAGACCATGAAAGAACTTCACCTGTTCCACAATAACATGAGAAAATTTTTTGTCAAACTGAACTTGATAATAGTTGTTGAGTACGGGAAGAATATTTCCTCAATTTTTTGTGCTATTCATTATGTAATGGCTGTAGATACAACACATTTTTCTTTTGAAGTATGTTAGACCCACAGTTAAGTGATAATGATCAAAACTAATAAACATTGGCACCGTACTATTAACCAAATTGCAGACTTTATTCAGATTATCAGGGTCCCAAATTGCATTTAGTTGTCATTTCTCCTTGTGGCTGTGATAATAATACCTCAATATGTCCTAGTCTTTCAGGACCTTGATACTTTTGAAAATAATGGTCAGTTATCTTGTTGCTTATCCCTCAATTTTGGCTTGTTTGACATTTTCTCGTGATTATGTTAAAGTTATTCATTTTATGCAAGAATATTTCAGAAGTAATGTGCCTTTCTAAGCACATCATTATCAAGGGGTACATGATGTTGATATATCTTATTACTGGTGATAACCTTAATCACTGCTAGGATTTAAATGTGTCCCCTAACAAGCATGTGTTGGAAACTTAATCTCCAATGCAACAGTGTTGGGAGGTAGGGCCTAAAAGAAGGAGGTGAGGTCATGAAGGCTCTACCATTATAAACAGATTAATGCCTATTATGAAAGGGCTTGAGGCCACTAGTTTACTCTTTTGCTCTCCCTCACCCTCTTTGCCCTTCTGCCATGAGAAGATGCAGGAAGAAAACCCTCACCAGATGCTGGCGCATTGGACTTACCAGCTTCCAGAATCATGAGCCAATAAATTTGTGTTCATTATAAATTACCCAGTCTCAGGTATTTTGTTATAGCAGCACAGAATGGACCAAGACAATCTCTTTGTTAAGGTGGTATCTGCCAGAACGCTGAACTGTAAAGTTACTGTTTGTCCTTTTCTAATTAATAAATATCTTGCAGCCGGGTATGGTGGTTCCTGCCTGTAATCCCAGCATGTTGGGAGGCTGAAGCAGGTGAACCACTTGAGCTCAGGAGTTCAAGACCAGCCTAGGCAACATGGTGAGACCCCATGACTACTAAAATTAAAAAAAAAAAAAATAGCTGGGTGTGGTGGTGCATGCCTGTGGTCCCAGCTACTCGGGAGGCCGAGGCAGGAGGATCACTTGATCCCCAGAAGCAGAGGTTGCAGTGAGCCAAGATTGTGCCACTGCACTCCAGCCTGGGTGACAGAGTAAGACCCTGTCTCAAATTAAAATAATAATAATAGTAACTCACAAATAAATAAATATATTGAGGTAGATGCAACACACTTTTACATTTAATCTACCTTATTAATATCTACCTGTTACTTTCTTAAGACTACATAACCAACAAAACAATAAATCTAACTCTGATTTGTGGCATTTGCCAGTTTCTGTGGTATAAATACTCCAAACATGGCCCCATTTCAGCTTCCAGTGTGACGCCACGGAGAGTGGAGCTGGGAAGAGAGCTACAGTAACCCATCACTATGTAGTATGTCCACCATACAGACAGAATCGATGTGAGTAACTTCAAGAACATAGGTAATAGCAAAATGCAGTAAAATAATTAAGAAATGATTAACTGAGTATTTACTACCTTTCTTTAGAATGTAATGAACATTTACATAATGTAATTTTTAACAGTGGCTGTGTTTAACAACATCCTCAAAACATCCTGAGATTTAACAGCTGTCTCTCATGAGCTTGTAGGAGCTGGCTCCAGCTCACAATTGCAGGCATTATTGCCTGTAGCCAGATGGCCACCAAGGGCATCTTATCACAAAGCTGGGAATGAGAACTAAACTCTCTCTTAGATTCTTGTCACAAGCCATACAAACTAACTGATACTCAGAACGTGCTTTTGTTGGTTTGTGCCATTCTTTCATCCATAGCTAACTGATTTCCAGTCACAGGAAATGTTCACTTTAACTGGAAGAAAGGGTAAAAATGGCTGTGTGGGTTCTCTGTTATGAGATATCACCTCAGGTGCTTTTGCCAGGTGAGATGTTTAAGACACGTGTCTCTCAAGGTAGGGTGGTCTATCGGGAGATGCTGGGACTAGGGAACAAAATTCCCAATTTTATATTTACTACTTGCTTATGTAGAAATTTCAGTTCTTTTTCCTGATCCACTAGGGTGAAATGATTGCTACTGGATATATAAGAAACACACAGATAAAAGCAATATTGATAAAATGCCTGGCCAGCACAGTGCCTGAACAATAGTAGTTGTGCTCGCTCTCTCTCTCTCTGTGTATGATGATAAATATGTGTGTTATGTATTTTTAATTAGCAAACACTTCTGTAGTGCTTATTAAACATCAACCACTTTACATGCATTCACATGTATGAGCTCATTTAATTATCACAGCAATCCTGAAAAGTAGATAGGCATTTTCATGATTATTGTTATTCTCTTTTTATAGATGTGTCAACGTAGGCACAGAAAAGTTAAGAAACTGGCCCAAGGCCAAAAAGTTAGTAAGAAGTACAACTAGGATTTAAGCCCAAGAAGTCTAGCACCATAATATATGCTTTCAGACACTATAAAGTGTTTTCTTCCCCATTTAGAGGAAAGGCATGAACTGAAAACACAAAACACCATGTTTCTAGGTCTGCAGGGCTGTTCTGTCAGCATGTCCCCCAAGACCAACTATTCATCTTGTGTGCCTTGGAAAGCGTGACTTATGATAGTTATAGTAAGTGTCTGCCTGTGAGAGGAGATATGGGGCTCATAGACTGGAGGATGCTTTCCAATTAAGTTAACAGAAGAAGAGAGATTAGCACCCTTTGATGGGAAAGCTCTACTGAGCCTTAGTGGCAGGAGGAAACTGGGGGATGTTAAGGGGTGAGAGGTTGTTGATTCTAGGAAGCTTCCTGGGAGCTCTTTGATGCACTGGCTAGTTTTGCTGGAAGATTTCTCTGCACGGACATGGTTCAATTCCATTCTGCTCTGATATAAAAGAACCACAGGATATCAGAACTATCAAATGATTTCCTCTTTGTATTCAAAGTCAGAAAAAGCAGGTACTAAGACCAGTGATTTTCAAACTTTTTTTTTTGAGCAAACACAAGCCTACCCTCTTTCCCCAATGCAATCTCACATGGAAACCCAATATATAAATGACAGAGATAAAAGTAAAACCATTGGTTGTAGCTGGGTTGGGGATCTTGGTGTTTTACCTTTGGGGACCTTCTAATGGGCTCCCCAAAATTCTGGAATGCAAGGGTTTAATTATACATACGGAAGATTAGAGATATAGCTAAAGTTCCTCATCTTATAGTTGTGGGAGCCCAAAAAGCAGGAAGGAAAAGTGATTTTTCCAAGGCCACAACAGCAGGCAAAACCAGGTGGAAAATCTGCCTATTCCTAGTGCTCCTAGTGCTTTGTGCTTCACATTGTAGTATTACTGATTTTGGTGATCTCTGAGGGCCAGCTGGGGAGAGAACACAAGTTGCTCTACCCCTCAGCTGGATGATCCACTGGCAAAAGTGGGAATTGGCAACTCCTAACCACCAGTGGGGTTTGCCACTGAGCTGAGTCTGCTTTCTTTCTTGTTTTGTTTGTTTGTTGTTTTTTTGAGACAGCGTCTTGCTCTGTCACCCCGGCTGGAGTGCAGTGGCATGATCCTAGCTCACTGCAACCTCCACCTCTGGGGCTCAAATGATCCTCTGGACTCAGCCTCTGGAGTAGCTGGGACCACAGGCATGAGGCACCATGCTCAGCTAATTTTTCTAGTTTTTGTAGAGATGGGGGTCTCACTATGTTGCCCAGGTTGCTCTCAAACTCCTGGGCTTAAGTGATCCTCCCACCTCAGCCTGGCCCCACTGAGCCTCACTGAAGGAGTCCTTCTGTGTTTGCAGACCAGATGCTGGAACAGAGGGATCATATTTGACTGCAGTGGAAGCCATGTTAATGTATGCCTCACCATCTGTCTCTCATAAAGGTACAGCAGCCTTCCCTCTTTATCTGGCTGAAAGGTACAGTTAGTTTTATTGTCAGAAGCATGAAAAATCTAGGACCACTTGGATGGGCTCCTATGGGATGCACAGAGAAGCTGCTGAGCATAAAGCAACTCTGACATATTTTGCAGGGGTTTTCATAATTCATGAAACCTGTTATTCAGTGGAGGTTTTTCTAGAGACCCCATTGGGAATGTTGTTTCTATGAGAAGCAGGGAAAGGAGGAGAGAGTACTATTTTCCTTATGGGTCTGCCTATCTGATCTATTTGTCTCATCTACCCAAATATTTATATAAGGCTATCTCTTGATTACTAACTTGCCTAATGGTAACCTGTTGCCTGGCCCCAACTATGGATGTTTGGGGACAAGCTGTTTAGCCATTCCCGTCCTCAGTTTATTCATTCATGTAAAGGACCAGTCTGGATGTTGTCCTGAGGAATATGTTGAGTTAATGTTTATAAACCATGGTGATGGCCTCAGATGAAAGATGTTCAGTGAACATAAAAAACTCTGCTGTGATGACTAATGCATGGCCTTTGCCAATGAGATTATTTAAATAATGGAACAGTGGCTACTTCTTTAATCATATAGAGTCTTTCCGAAGTTTCAAAGCACTTTTCCTACACTAAATCATGGCAAGTGTTATTTAATCTCCACTTTAGAGACAGAGAGGTTGAAGCACAGTAATGTGTGTACTTTACCCATGGGCAGGGGTTACATTTGATTGTGGATACATTATCAGGGCTACTTCTTTCCTCTCTTCCTTCTAGGACATCATTCCCATACTCATCTACCTTGTCCTTCTTGCCAGGTATTTAGTAATATGTCTTCAGCTGAGACATTCTCCCTGAGGAAGATTGCAGAACCCACAGGAAATTCATTTAGGAAGACTTTACTGAGGTGCTGAAGATAGAAAGATGAGAGACAGAGTCCATGTTCTCAAAGCCCTTACAATTCAACGAGAGAGGCAAAGCGGCAAGCCTGTGGTGTGCTGAGCACTGTGACAGGTCCGTGAGTGGAAACAGAGACAGTATCTGATGAGAGTGGTGGAGAATGTAGGATAATATAAAAAGTGGTTGTTGTGTTTGTTTGCAAATGGGCTTGCTCATGGGTCTTAAGTTGGGTTGCCTCAGACAAGAATTTAGTGTAAGAGGCTTATTTGGAAGGTGAAAAGAGCATTATTAGGGGACTAGGAAAAGTGAGACAGCAAAGGGACAGGGACCTATCACTGTGGTCAATGGGAGCTCATTTCTGGGGAAACACAAACTTCATAGTCATCCCACCCAAGGGGCAAGGGAGCTGGGATGTTTATATTCTAACTCCTGTCAGTTATTGATTGGGGGATTCTCCTGAGAATATTAATTCCCTGGTATTTCTTGCTCATGAAGTGGGTATCAAAGTGGGTTCCAGAGACCAGAGAAAACCTTCAAACAAAGAGGTGGCGGCAGGTGCAACTCCTGTACACCGAGGTGATAAGGGTGAGGAGACATGATCTGGGGACAGTACTTGCTCCACCTTTAAAGGAAATCATTGAGTGAATGCCAAGTACTTTGTTCTCTCTTGCATCCCTTCAGCTCTGGTTTCTAGGCAGCTGTTTAGAGTTCAGGCTACAGAGCATAGTCCCTATCAAGAGCAGGGCAGCCCTGGGCGAGGACTTGTTAAGAAGCGAAGATCAATTTATGGCTTACTACTCAGACTTGTACAAGACACAGCTCACTGGTATTGTTCTCCAGTGTCCCAGAATAGATGTCACTCCTTAGCCTCCTTCCGGATGCCTCCTGTGCCCTGCCAGGACTCTGAGCTCACCCCTTTCATGGTGGTTTTAACATCTTGCACTTGTATGGTTACTCATTCATCTTCTTCAAAGGACTGTCAACTTCCTGAGGGCAGAGTCTGTGCCTCACAGTGGACCCCCTCAAGTGACTCATGTGACCTTCTTTTAGAAGAGTAAAAATAATGAATCTTTTCTATTTTACAACTTTCCAGTTGTAAAAAAGTGTGTGTTCCAGAAGAAATGGAAGATGAGTTGAAAGTAGTAAGGTCAGGGGTTATGGTGATGCAATTAACACAAAATGAGGAGGCAGGAGAAAGGGAGTTCCACCAGAATATTTACTAGGGATTCAAATTAAGCAGTGAAAAGTATAACATCTTGTAAAGAAAGAAGGGTCTTTAAAAATGCTGGGTGTAGTGGCTCACACCTGTAATCCCAGCACTTTGGGAGGCTGAGGCAGGCGGATCACAAGGTCAGCGGATCACAAGGTCAGCAGATCAAGACCAGCCTGGCCAACATGGTGAAACCCCATCTCTACTAAAATACAAAAAATTAGCTGGGCTTGGTGGTGCATACCTGTAGTCCCAGCTACTCGGGAGGCTTAGGCAGGGGAATCGCTTGAACCCGGGAGGGGGAGGTTGCAGTGAGCAGAGACCTCGCTACTGCACTCCAGCCCGGGTGACAAGAGCAAAACTCCGACTCAAAAAAATAAATAAATAAAAATAAATAAATAAAGAAGGGCCTTTAAAAAACAAGTCTGAGCTTCATTTTCCCTTCTGTTTGTACTTAAAAACCTTTATCCATCCATCCATCCATCCATCCATCCATCCATCCATCCATCCATCCACCCACCTATCATCTGTCTCTATCTATCTATCTATCTATCTATCTATCTATCTATCTATCTATCTATCTATTCTATTTGTCTGTCTCTCTCTCTCTCTCTCTTTCTCTCCATCCACCCACCCACCCACCCAACACACAATCCTGGATTGTGTGTTTTTTAATAGAGAGATACAAAAAGAAAAAGAAGTAAAAATCTTTCTGCACAAAGTTAAATTAAGTTTAGCTTAAAGCTGCATCCTTGTAAATTTGGCCTAAAGGCTTTTCTGAACATAGTGAACTGTACCTAATTGGATAAACAAATAGACTGCAACCTACTCTTGCATCAATCACTGAGTTTTGGCCAATCACAAGTGGCCAACTGTTCAAATAAGGAGAACGCCGAGCTATAACCAACCCAGTTGTTTCTGTAACTCACTTCCATTTTCTGTATGTCATCACTTTCCCTTTTCTATCCCTAAATTTCCAACCATGTGGCAGCACCAGAGTCTCTAAACCTATTCTTGTTTAGGGGGCTGCCCAATTTGCAAATCGTTCTTTGCTCAGTTAAATGCTGTTAAATTTAATTTGTCTAAAGTCTTTCTTTAAACAACAAAGAGACCCCCCCCGTCATAAAAATAAAAAAGTAATGTATATGAAAGAACAGCAAATCCAATGGTAGAGAATAGTACAGAATGGAAAGGACCTCTCCTTGCCCCCAGAGGTCCCGCTCCCCGCAAAACACCTACTAAGGTCATGCATAATTCCTTCTAGAAAATAAATACGATATAATGATAAAATGATAATACATAATATTTATTGAGTGACTACTATGTTTTGGCACTATGCTAAGATCTTTATATATATTATATTTTAAAATCTTTATAAGTTACCTTTTGACCTCCAATTTACAGAGGAAGGAGGTGGGGCACAGAAAAATAAACCCACTTGCCCAAAGGACATGCCTAGTAAAGGGGAGAGGCAAGATTTGAACTTAGAAAGGCTGGATTCAGGGTCCAGATTCTTAACTGCAAATCACATGCATCTATGTGTATATTTTTGTACATAAGATATGAGATATTGTGTATGTGTGTACAAAAATGATCAACTATAAAAGAGCAAACTGCATGCATGGTCTAAGCAGCTGGGCCATTTCCCATACCCTGCATTGTTCTGGAGGCTTTATCCCTGATATTGCTAGCACAAAATCATCTGCAAAACACATTTAAATCATATTTGTAATAACCATATGCTTTCCACCATAGGCATTTTACTATGCACAATTTGGTCAACAACACTGTTATAGAGCACACTTCCAAACGTGTAACACTGAATACAGAATGCTTTAATAAATCTGCTTTGAAATTTAAATTGGCCCTAAATTGCAGATGTTCATGTGTTCAGTAGCTCATTTCACAAGTAAGACTTAGGTGCTAGAGGCCTCCTTGACCTATGCATGAGTTATCATGTGTTAGGGGAGTTCCAGAGCAAACAATGTGGGAAGGACCCTGAATTTGTCACCATCCTATTCTACATCACAAAGACCAGATGGCCACGAAAGTAAGATGGCCAGACAGCCAAGCAGCATACACTTACAGGAGCAACCATGTCACGAGCACTGGGTTAGATGGCAAGGCATCACTTGCATGGGTTTCTGTCTTTGAGTTCATAGCTGAGTTCATAATCCTCAGCCACAGACAATTGCTTTCCAGCTCTATTCAGCGTTGCCCCAGTTCTGCATATGTGCCTTCCAGGACCACAGAGGCTAAGGGGAAGGCTCATCTGGTCATCGGCTCTTATCTTGCCCCACCAAGGCACCTTTTTTTTCTGCCTGTTTTTCATGCTGGGAGGTAGCATAACATTTTATTTTCACAAAATCATTCTGTTCAGAAGAGCTTAGAAGCTATTTCCCCAAGGCACTAAGACTTAAAGAAAAACATTATTTTTCATTCACTTTTGTAAATTCTGCTTTTGTCTTCAGATAATCAAATAGTCAGCTTGTATAAATACATCATTTTATGTTTAAATGTTTTTTTCCTGATTATGAATTTGTACACCCCTATTGTTGAAAATTTAAAACTACAGAGAGGTTAAAAAATAATAGTTCTAATTCCCAGAGATGATTAGTGTTTCCATTTTGTTGTATTTCCATACAGATTTTAATCCCATGCAGATCATGTCTATAACCTATATTTTTGTAAAATGTGAAGCATAAAAGGATTTGCATGCCATCTTTACACAGGTGCCATGCTAATCTCCCCATATTGTTCCAATTGAGTACACAGGCTGCTGAAGTAAGTGCTGTACATAAAAGTTTATATTATGTCTTGCATTTTCAATGTGTATTATATTTTAACTTTGTCCAAAGTAGGATTTCTTTTAGGTCTGACTCCTCTAGGCCAAATCTAATTTGCTGTAGCTGCTGAAGACATTTCCAACATAGGAAGAATTTTCAATCCAAAAGAAAATGCAACATTCCCTTTTCAAATTCCCAAAAAGGGACACTTGTGCAAATTTGTCAAATCCATGATATTTTTATGATGCTGAGGTGCAGATACACATGACTGACTTTTAAATTCATGCTCCATTTCCTAGAGCACTTTCTTTTAAAAGTGGAAGGGAAAACAGGCATTTTCATTATGTTGCTGCCCCTACCAAAACATGGTGCTACAGGGTTTTATAATAGCAATATGGTAGACAGAAACCTAAACAACAAAGCTAATTGAAAAACAGAAAGCCTATTTGCAAAGGTTAAGCTTAAATTGACCATCATTTTGTTATTTTACCCGTGCCCCTGTTCTTCAGATTTATGTCATCACATGTAAATAACCACATGTAAGATACACAGCTAAAAATGATATTGTTTACATGTCATTCATAACCCAAAAATTTTGAGATTAAGACCAGATTACTTTCTGGTATTTAGAAATAAGACAT
The DNA here is from genome assembly GCF_000001405.40 of Homo sapiens. Lineage (NCBI taxonomy): Eukaryota > Metazoa > Chordata > Mammalia > Primates > Hominidae > Homo > Homo sapiens. The sequence goes on along the minus strand of NC_000014.9, from coordinate 51,522,228 downwards.
TTTACATAAGAATTCACTTATGGTTTGATGTGTGGTCTTGAATAAATCAGTATGAGGTATGTTTAAGGTGCTTTTAAAATTCTGCTAAAAAACAAATCTAAGGAGCAGCTAAATTAAGAATTCTATCTTTTCACTTTATGTTTCCAGAGATGAGTCATTTAAATGACCTTTAATCCTGGTACATTTTAAATGATTACTACACTTAAAAGTAATTCATTCTATACCCACATTTTCAATTACATTTTAAGTAAGCTCTGTGCAATGCTCTGAGAAAGGGTTACATAAATATGTAGCCTGAAACCAGATGTGACCACAAATATGATTTGTTCAAAGCTAGGAATTTATGGTACATAAATATCACTTCTGCTCATCACAAATTTATCTTGGTCAGTTAAAGAAGAGAAACAAAATTTTAGGGATGAAATAAGAGCTGAATTCCACAATATGTATTAAGCCTCCTGCATGAAAATTTATAATCCCAATATAGCCCTGCTAGCCTTTTTTTTTTTTCCTGCCTTTCTTCTTCTTTTGGTTGGGGTTAAGACCTACTTCTTGCATAGGGTTTTTGCATTTAAGTTTCTTAACCTGCCCGCGTCTATCAACAAAGCAATGCATGCTTCTCTTCCATGAATTTAAATAAAAATGACACCAGTCTTTTTTTTTTTAGAGCTATACATTCTTTACTGTTCTCTACTGAAAGACAAAAGACATAAATGTGTAAATGTTTTCTAGAGATTTAAGTACATTGTGTTGCATATTCTCTGAGATATATCACTATATGACTGTTAAAAGAATATATGGATAAACCTCCTTTCAATTTATATACTCCAATCTCATTTTAGCTATTTATATTCCAGTAAAATAAAAATACTTTAATACAATTTGTATATAACATAAATGTTTTGATGTCGAGTTTTACTTTGGTGTATTTATATATGTTCTTTCATGTCAGCTTTTAAAATTAACCTTACAGAACTACAACTTACATTGAATAAAATACACCTATACTACTGGACAGTTTCACCAAATGTATACGTCTGTGTGACCATCTCCACAGTCAAGATACAGAACATTTTCGTCACCTCAGTAAAGCTCTCTTGAATCACTATATAATACCATAATCACTTCCCCCAGCCCCAGATAATCAGTGATCTGCTTTCTATTACTATAGATTAGATTTGTCTTTTTCAGCATCATAAAATGTACGTTCTTTTGCATCTATGTTTTCTTAATGATCAGCATAATATCTTTGAGATTTATCCATGTTGTTTCATAGATGAATAGTTCACTCATTTTATTTTTTTTATTTACGTATTTTTGAGACAGGGTCTCACTCTATTGCCCAGGCTGGAGGGCAGTGGCATGATCATGGCTCACTGCAGCCTCGACCTCCTCAGGCTCAGGTGATCCTCCCACCTCAGCCTCCGTAGTAGCTGGGACCACAAACACGTGCCACCATGCTTGGCTAATTTTTGGCTAATTTTTGAATTTTTTGTAGAAATGGAGTTTTGCCATGTTGCCTAGGCTGGTCTCAAACTCCTGGGCTCAAGGGACCCACCTGCCTCAGCCTTCTACAGTGCTGGAAGAGGTGAGCCACCGTACTCGCCAGTTTACTTGTTTTAACTGCTGATTTTTAATTTCATGGTATGGATATATCACACTTCGTATATTCATCACCTCCTGATGGACATTTCGGTGTTTCTAGTATTTGACTATTAAGGATAAAGCTGTTATAAACATTTGTGTACAAATTTTGTGTAGACATATATTTTTACTTATATTGAATGAAATATCTAGGAGAGGAATTGTTGTATCATAGAATAATACTGATTAACTTGATAAGAAACTTCCTTTCTCTTCCAGATTGGTAGTACCATTTTACATTCCTATCAGCAGTGTGTGAGAATGCAAGTTGCTCTGCACCTTTTCTAATTTTAGCCATGTATAATGATATTTCATTGTGGTATATAATTTGTGTTTCCTCGATGACTAATGAGGTTGAACATTTTCTCATGTGTTTTTTGGCCACTCATATATCTTCTTTGGCAAAGTATTTGTTGAAGTCTTTTGCCCATTTTTAAATTAGGTTGTTTGTCTTTGTATTGCTTAGTTGTAAAAGTTCTTTATATACACCTGGCACAAATTTTTTGACATATATATGTATTGTGAATATTTTTTTCCCATTTTGTTGTTTGCCTTTTCATTTTCTTAATGGTGCCTTTCACAGAGCAGTTTTTGAAATACCATTCCTTAGGGCACAATGGGTACATCCATATACAAACAAGGTTTGCTAATGCGTGGAGTGAATGTCTCTTAAAATTCAGTGCCAAATCAAATCATATTGCCCATTTTATAGTGACTGAAATGTATCTGTGGCAAAGAGTCCCTGGGCTTATCTAACACAAGACCTACTGGTGATAGGGCCCCCAAATTTTGTGCTACCAGGAGTCTCTGCCTCATTCCTTTCTTATCTCTCCAATACCCTTCCACAGAAAGTCTTCTTCACTGCACAAAGTCAGCAATGAGTACAGACACTATTTCATTACAGTGTAAGGATCACCATGACCTCCTTGTTGTAGTGGAGAAAGTGACTGAAAAGTTGGGTTTGTCCTGGATTTCAGGAAGAATAGGAATCTCTAAGTTAAAAAACTCAAGCTTCTTCTAAGCTCTCAAAATTGGAACTGAATGAGTTTGTCCTTTCTGCTAGGAAAACTAACTCTCAGAACACTGATGAACTATATTTTATTCATTTCTTTCAGAAAATGTTTGCTAAAATGTGGGCCGGGTGCAGTGGCTCACACCTGTAATCCCAGCACTTTGGGAAGCCGAGGTGGGTGGGTCACCCGAGGTTAGAAGTTCGAGACCAGCCTAGCTAACACGGTGAAACCCCACCAAAATTAGCTGGGTATGGTGGCACCTGCCTGTAGTCCCAGCTACTTGGGAGGTCGAGACAGGAAAATCACTTGAACCCCTGAGGCGGAGGTTACAGCAAGCCAAGATTGTGCCACTGCACTCCAGCCTGGGCGACAGAGTGAGACTCCGTTGGGGTGGCAGGGGGCGGGGGGTGGGAAGAAAAAAGAAAAGATTTGGGAAAACGTACAACATCCCAAGCACTGTGTTAGAAATGCAAGAACTATCTAGGGTCCCATGTATTAAATCATTTAGTTTATTGTTAGTGAAACAGTGAGCATCTTGAGGACAAGACTATCTTGTTCATTTCCTACTGCACTCAGTGCTGACAAATCGTTATGTATTAAATTTAGTTAATGACTGTATGCATGCATGAATGAAGTGTCAAAGGCTTGGCTTGCTTGAGTAATTCTGAAGCTGTTGGCTGTTTTATTCAGAATTACATGCATAATTTGCTATAATAAGACAGCTATAATCAAATAGCCACAGTCACTCATGGTAAAACAATGCTATGGTGGCAACAAGATAATCCAAATCTCCCAGCAATATCCCAGGTGGGAAGTCAGTTAATACTTGGAGTAAGGCTTGTATCGTTTTGACTTTTAGTGGTTAAAATTTTCCAAAATGAGAGAAAATGCACTGGACCTCAGAAATGAGAAAGGTCACAAGGAAAATACTTCCTCTTTAGATTATATCAGAGGTAAAATTAATAATAAAAAGAAGACTGACCACCATTATAATAGTATTTAGTACAGTTTATAAATAGTGTCATATGCGTTTTCTCACTGACTCCTTATAACACCCCTGGGAGAAAGTTACAGGGAACATTAGTACACTTATCCCCACTACACAGAGCTGGAAATGCGCTTCTGAGAATATAAATGTCTTGCCCAAGATTTCACAGCTCAGCAAAGTGGACTAGCTGGGACTCCAGCATTCTTTTTCGCTGCCCTTAGAGAAAAATCCCCTTGCCTACAGGGTGCCATGGATGGTGGTCTACATCTAAATCTACATTTCTTTTGTGTCCTTGATTTCTAAATAATATTCCTTTGTTGTGCCATGAGATGAGACAAATTGTCTTTACTACAGTATATACTTCATGGTACACTTTGATTCATATTAAATAAATCTCAAGTTTTGATTAAGTTTTGATATAATGCTTCACCAATTCCACGGGGATAGGTGCCTTGGAAGCATGACTCCGTGTGAAGTCTCAAATTCCTTTTTCTATGCAAACGTTATTTAAAATAAGTTAACTGGAATATGCTAAGATAATTTTTTTCTCTTAGACAAAATTTCCTTAATTGTTTGTATGTTATACTTGTCCGAGAGGAACTCCTTTGCTGAGACTACTCAAAAATTTCATTGGCTGGGTCATGCTTGGAGGGACAATGAGGCTTGTCAGCTGTAGACAGTCACTTGGGAGGGAGGACTGAAGAGCTACTCATCACCCCCGTTCAAGCTTCCTAGTAGTACTATCTGTGAGTTAGCACATCAGGCCATACCGGAGAGCCAGCTTGTATTTGGAGAGTGGTCTTCAATTTCAAGCATGGCCATGACTCTGAAATAACTGTGGCTTGTTGTTAGTCTTGTAGAAGAATTACATTTCAGCCCATTGCTTTGCAGAAGATGAAGTGTATTTGCCTCTGCTTGGATGACAATGGTATAATTATAGGCTTTGTAATTGGGTCTTAAGGAAGGAAAACTGATGTTTTTCAGGATCAGAGCTCGGTAATTTAACAGAACTTGAGACTCTATTCTTCCCCACCAACAGTGGAGAGTTATGACTGAGAAAAACACAATTAAATTTATCTTACTCAAACACCTACATTTCTAGATTCTTATTGGTTTCTATAATAGCTACACAAAGGGTAAACAGCTCTCTTTATTAATGCTTCACTAAGGATTTTTATATCTATGTGACAAGTGGTGCATTCTTTGCACAGAATAAATACTTGGAGCCTTGATTCCAGCTGGTCTGGATTGGAAAACTCATTACTGCTCCTAGCGTGTCTGCCAGCAAACTCCTCAGGGGAGAGATACAGACTCGTATGTATGGAAATAACCAAACCGGATTGGTCAACTTTTATAAATAAACCATTGGAAAATGTAATTTAGAGGGAGGAGTATGTCAATTACAGATTGTTTCCTTAATCACTTAATCATTTCTATTATTTCCCAGTTCCAAATTTTAGGCATTTTTCATAAAAATAACACTTAAAGTATACAACAAAGCTCATCATTCAATTTTTTATAACAGAACATCTATTTGTAATGATAAAGGGAATTGAAAATGACATTACAATTTGGAGGCAAAATTATAAGACTGTTTATAACCAAGGCAATTGACAGCCATCTTGACAAAGTTCTAGATTAAAGTCACCATCTCTTGACTCAAAGATTGGCATCAGATTAAAAGAGGCAAGGAACTGTTTCCAGCAGGGAAGATTAAAACACAATTATAAATTCATTTATCTTCCTTTGCCCAGGGACTCGACATCCCATAATACCATTTGCATAATGGGTTACTTTGTTTGTTCCCTTTTAAATGTTCAATTTGGAACATTTTATTCTAAGTGCCATCAAAATAAATAAATAAATAAGCTGAGTTTTAAGCCCACAGCTTTTTACGTTTATTTGAGACTAAGAATCAGTAGAATTTGCCTGTTTTCAGGGAAGCACAAGCACTTATTTTTTTACATACTCAAGATGACAGGGCTCTAAAGGGTTGTGAATATAGACAAATGGCAGCTAGAAATTCACTTCATCTATTTCACTCTGAAAGATACACACATGTGCACACACATATACCCCCTCACTCTGGTCCTTTCTGAAGTTATGTGGAGATGCCATTTTGTTTGTGTTGGCTTCTCTCTGCCCTGGCTAACTGTCCGAGTCTGATGTCTTCTACTCCAGAGTCATATTCCCAAGTGAATGCTTTAATCAATGCATCACTGCACTCTTTCCTCCTACTCGTCTCTAATCGGATGGACCCGCCTTATGTCTAATTACCTAGATAGCAAAAAGCTAACCTAAAAACCAGTCCCTGTAAATGGAGAATTTATCAACTCAGGTGGAACACATTTTGTTTTTTTGTGAGTGTGTCTTGGGATGCATAATAGCTGTGTTTAGTCCTTAGAAGAGAGAATTCAAGGCAAGGGGTTCACCAGTGGGCAGCTCTTTGGCAGGAGGAGAAACTTCCAGCTTCCCCCATACACCATGTAAGCACTTTCCCCTCTCTCCACAGAACTTGGAGATGAAGTTAAGATGCACAGCAGCCAAACTGCCCTGATGTTCAGGGGTTCAGAACACCCAGAAGGTTAGAAAGTGCCTCCTTCTGGCCTTCAACCCCTTTGCATTACTAGAGTAACTACTTTGCAGTGTCTCAGCTCCCTTAAAGCCCTGCTTTTCTAAAACGTCTCACATTCTATTTGTATTGGAAGCTGGCTTTCCCTTGGATTCAAACCTCATTGGCTTGGCTCTAGGTAAAGATTGTACTCCGAGTTAATGAAAAAAAACTCAACTTCCTCAATGGTTCTCCCTGACACAGCTATTCAAGTCCAACGGATGGGTCTCCTTGGAAACATCAGTAGCAGCTCTGTTATCCTGTCTCCTGAAGATGTTCTTTCAGCTCTATTAGCTGTTTATTCCCAGAAATTGGTGTCCTGGCTACTGCTGGTCACTATAAAGACCATGTAGCAGGAAGAGGAAACCTATCATCAAGGGGCAAGACAGGTGGTAGGAGGTAGGCCCAGGTGACATGGAGTTTCTGCCACACCAAGATACTGTGTCCAGGGAGCACAGATAGTTCCATATGGGATTCCAACAAATGGGGGCACCAGTTGCACTAGAAGTGGGGGCCTAATATATACACAGAGTCCAGCCATGGGGAATTGAAGCAGCAGATATACTGACGTTCAGGGAGGCAGCCAGTAGGCATCAAAAGGTGATGGATGGAGAATAGAGGTCCTGCCACTGGGCAAAGGGACTAGTTAGAGATAGTCAGGTCTGAGTGGTAGAAGGGGACTGAGTTATGTCCTGGAGTTAGCATTCAGACACAGGGATGAAGGCAGAACTACGATCTTGGTAACGGGAACTGGAGTGGGGCAATACAACTGCCTTGGTATTTAGAACCAAGAAGCAGGAGGTCCATTAGCAGAACTGAACCATTTAAGAAAGGGGCTGAATGAGAGGGGAATGTGTGATGTGGTTCTACTTCCATCCTGTAGCACAATCTAGGAAAAGAGGCATAACAAGTTTCTAGGATGGGGGTGGGGACACCATCATGGTTGAACAAGAGGGTAGGGACTTGGGATGTATGTGAAAACTCTCCTACTGGTTGATGAAAGAGAAAACAAGTTTAAAACACACACAAAAAGCAATACCCACAACCACCTTCTCAATCTATTTTGCATCGCATATTGCTTCCTTTCTCCTCTTGTCGTCATAGTTTTTTTGTTTGTTTGTTTTTGAGACAGAGTCTCACTCTGTTGCCCAGGCTGGAGTGCAGTGGTGCAATTTTGACTCACTGCAGCCTCCACCTGCTGGGTTCAAACAATTCTCCTGCCTCAGCCACCCGAGTAGCTGGGATTACAGGTATGCGCCACCATGCCCAGCTAATTTTTGTGTTTTTAGTAGAGACAGGGTTTCATCATATTGACCAGGCTGGTCTAGAACTCCTGACATCAAGTGATCTGCCTGCCTTGGCCTCCTAAAGTGCTGGGATTATAGGCACGAGCCACGGCACCTGGCCCAATTGTAGTCTTAACTGATCTTACTCACATTTTATCTTTTTTTATTTATTTATTTTACTTTAAGTTCTGGGATACATGTGCAGAACATGCAGGTTTGTTACACAGGTATACATGTGCCATGGTGGTTTACTGCACCTATCAACCTATCATCTAGGTTTTAAGCTCCACATGCATTAGGTATTTGTCCTAATGCTCTCCCTCCCCTTGCCCCCTAACCCCCAACAGGCCCTAGTGTGTGATGTTCCCCTCCCTGTGTCATTTGTTTTCATTAACATTTTATCTTAAAAATTATTGAGAAGAATCACTTTTGAAAAATGTGCTGGGGTAGGAGAGAACTTTGAGAACTATCCCTGTCTCTCTACCCAGCGACCTCCTGCCTGAGAGTCTGTTGGTCAATTTAGCTGTAACCAGGGTCAAATGGGCAGGAAGAGTCATGTGGGGGAGAGATTACAAGAGCCCAGAGGTGATAAGAGTGACATTACACCACTTATTGAGCACCTTCCATGTGCCAGGCACAAGTGTAGACACTTAACATACATAATCTGATTTAATCCTGGCAAAGTAAGAATTATTCTTCTCATGTTCACAAATAACGTTACCAAGGCTTAGAGATGTTTATAATTCCCTGATATCCCATGGTTGGTCAATGCTCCAACAGTCTAAGCTTCCCAGACATGGGAGCTGGGGAAGCTTAAATGCCTCTTGCCTCCAGTTGGGATTGGAGAGGAGAGATAGGCCTTAGCTGGGGAGATGCCAGGGCTCAGTCATGAAGAGACAAGGAAGGCATGGGATGGATACAGGGAGACATGGAATTTCAGAGAGGCTTCAGCCCAGGTCAAAGACTAAGCTGTCTTAACTTATTGGCACCCAGACCTCACTTCAGGTCATTAGAGAAGCTCTAAATAATACAGAAATCCTCCTTTAGTTAAAAAAAAAAAAAATGTAGAGATTCAGGAAGCATCCAAGAATGTTGGTCAAATGTGTATCATTTTCTCTGGGAGCATAAGAGCATTTGCCTTGAGGCTCTGCCATCCAGACTTTGAACTGTAAAGCCAAAATAACCACTGTGAAGAAAGGCCTGGCCCGGGGTTTTCTGACTTAGTAGCTGTCAATGGCTCGGCCGAATTGTGGGCTGTGGCTGAGAGGAATGGCAAAGGAATCTGTTCCTCAGAATTCTCTGATTAGAAATTTATAAGATATGTCCTCAAAAGAGGCAACAGTCACCCAATGTGCCAGCTGCAGGGATGGCTCTTCTCTTCTTGAGAGATCAGGAAATGCAGCCTGTTTTGGTCATTGGGACCAACTTTTCAGTTAGGACTTGGATCAACAAGGAGTGGGGTAGGGGACTGTACCAGTTCAGAGAAACCTGGGAGCTTGTGGAATGCAGAGTCCTAGGCCCAGGTTCAGAAGGCCGCTCCTGTGATTCTGATGTAGATGGCCCTGAGGGTGGGGCACTCTGGGAAAGTCTGGCATAGAGACTCTCTTCCTACCATTGTCAGGGCTCAATCAGACTAGAGCCTCCTAATTTTGAGAGAGTGAGGGTGGAAAGCCTCTCTGTCTCCTCTGAAAGGCTACTTTTGCCCAGGCACACCACTTTCCACTTCTGGGAAGGAGTGCCCTTGAGGCACTTTTCACTGCTGGGAAGGAGGCCCTTGAGGTGCCTCAGTGGTCAGTGCTGCCATGGCCAGTACATCCAGGCAGTGAGGACAGGAGCCCCTTCCACGTCAAGATCTCTACAGTTGCCTCACCACTGAGCCCCAATCCTTGCTTTTCCTCTATTCTGATCACATGACCAGAGTTGAGTTGGTTCCAGCCTGGGGGAAAGAATCCGGTACATACAGACTACTCCTTCTCTTAACATCTCTCCTCCACAGCTGCTAGAACCCACCGATTTGTGCTGTGTCCCAGACTTTAGTTCTTTTTATCCATCCCCCACAAAAAAAAAAAAGAGAAAGAAACATTACATCAGCTATCAGAAGGAGGTTGTGACTTCCTTGCATGGGCTAGCTTTAAGGGCAAGGAGTTGCTGAGGTAGAAAATTCTCCAGTGGCAGCCTTGATGGATGACAAGACGTTGTCCCTGGGGATACAATGATTTGCAGCAGCATTTCAGCAATCCAAAATACACCATCACTCTGCACTAGGGTGACAAGCTTAGCATCTACACCCTTCATCATAATTCTAGTGGCAGGATTTTCCAGACTAGGTTAACTCCTTTTACTTTGGCCCAAAAATCTGAAGCAGGAGCAGGGAGGGATCCTATGATAATTTTTCTTTGGTTGATCACTTTCATCTGAGGATCTTCAAGTATTTTATCAATATTAATTAAACCACCACAACACCTTCATATGCATAACTATTATCCATCCACCACTCCCAGCTGCATGCCAACCCTTTAAAGATAAAGAAGTTGAAGGATAGCCTGGCTAGACTTCAGTGACTGAGCTCATCACAGAGGCAAGACCCAAAAGTTAGCCGTCTTCATTTCTAGTTCTGGACTGAATAGGTCTAAAGTGATTGAAAAAAATCATATGATTCCTATGCATACATACATCATGAAGTATTATTACCAAAAGAGAAAATGTCCATTGAACTTGTCATTTAATTATTATAACTATTATATTAACCCTAGCTCTGTTGTTTCTTGTTTATTTTAATTTTATTGTTATTTCTTTATTATTATTATTATTATTATACTTTAAGTTCTGGGGTACATGTGCAGGACATGCAGGTTTGTTACATAGGTATACACATGCCATGGTGGTTTGCTGCACCCATCAACCCATCACCTACATTAGGTATTTCTCCTAATGCTATCCCTCCCCTAGTCCACCATCCCAACTGGCCCCGGTGTGTGATATTCCCCTCCCTATGTCCATATGTTCTCATTATTCAACTCCCACTTGTGAGTGAGAACATATGATGTTTGGTTTTCTGTTCTTGTGTTCTTAATCAATCTTTTCCCTTCCAAGATACCTAACTTCTTTTTGTTTCAATTTTTCCCTCTATAAAATGGTGACATAATAGAGCTCCCCAATGTCTTACATTCCTTTGTTGTGAGCATTGATGGCTTGTAAACCAATGTGTTCTACAACTACAAGTATTTGTGTTTCCCAGTTACTACAGCAAACCCCCACAATTTGAAATGGGTTATCCTAATACATCACTTTGCCCTGAATAATTTTCATGATCAAAGCTGTTATTCATATTATCAGAATTTCTTTCTTCTTTATTTCAGTTCATGGCCACTGGCCTCTATGATACCATCTTATCTGAATCAGTCACCATCTTTCTTTTTTTGGAAAGTGGTACAAAAACTGCTGCCAAGGTTACAAGTAAATAACTGTAGTTAAGACCAAAAAATATTAGTGATTAAAAAATCTGTCTCTGTCTCTCTTCTGTGTGGGGAATATCTGTTTTTCATTTAGTGACTTTTATCTAGTAATAGCCACTGGGGAGTAGGCTAGAAAGCAGTGGGACTACTTAGAGAGACTTGGGGCAGGGCTGTAGGTGAATGAAATGGCTTTACCAAGCAGCCCTACAAGCTTCACTCTGGGTTATAGGCCTCTTGGCGGGGGCGGGGAGCGAAAGAAAGAAGAGCCAGACACTGCCTCAGGTGGACCCTGAGCAGAGACGAAAGGAAGAAAGACAGAGCAGGGCATGCATCCCAAAAGGTTGAAGATAACAGAAAGAAACAATTAAGTGGATAAAACTACATCACACGCATTGTTGCTGCAAAGGCCTATGGGAAAAGAAAACTAAAGAAGGCGGTAGAGACGGACCCTTCAGGTGTTAGCCTTGGAGGTATAATTCCCCAGGGACAGGTAGATTTCCAAGCTCTGGATGTAGAGACCAATTACCAGGCATTTTTTATGGCTCTGGTCAACGCGTGATTTAATAAGTTTATGTATTCAGATTTCACATAAGGTTTACAAAGAAAATAACACAAACTGCTTGTGGTACACCAGTGATAAATATTTCTACAGAGCTCTCCTTCACGAGGTAACTGAGAAACATCTATAAGTGAAGTCACGGGTTAGAACAAAAATCTGTAGTAATAAAATATATTGGATTCTTTTAGAAATTATTAATAACAATCCAGGAAAAATAGGGAACCAAGTTCCTGAAGAAAAAAAAAATCACGGAAATATTGAAAGTTAAAAAGAAAGAACCACACAAGGGAGGCATGAACAGGTGAACTCAGGTGGATGAGTTGGTAAACGGGGCCTTAGAGTCAGCAAAATGGATCTAATTCCTGGGTCTGCTACTCCCTCCTTGTGTAACCTTGCTCAAGTTATCTGCCTCTTAAAGCCTCTGCTTTCTCACAGAGTTGCTGGGAGAATAAATGAGTTATTGCACACCAAATGCTCAGCTCAGAGCTGGGCTCATTGTAGGAGACACTCCATAAATATTAGTGCACATCACATGCCACAACTGCCTCCCTCCATGGCAACAAGATGGATGAAAAATAAACAACATACAACTTTTCTGAATTTAGACATCCAACTGAAATGTTTTCCTCCAAAATGGCTGCCCTAGGGTGCTAGGCCTGAAGGGAAGATTGCCCTGTTTTCACAAAATAATCTTGGACCGCCTCCATTGGGATTGTCCTCAGGGCTTATTTAAAGTATATACACGTACGCGCAGGGCAGTGGCTAATGCCTGAAATCCCAGCACTTTGGGAGACCAAGACGGGTGGATCACCTGAGGCCAGGAGTTCCAGAGCAGCTTGGCCAACATGGCAAAATCCCATCTCTACCAAAATACAAAAATTAGCCGGGCGTGGTGGCAGGTGCCTGTAATCCCAGCTACCCAAAAGGCTGAGGCAGGAGAATCGCTTGAACCCAGGAGGCGGAGGTTGTAGTGAGCCGAGATCGCACCACTGCACTCTAGCCTGGGAGACAGAGTGAGACTCCATCTCAAAATAAATACATAAATAAAGTATATACATATATGTGCATTGTTACTGGTGGCAAACCTTTGTCCTGCTAGAGTGACTTTTGTTTTGTTTTGTTTTGTTTTGTTTTGTTTTGTTTTTTGAGACGGAGTCTCGCACTGTCGCCCAGGCTGGAGTGTAGTGGCGCAATCTCCGCTCACTGCAAGCTCCGCCTCCTGGGTTCACGCCATTCTCCTGCCTCAGCCTCCCGAGTAGCTGGGACTACAGGCATCTGCCACTACGCCTGGCTAAATTTTTTTGTATTTTTTTAGTACAGATGGGGTTTCACCGTGTTAGGCAGGATGGTCTCGATCACCTGACCTCGTGATCCGCCAGCCTCGGCCTCCCAAAGTGCTGGGATTACAGGCGTGAGCCACTGCACCTGGCTATGACTCGTTTTCATTTAGGATTTGTCATTTAGAGCCAAGTCTGATGAAGAAGAAATGTAACCAAGTGGGGACAAAATTAAAGTATCAAGATTGATTTTTCTTGTGTGTCTTGTAAACCACCCCTCAGGGCAATTCCAAGGGAGGCCTTGTATAAATGTTTTGAATGATGGTGAGCAGTGATGTTAAGGCATAACTTCTTGAACTCATGACTTGAAGGATATCCCTCACCTAAGCTTGACTTTTTCACCATGTTTTTTAAAACATATAAGCCTCAGTCATTCATAGTCATTCTTGATCTGTTGGACTCCATTGGCTTTTGAGGTAGGGAGTCTGGGAAGGAAAGAAACAGGAAAAGACCAGCGTTTGAAGAAAAGGGTGGGAAGAGAGTGAAAGGCCACAAGTGAAAGGACAAGTCAAGGCAGAGAACATCAAATTAGCTTAGAAACATCACAGAGAAATCAAGCTTATAGGCAAGAGACTGTAATTATAGTTTGCTTTTTAAGACACAATTCATATGACTATTTGTTTTGTGAAGAGAGGGGAGTGCTCAGGATGGGCCGCAGTAAATTTTCCAGTCGGGCTACAGCCTTGTTTTTCTCCTTACTAAGAAAATGTGTTTAATAAAATGCCTTAGCCTTTTGAGAAACTGAATGAGTTTTCAGGACATGTATTTTACGTTTCCTCCATATTTTGAACAATAGTCGACCACCTGTTCACGTCTTGCTCTTGTCTCCTCAAGGCTCCAGGACAAGCAGGGGCTTGAGTGTGAGGACTTGTGGGAAAGGAAGGAAACACACGGGGCTCTCTTATGTAAATAACGTGATTAGCAGAAAGTATAAAAGAGGCTTCTTCCCCTGTTCACAAAGCAGATTTTCTTCAGAAGCTGGCAGAGCTCCCAGACAATTTGCTCTGGGGACAGACTCTGGCTAAATTGCTGCCAGTGCCGGCCTCTGGGGCCTTCTAGATTTATGAGTATGGGCAGCCGAGAGGAGGGAGCACTCCGTGGGTGGGGGAAGGACATGGAGAGTAGCAACAGGCAGGGCCGGATGGGGTCACCCAGCGGGAGAGGTGGCTGCGAGCACGGGACAGGCTGGGGGGTGCTCATTGCCCGGGCCAAGGCCACTTTAGCAGCTGCAGGGAGGACTGAGGGGCTGAAGAGGGGAGTAGCTGGCTGCAGGGTCTGCGATGGAGCCTGAGTGGGCACGCTCAGTAGCAGGGGGAGGCACAGCAAAGGATGAGGGGGCTCCCACAATCAGGTAAGGGATCATGCCATTTCAAGCTGCCCGGAGCATTCTGGAAGGCAGAGCATCCCTGTTCTCCAGCACCAAGAAAATAGGGTCTCCTGACTTCCTGCCTGGCCCAGAGGTGTGATCAAGCCATCCTGTGGGTTTGGGGAATGATCAGGAGGCAATTGTTGCCACCACATTTGCTGAATCCTCACTTAGCATTGTCACCACTGCAATGCCCAGCCAAGCCTTTTCAGCTCCCCTGGGTTGTGTTTTCAACAAACACTCACTCTGGAGTACTTCTAATGGAACTGGAAATCAGCAGGCACTCTATGAACTAAAACACATTAGTGGGGAAGGGAGAGGGGAAAGAGGAGGAGGTCCTCCGCTTCAGAAGCTACTGCCAGCTTCCCCACTAGGTTTTATTTAGCTCAGCCAGACTGGAATTCCTGATACGGAGACTTTTAAAGATGATTTTCCCCTATAGTAGAATTTTGAAAAGGTCTGTGGCCATGAATTATTCAGGGTCTCTACCTAATTTAGCTCCTAGTGTCTTCCAGATATCCTCCAGTGGATTCTGAGCTAGCTTGGATATTAACAGAAAAGGCATGGGACTCATGCCTTTTGGGGAATGATCTGGAAGCACATGTTGCTGCCACACTGCTGGATCTTCACTTAGCATTGTCACCACTGCAATGCTCAGCCTTTCCTCAACTGGGCTCCCCCTGGGTTGTGAGGACTCTGCTGCTTTCAGTGTCCACACCAGCCAGGATGCCCTGCAGCTGCTATGACAATGGGAACCAGAAGTCAGGGTTAGCCGACCGTAGCTAAGGCTGCTTTCCCTGCTCTTTCTCCTAGTGGAAATAGCCTTATTGCAGTGTGTGTGTGTGTGTGTGTGTGTGTGTGTGTGTGTGTGTGTGTGTGTGTGTGTCTATACAACCAATTCTAATCATTTCAAAAATTCAGAAAATATAGAACGGTGTAAAGAAACCATCAACTGGGAACAAGCACAATTAACATTATAATACACATTCCTCATGATTGTTTAATGCTAATATTTTTAAGTGAGATCATAGTATATGCACATTTTTATAACCAGCTTTTTTCATTCTACGATGCATCACAAATATTATCCTTCCATGTTAATAATTATAGATCCATATTGTCACTTTTAATGGCTGTTTAATAGTCTAAGGTAAAAATGTGCTGTGGTTTATTTAGTCAACTGCCTGTAGTTAGATGTTTCAGCTGTCACTAGGTTATTGATATAAACAGGTATCTTTATATAAATATCACCAAATGCTGCTCAGATCATTCCCTTAAGGGGAATTCTTTAAAATGGAAGTGCTGGGTCAAATCCTGTCATCTTCTTTAAGGGCATGTTGTCAAAATTTCCCTACACAGTCTCAATCAGGATACCAAGCATCCAGCAGCAAATGAAAACACCCATTTTCCTCCTTCACCCTCAACACTGGGCACTATGAGTCTTTTTAATCTCTTCCAGTCTGATGATTGTGTATGGCATAGCTCATTTGCTGTTTTAACTTGTTCACTGTTTTCTCTTCTCCCTCTGGCACCTTCTGTAATCTCTTGGAGCCTCTTTTCGCCAGTATCCTCTTCATTTAATAGTAAACATTAATTGAGCACTTCCTGTGTGCAGACACTTGCCAAACATTAGTGCTCCAACTATAGGAGCTGTACTGTATAAAATGTTCTGGGCGCTGAGAGGGAGGCCTGGGGAAGCTAGAGAGAGCTTTGCAGAGAAGGCAATATTTATGCTAGATCTGATGGAATGGTGAGAGCTTTGCAGAGAAGGCTAGATCTGATGGAATGGTGAAGAAAGGAGTAGAATAGGAAAAGGCCATTTCATGCAGAGGAAAGAGCATAAGCAGTGTCACCAAAGCCTGTGTTCCAGTGGTGGACATGGGGGAGTGGCTAGATGGAGACAGGCTCTGTGTAGTGTACTACAGAGTTTAGACTTTATTCTGTAGCTATGGCAGATTGTTACAGGAAGCGTTTTTGGAGGAGAATGGTGATCAGATTTGTGTTCAGATGGTTAATTTTGGCAGTAATATGGAAGAGGAAATAAAGTAGAAACAGGGAGATGAAGGGAGAAAGACCAATAAAAAGGTCATTTGCAATTGGCTGTGTGAAGAAACTGAGAGCCAGAAAGAAGCCATGGGCAGTGCGGGGTTAGAGCAGAGAAATGTATGAGATAAAACCTCTGGAAAGGGTGATCGAGTCGAGGGGGGACATTCAAAAAGGCTTGGATTAGAGAAAAGGTGTGAGTATGGGCAAAAAAGAAGAAAGGATGCATTTAGGTTTAGAAACATGCTGCATTTAAGGTGCCCATTGGACTTTAGATGGATCTATTGAAAGGGAAATTATAAATATGGATTTTGGACTCTGGAGAGAATCTGGGACTGTGAATACAGATGTAGGAGTCACTGGTACTCAGAATCCACATACTGATTGCCAAAAGCTCTTCCCCTACCCCACCACCCCTCCATCCAAGCATGATACCCTGTTATTCTAGACAACCTCTTTGTCCTTGTCCCTGACATGTGAGCCCCTTTCCCTTCTCTAGGAAGTGCCCAGTTTGTTTTACAATTCATGTAAAAATTCGATAAACAAGCAACCTATTTTTAGGTATAAATAATAAACATTTCTAAAAGGGTATTTGTTGGGAGGCTGAGGTGAGAGATTGCTTGAGGTCAGGAGTTTGAGACCAACCTAGGCAACATAAGGAGACCCTGTCTCTAAAAAAAGTTTAAAAATAAATAAAGATTATTTGTTAACACAAATAAATTATTCCTAAATAGTGTGAAAAGTTTCTGGGAGAATATTCGGGGGACAGAAAGCCTTTCTTAGTTCTCTCAAGTCCTAACAACAATGCACCATCCAGCCCTACCTCTGGGTAGAAGATTCTGCTTCCCCATTGGAGATGTGTAAGCCACCCAAGGAACAATTCCTAACTGGACAGTGAGGCCTAAGATAGCTCTTCACCTGAGGTCTTTCCCAAGGGCCAGATGTAAGCCTAGGACCTGAGAAGGAATAGGAGCATGGCGCTGTGCCATGCTGTTGGCTGGCTGGCTTCTCTGCTATGATGGGAAGAGCTCAACTGAAAGGACAGGCAGCTGCTGTCTAAATTTAAACAGAAACACTGTAAAATAAACTTAAGCAACTGTAGCCCACTCTGTTCTTTGGGTGAGTGTGATGCCTTCATCACAGACTCATGCCTGCTGTGCCACAACATGGAATGCAGTTGTTCTGGAGCAGCCTGTGTGGTTGATAGTACCCATTTGATTCTCTGGGCCCAGACAGAGCTGTGTTACCAGGTAGCAGTAGCAGGATCTGATTTAACCCACCAGAGAAAGAGGATCTGAAGAGGTCCGGTGAGAAAAGTAGACAGGGTTAAAAGAAAAGGAGCAATTTCTAGTCAGGCCAGAATAAGGATTTCCTGGTCTGGAGATGAGCTGCTGTGTCAGCGACTGAAAAATGAAGCTGAGAGCTGTCCCTTGCTCACATCTCCAGCCAGCACAAAAAAAGTACACACCTGCTCTACCAAAAAGTAACCAGACTGCTTCTTCAAGCAAGTGCCTGACCCCGTTTCTCCTGACTGGGTGAGACCTCCCAACAGGGGTCTCTAGCCACCTCCTACAGGTGCGTTCAGGCTGGAAACAGGTCAGTACGCCCCAGTACAGAGCTTCCAGAGGAAGGAACTGGCTGCCATCTTTGCTGTTTCACAGCCTTCACTGGTGACATCTCCAGATATGGTAAAAACCAAGGCAACTAGGGTCTGGAGCTGACCCCAGCAAACCACAGCAGCCCTATGGTAGAGTAGCCTGACTGTTAAAAGAAAAACAAACAGAAAGCTAGAAACCTAGCTAGACTAATAAAGAAGAATAAAATAAACACAATCAGAAATGGTAAGGGGGATATCACCACTGACCCCCGGAAATACAAACAACCACTAGAAGATACTATAAACACCTCTATGACATAAACCAGAAAATCTAGAAGAAGTGGATACATTCCTGGACACATACACCCTCCCAAGATTGAACCAGGAAGAAATTGAATCCCTGAATAGACCAATAATGATTTCTGAAATTGAGGTAGTAATAAATAGCTTATCAAACCCCCCCCCAAAAAAAAACCCAAAACCAAACAGATTTACAGCTGAATTCTACCAAACGTACAAAGAAGAGCTGGTACCATTTCTACTGAAACTATTCTAATAAATTGAAAAGGAGAAACTCCTCCTTAATTCATTCTATGAAGCCAGCATCATCCTGATAATAAAACCCAGCAGAGATACAAAAAAAAAAAACAAAAAACTTCAGCCCAATATCCTTGATGAACATCAATGCAAAAATCCTCAATAAAATACTGGCAAACCGAATCCAGCAGCATGTTAAAAAGCTTATCCACCACAATCAAGTTGGCTTCATCCCCGGGATGCAAGGTTGGTTCAACATGTGCAAATCAATAAAAGTGATTAGTTACATAAACAGATCTAAAGACAAAAGCACATGATTATCTCAATAGATGCCTATTTAGAATAGGCACCTAAT
Organism: Homo sapiens; assembly: GCF_000001405.40. NCBI lineage: Eukaryota > Metazoa > Chordata > Mammalia > Primates > Hominidae > Homo > Homo sapiens. The sequence goes on along the minus strand of NC_000014.9, from coordinate 51,503,437 downwards.
AGAAAAGGCATTTGATAAAATTCAACATCCCTTCATGTTAAAAACTCTCAATAAACTAGGTATTGAAGGAACATACCTCAAAATAATAAGAGCCATATATTACAAACCCACAGCCAATATCATACTGAATGGGCAAAAGCTAGAAGCACTCCCCTTGAAAACCAGTACAAGACAAAAATGCCCCCTCTCACCACTCCTATTCAACATAGTATTGGAAGTTCTGGCCAGGGCAATCAGACAAGAAAAGGAAACAAAGAGTATTCAAATAGGAAGAGAGGAAGCCAAATTATCTTTGTTTGCAGATGATATGATTCTATATCTAGAAAATCCCATTGTCTCAGCCCAAAAGCTTCTTAAGCTGATAAGCAACTTCAGCAAACTATCAGTATACAAAATCAATGTGCAAAAATCACTAGCATTCCTATATACCAATAATAGGTGAGCAGAGAGCCAAATCATGAATGAACTCCCATTCACAACTGCTACAAAGAGAATAAAATACCTAGGAATACAGCTAACAAGAGATGTGAAGGACCTCTTCAAGGAGAACTAAAACCACTGCTCAAAGAAATCAGAGAGGACACAAACAAATGGAAAAACATTCCATGCTCATAGATAGAAGAATCAATATTGTGAATATGGCCATACTGCCCAAAGTAATTTATATAATCACTGCTATTCCCATTAAGCTACCATTGACATTCTTCACATAATTGGAAAAATCTATTTAAAAATCATATGGAACCAAAAAAGAGCCTGAATACCCAAGACAATCATAAGCAAGAAGAAGAAAGCTGGAGTCATCATGTTACCCAACTTCAAACTATACTACAAGGCTACAGTAACCAAAACAGCATGGTACTTGTACAAGAGCAGACACATAGACCAATGGAACGAATAGAGAACTCAGAAATAAAAACCAGACACCTATAATCATATGATCTTCAACAAACCTAACAGAAACAAACAATGGGGAAAAGACTCCCTATTTAATGAATGGTGCTGGGAGAGCTGGCTAGCCATATGCAGAAAATTGAAACTGGACTCCTTCCTTACACCATATACAAAAACTAACTCAAGATGGAATAAAGACTTAAATGTAAAACCCAAAACTATAAAAGCTCTAGAAGGAAATCTAGGCAATACCATTCAGGACACAGACACAGGCAAAGATTTCATGACGAAAATGCCAAAAGCAATTGCAACCGCAGCAAAAATTGACAAATAGAATCTAATTAATCTAAAGAGCTTCTGTACAGCAAAATAAACTATAATCAGAGTGAACAGACAATCTACAGAATGGGAAAAAATTTTGAAGGTCTAATATCCAGCTATTTTAAGAAACTTAAAGTTACAAGAAAAAAACAACCCTATTAAAGAGTGGGCAAAGGACATGAACAGACACTTCTGAAAAGAAGACATACATGTGGCCAACAAGTATATGAATAGAAGATCAACATCACTGAGCATTTGAGAAATGCAAATCAGAACCACAATGAAATACCATCTCATGCCAGTCAGAACAGCTATTATTAAACAGTCAAAAAACAACAGATGCTGGCAAGGTTGCAGATTAAAAGGAACACTTTTACACAGTTGGTAGAAGTGGAAATTAGTTCAACCATTGTGGAAGACAGTGTTGTGATTCCTCAAAGACCCAGAGGCAGAAATACCATTTGACCCAGCAATCCCATTACTGGGTATATATCCAAAAGGATATATATATATATTGTTTTATTATAAAGAAACATGCATGCGTTGGTTCATTGTGGTACTATTCACAGTAGCAAAGGCATGGAATCAACCTAAATGCCCATCAGTTATAGACTGGATAAAGAAAATGTGGTACATATACACCATGGAATACTATGGAGCCATAAAAAGGAACAGAATCATGTCCTTTGCAAGGACCTGGATGGAGCTGAAAGCCATTATCCTCAGCAAACTAACACAGAAATAGATAACCAAACACCGCATGTTCTCACTTACAAGTGGGAGCTGAATAATGAGAATGCATGGGCACATGGTGGGGAAACAACACACTGGGGCCTGTTGGGAGGGGTTGGTTGGGGGAGGGAGAGCATCAGGAAGCATAGTTTATGGATGCTGGGCTTAATACCTAGGTGACGGGATGATCTGTGCAGCAAACCACCATGGCACACATTTACCTATGCAACAAACCTGCACATCCTGCACAAGTACTTCTGAACTTAAAATAAAAGTTGAAGAACAAAGAAAATGACATAACACCCCAAATGAAGCAGCAAGTCAGGAGGAAACAGGGCATGGAGAGATTCTGAACTTCTGTTTCCAATTTCTTATTCAGTGCATAGTATAATTCTAAGCCCAATTGTTAGAGTTTTGGAGTAGAGGAAATGATTTATGCTAGGAAGGAGGAACAGGGAAGCTGTCTGAGCACCAGCTTTCTTAATGCCAATCCACCCTGATAAGCTGGCAAGTTTCCCATAACTATTCATGGCAAAATCCCTGCAGTATCAAAGATCAAATCTGCTTCCTAATTTAGGCCAACATTTTTGAGATCATTGACAATTGCCATAGAAATTAATTTAGAAACAACTCACTGTACTGCTCACCGTATGGGCTTCCAACTCAAGATACTTAAGCTACATGTGACTCACACCCATTATATGTATGTGTGTATATACACACACACACACACATATGTATATATGTACATATATATAATCTTCTATGGCCTTCAGGGTTCCTTAACTTCCTAAATCTTTTTCTGTTAACTGAAGACACATTAATGATTCAGGTCTTTCTGTGTCCACACATACAAAAACTAATCTAAAAATGAGTGAGTAGCACAGATCTTGCTTCATTCAAAACTTTCTCTTTACATACACACTATCTTTTTCTATCTTTTTTTTTTTGAGACAGAGTCTCACTCTGTCGCCCAGGCTGGAGTGCAGTGTCGCCCAGGCTGGAGCACGATCTTGGCTCACTGCCACCTCCGCTTCCAGGGTTCAAGCGATTGTCCTGCCTCAGCCTCCTGAGTAGCTGGGATTACAGACGCGTGCCACCACGCCTGGCTAATTTGTGTATTTTTAGTAGAGACAGGGTTTCACCATGTAGGTCAAGCTGGTCTCAAACTCCTGACCTCATGATCCGCCCACCTTGGACCCTCAAAGTGCTGGAATTACAGGTGTAAGCCACCACGCCCGGCCTACATACACACTATCTTTACACTACTTCCACATTCGTTTACATCTCTAACATTTCCCCCATCATCTCCCAAAATATGTAACTGCCAAAACGCTTTAAAATGCAGCTCCGGCAACATTTGGGCAGATTTTAAAAGACTTAATTGTGAATGTGAGCTGCTTCTTTTTGTCACCCTGCATGCAAACTTGGCACCTTCGCAAAATCGTAAGTCTTGATGTAGCAGGAGCTAAACTATGTGTTCTCCACCACGTTAGCAGGAGCCCTGCTGAGGTCTTCCAAGACATGGCACCCTCTCTAGCCAGGGTTCAGGGCCACCAAGCCATTATTTCCATAACTCATGAGAATATTTTCAATTTAACAAGCTCAGTTCAGACATAAGAATCAAATGAGACAAATTAAGAAAAAAAAATACCTCCCAACCCATGTGCCGAATTGGGAAACCAAGTGACCAAAAGAAATTAGAGTCCTAAAAGAGTTTATACAGATCACCCAAGGACCGAATACCTGAAAAGAATATATGCAGCATCAGACTGTTGCTCTGATTTCTGCTATACTCCACACTTTGCTTTTCTCTGATTTCATGGTCTCTTTGCTTTCCCTGTATGTAGACAGCTGTGGGACAGTGATTAGAAACATGGACCTCGGAGCTGGGCTGCCTGGGGTCAGGCCCCTACTCCACGTCTTATTTGCTGTGTGACCTTGGGCTGTTACCTAGTTTCTCTGTGCTTTATTTCCTCATCTGTAAAACAGACTGCTTTAAGGATTAAATAAGTTAATGTAGTTGAAGCTTTTATACAATGTCTCACACTTAACACAAAAGTTCTGAATAAGTGTTAGCCAATTTCCTTTAAATTGGAAATCTATCAAAACCACAGAAGTTTTAGCATGAAATATAGAAAAGAAAATTGGGCCATTCATACCTCAATTACTCTTTCTCTGCTTTCTCTTGTATATTAATGAAAGGCCAGGTGACAACTGTGAACAGAGAAAAACTACAGGCTCAGCTGTCGTTGCTGAGAGTCAACATCTCCGCTAAAGGAGGGCAAGGTTCCTCTCTGGAACAAAAGGAGCATCAAGAAACATGTGTTTATTGAACGTTATCTATTGCAAGGGATCCTGTGAGGTCTCTCTGTGTGAGAAGTAACTGTATTGAAAACTGCAGTGGAATTCCAAGTCACACCTCTGCCAGGAAACCTGTCCCATCTGCTCAACTCTGTTTCTTGTTAGATTGAGCAAGCATGGGTGGAATCTTTCCAAATGTGAAGTAAAAGCAACATTGGAACCAAATTCAGTCACTCTTTGTGGGACCTTGGGCAAATTGCAGTGCAGTAGGACTGTGCTAAAAAGTGCTTTAGATACAAATATCTTATGTAATACATAAAATACCTATGAGATCTAGTGGTAGATTTTACATTAATTATTCCCCAACTCATCATGCCTCCCAGGATCCATGCCCTTGTGTAGTTTCCTCCCATGCGATGCCGGGTTTCGTCACGTGGATGGAATGAGTAGATGTGATCATGGTTAGAAGCTCGATAAATGCTTGCCTGTTGAAGCTTGTACTGTACTCTCAGAACACTGCCACCACCACATGAGAAAGTCTAGCCTCCTGAAGGATGAAAGAGCAGATGGACAGAGAGAGGCCCAGCTGTCCCAGCTAAGCCCAGGCCCCTGTTGATCTTCCAGCTGAAGGCAGCCACGTGCATAAGCCCAGGTAATACCAGTAGCAATTAAGCTAGACAGGCAACCCATGGAATCATGAGAAATAACAAATTATTGTTTTAAGTCACTAAGCGTCGGAATCACTTGTTACTCTGCAATGAAAACAAAAATTGGTGAGTGGAGTGCTGCCACAAAACAAAAATTAAAATATGTGGCATTGGCTTTGGGACCACATGGTGGGCAGAGGCTGAAAGAGCAGAGAGGAAATTATTTCTGGAGTCTGGAAAAAGGGAAACCCATATTTTTGAAACAATCAGCAAAATAATTTCCTGTGGTAACTTGTAAAGCAAAAACTGTACCTGATACGCTTATGGGTCTGGCTAATGCTATTTCTACACAAAATGCTAAAATAGTTTTTTGTTTTTATTTTTAACACTGCCTGATAAGGTATAGAAGAAAGACGGATGAATTAAAGAAGGAATCATTTAGTTTGCAAGCACAACATAGAGGAAATGAGCAGGTCCCAGGACTTGCTGGATTAGAATGTAAGACTGTTCCTCATTTCCATTTTCTCCAGCTGGCAAAGGATTCTCAAAGTAAAAAATGGTTTCAGGGTAAAGATTAATCTAGAGTGTGGCTATGAAATCCTGTATTAAGGCCTCTAAAGGACTTTAGGAAGTTCTGAGTAGACTCTCAACTGGATGAAAGGGCTTCTAAGATTCGTAGAAGCCTCATCCCAAAATATCTCTGGGTAATATAGAGCTGGGCTGCCCAGGATGGTAACCACTAGTGATGTGTAGCTACTGGGCACTTGAAATATGGCTAGTCCAAATTGAGATGTTTTGTAAGTGTAAAATACATGCTGGGTTTCAAACATGTAGTATGGAAAAGTTTAAAATATCTCAATAATTTTTATACAGATTACATGTTGAAATGATAATGTTTTAGATACACTGCATCTAATAATATATTACAATTTCATCTGTTTCTTCTTACTCTTTTAAAATATGTGGCTATTAGGATTTCAAAAAAACATATATATGACTCACACATGTGGCTTGCATTATATTTCTATTGTAACATTAGTGTGGAGAGAGCATTAGTAGAGAGAGGCCTGTCCCAGAAAGAATTATGGGTATAGATTTTGTCTAATAGAGGGAATAATAATATGATACATGGAAAACCGATAAAGTTTTTAAAGGAGTTGTATCAGATTGAAGAACAGTTTTATATAAATAACAGTTTAGATGATAAGAGACCTCTGGGCTCCCAACTTTCTACAAGCAAGCAACAGGCTGAGAGAGATACTTGGCTGAAAACATAGGTTGTTTCTTAAAAAAAAAAAAAAAAAAGTTATTTCAGAAGATGGAATCAAGAACCCAGAGCGTTGAGTCAGGAGTAGAGCCAGATTCTAATCAAGGAATTCTGCCTGCTTGAGTGGAGGAATCTGAAAATATGTGCCCAGATACATATGTCAGAATTACTATGGACCAATTACTGCTATTGCCTCCATTACCCTCCTTTTTGAATGAGGATATTAAGGTTACCATGTCCCTGTTTCAACATTGTATGGTGGGTGTATGGTTTAACTTGTAAGTATAATTTAGAGGAAATGAACAGGGGGCAGGATATGCTATGTTGGAAGGCAAATCTCATTTCTGGATGAAGAGAAATTACATGTGAGAAATTTTATGTCTGGACCGGATGGCAGATCAAAAAATCATGGACTTCAAACCAGACACAATCATTAAGACACACATAAAGATGAGACTTTAAGTGTCTTGGAGGGATGAGTGTATTTTGCATATGGGAAGAATGCAAATAATTATTTCCAGATGGTAGACCTGTGGATTATAAGTGACCAAAAATTATTTGCAAATCTTCTCATTAAGAGGTAGAGTTTATTCCCACATCTCTTAATCTAAGCTAACCTTTTTTACTTGTTTTACCCAATAGAATGTGGCAGAAGTAATGCTGTGCAACTTCCAAGCCCAGATCTGAAGAGGCTTCGCAGCTTTTACTGTTATCCTCTTGGTACCCTGAGAACATTGCACTGTCCTAAAGCCTATAAGAAAATCACAGAAGTTAGAGTCCCAGCTATTCCAACCATCTCTATCTGAGGCCCCAGACATGGGAGTGACGCCCTTTTAAATCTGTAGCTAACTGTAGTCACACGAGTAAGTCTAGGAAGAAGACAGCATGAGAGCTACTTAACTAATCCAAAGAAGTGTGAGAAACAAGAAATCATTGTTGTTTTCAGCCACTATATTTTGGGGTGCTTCGTTCCACAGCAATAGATAACTGATACAGTCTATTCAGTTTAACAAGGAGCTAGTTGAGCAGATGGTGCAGGTTTTCTTGTGAAGGTGTGGTTTGGGATTCTGCTGCAGTTGGAACACTGTCACCACCATGCTCTTCATGACGTGGGCCTCTCCACAGTGCTGCTTTCAACTTGCAGCTGGATTCCTCAGAGTGAGTGATCCAAGAGTGTGAGAGAGGAATGAGTGGCCAAGATGGAAGCTGCTACATCTTCCACATTCTAATACAGAAGTAACATATCATCACTTCTCTTGTATTCCAGCCACACAGACCAATGCTTATAGAATGTGGGTAGGGACAACACAGGGTACTAATATCATCATTAGGGGCTATCTTGGAGACTGGTGACCACCTAAACCAATAAATAAATATAGTTCACATCTTGGTCTTTATTTCAAGAACCCCAAGGGATTAATTTTCCCATATCATCCATTACACCTCTGTTTATCATGGCTTCTTCACCTAGTTTTCTTTCCTTCTCAATTTGTCCCATGCATTTCCTCTACCTCTCCAATTCCTTTAGGCCACGGAACATGGCATTTAACGTCTTCTTACCCTCACTGGAGGAATTGCTGCTGTTAGCTGGCTCAGTGTCAGTCCTCAGTTAGAAGGCTCAGTGATAGGGAGAAAGACACTCTAATATCAATGCCCCCAAAGCTTTTGGAGAGGAGAACTATAAATGAATTCAACTTAATAAAGAACAGGGCAGCCTAGGACTGTCGGGAGACAATGCTTGTATTTGTTGCTGGTTTCTGAGGAAATCAATCTGGCAATTTGCCAGAAGAGCTATAAAATTTGTCATTCTATTTGACTCAGTGATTTCTTCTTTGGAGGCCATACTCCCCTGCTATGGTCTGAACTTTTGTGTCCTCCTAAGATAGACCCTTAAAAGTGATTCTGGTGAGGACTCGGAAAGAAAAGAGAAGAGCTGTAGAGAATGCCTTAATATTCTTAGAGAATATATAAGTGGTTGTTGTGAACAGAATATTGGTGAAATATGGATATGAAGGCCATTCTGATGAGATCTCAGAGGGAAACAAGAAACATGTTATTAAACAATGGAAGAAAGGTGATCCTTGTCACAAAGTGGCAAATACCTTAGTTGAATTGTGTCTTTGTCTTAGTGTTTTGTGGAAGGAAAAACTTGTGAGCAGTGAAATTGGATATTTGGCTGAGGAAAATTCTAAGTCAAGTGTTGAAGGTATGGTTTGGCTTCTCCTGGCTGACTATACTAAAATGTGAGAAGAGAGAAATGACGTAAAGATGAAATTGTTAATCCAGATGGAAGCAGAGCTGAAAGATTTAGAAAATTCTCAGCTTATCCATATTGTAAAGAATGAGAACGTATATTTGGGAGAAAACATCAAGAGTGTGGCCAAATGACAACGATAGTTGACAAGGAAATTAGTCAACTATCTAAACAGAAACCAGGACCTATTGTCCAAGACAATGGAAGAATGGCTCTGAAGGAAATTCAGAAAATATTACGGCTGTCACCTTCATCATGGGCCCAGAGTGCAAAAGCCCCATCAAGCACAGGGTTATCATAGACTACCATTAGGGCACCAAAATCAATGCGGAGTGCAGCCATGGGGGTGAGGCTGCCCCCATGACCCTAGATAGATGTTGCCACAGGTGTGCATTTCAGCCCCAAAGAACCACAAGCACACAACTCCGAACCATGACAGCTGTGGCATGGGCTTTGCCCGACAAATCTGTGAGGGTAGAACTGCCACTCCAGTGGATCCAGAAGGCAGAGTCTCTGCCCCAGTGTGCCTGGAGGGCACAGCATCAAGCCAAAGATTGTTTTTGAGTTTTAAGGTTTTGGACTTGCTCAGAACCAGTTACTCCTTTCTTCTTCCCTATTTTTCCTTTTTGGATTGGGAATGTCCATTCTAAGCCTATCCTACCACTGTATCATAGAAGCATATAACATGTTTGGTTTCATAGATTCATAGCTAGAGAGCAATTTGCCTCAGAATGAATCATATCTTAAATCTCATCCATATCTAATTTAGAGGCTATTTAGATGAGACCTTGGACTCTAGACTTTTGAGTTGATGCTGAAATAAGTTAAGACTCTTGGCGCTATTGGGATGCAATGAATGTATTTTGCATGAAAGAAGAACATGAATTTTGGGGGACTGGGACAGAATGATATTGTCTGCATGTTTGTGTACCCCAAGAATTCATAGGTTGAAATCCTTATGAATCCACATAATTGGGATTAGTGCCCTTATTTAAAAAGAACCCCCACTAGCTAGCACCTTCCACCAGTTAGAGTAAGACAATGGTTATCTATCAGGAAGCAGACCCTCACCAGACACCATATCAGCTGGCACCTTGTTCTTGGACTTTCCAGCCTTTAGAACTGTGAGAAATAAATTTCTATTGTTCATAAGCCATGCAAATTTATGATATTTTATTATAGCAGCCTGAACAGACTGACACGTCTGAAAGAAAAACCCAAAGGAAAAAGTTAAAAAGTTGCATTCATTGGACCATCTCAAATGCTCAATAATAAGGAATTGGCCTGAGTAATATGATAGAAAACTATATTCATATAGTAAATGACAAGTATGTCATTTCATTGACATTTCCTCGTGTATTAGTTCTCACACTGCTAATAAAGACACAGCTGAGACTGGGTAATTTATAAAGGAAACAGGTTTAATTGACTCACAGTTCCACAGGGCTGGGGATGCCTCACAATCATGGTGGAAGGCAAAGGAAGAGCAAAATCACATCTGACATGGCAGCAGGGAAGAGAGAGAGCATGTGCAGGGGAACTCCCCTTTATAAAACCATCAGATCTCGTGAGACTTATTCACTATCACAAGAACGGCACAGGAAATACCCACCCTCATGATTCAATTACCTCCCACTGAGTCCCTCCTACGACATGTATTATGGGAATTATGGGAGCTACAATTCAAGATTTGGGTGGGGACACAGCCAAACCATATCAGCCTGTGTCTATGAAATAAAATTGTGTTAGAAATGAAGTAGAACAAAGTAGTAAACACATATTGCTAAGATCAAGGTTTTGAAAAATCTAAAGTGATACAAATAGATGATTGTTGATTAGGATCTGGGAGATTAAATTTTTTCATGTAAACACCATTTTCCCAGGAAGTCAGCTGTCTTTGAGATGAGGAGGAAACTTTTTAAAGCCATAATAGGAAGTGGTTTTAAATAAACCCAGCAGCATCTTCTGAGTCTCAGTTTCCCCATCTGCTGAATCAGTGTCATGTACCTATATCCCAGGATTGTGAAGATTAAATGAGATGAACCATCTGAGCACACCCTGTCCACTGGGAAGGAGTTTGTAATCCAGGCGCCATGGTGGACGCAGCATGGAATAAGGGAAACAACTTGAGCTTCAAATTACAACCCCCATTTACATGCCGCCTCCATCACACCTAGTACTGAACTTTTACTAAACCTTAATGTCTTCAACTGTAAAATGGGTCTTTCTACTTTGCCAGGTTCTGTCATGATTAAATGGTGTATCACATGTAAAGAGGATAGTAAAACACTGGGTACACACTACCTGTTCAATTAATATTAGTCTTCTTCCTTTCTGTTGTTTCAAATCTGCAATTCTTTTATTCTCTTTTTTTAAAAATTCAAAATGAGAGAAACTCTTTGAAAATGAAAATAAGCAACTTAAGACCAAACATCAAAGAAGGTGATACTTGACTGATTCATTACCAAGTTATACAATAAAAATAGTTTCTAAGACGTTTAAGGGGATAGGTCTCGGTATGCTGCTCAAGTTAACCAGAGTCATCCAATGGTCTCGGTGCTAAGGAGGCTGACCTTGGCCCTCCTCTGGCATCCCTAGTCTTGTGAGACAAGATCCACATTACAGAAGATTTGCCTATAGATACACACAGGAACAGGTTAGAGTTGTGACAGTTGTGACAGCTTGGGAATGAGCTATCACAAGACTGGTTAATTGTAGGACCACAGGCAAACAGGTTAGAGATTTCCCAAACTCTACCTGAGAGTAGTTTCAAACAGGTACTAGGAGTCCATCCCAAGAGGAGAACTCTTGGTTCTAGGTAGGTTCTGGGGAATATATTAGCTGAAACTCAAGGAAAGGAAAAGAACAAGTGTGGACACTTCCTGACTCCTCTTAAAGCAGGACTCTGTCTCCGGAAACAGCAGCATAGTGGAAGTCAAACATATGTTCCTGCAGAGTTAGAGTCAGCCCTGAACAGCAAGGAAAGAACAAGATGCACAGCCCTTGTTTGTAAACAAAGACCAAGATAAATGTCAGCTGCCAGACCTCAAAGGGAGGCACGACAGGACACTTGGAGAGACAACTCACAGGCAGCAGAGGAAGTCCTTTGGTCTCCCTGGTGGTTTCCAGCAGACCTTTCCAGAGCCTCCATGGAAGAACAGGGGAGCTAAGAGGGCCAGAAGGGATTCTGCCTAAGTGTCCGCCTCACAGAGCTGTACTGTCTTCTCCTGGCCAACTTTCAAGATCAATTTGATTTTCACTGTCATCACAGGCTGTGGTCGAATGCTTTGGAGTCGGGCACTTAGATTTGAATCCCCCAGCAGCAGAGAAAAGGCTAAGCGTCCATTTTGGTTTCATTTTTTAAATTTTTTTGTTTTGTTTTGTTTGTTTGTTTCTATGAAATGGGGATACCAGTAGTCCTTACTTCATAGGGTTGTTGTAAAGAATAAATTAGATCAGGTATATAAAGCCTTTGGCACAGTACCTGGCACATAGCTGGCGCTCAGCAAATTCTGGGTGCTGTTACTGATATTGCTGCTGATTTCTTCCTCTGCTTTGTCATTTCCCCCATGGCAGCATATTTCACCAGAACTAGGAGATGTGAGGAGCTGGGGAACCATCAATGAAAAACTCAGACATTTTCCAGAGTGGGGAAGGATGTTATTTATAGCAACCAAGAGAAGAAGCAGCTGTAAGGAAGCAGTGAAAAGGAAGCGCATGTGCTGGTACTGAGGTGACCTTTACATCTATCAACCTTGCCTGTGGGCCTGCCTCAGTCCAGCTAAGGAGTTAGCCTCTTAGGGCAGGTGAGGGCCCCATGCTAACATGCAAGGAAGTTCAAGAATGTTTGTTGAGGGCCTAGGGCATTCAGAACGATGCAAAAGAGAAAAGAAGCTTCCCTTGGAGACACCCAGGGAAGAGTCTTCCAAAGGGGAAGGGGCTCCACCCACCCCACTCCCCATTCAACTTCATTCCCAGGGTTTTGGGGAGAGGGCAGGGCAGAGAAGGTATTTGGTCCCTGCCTTAGAGCCTGCCCTTAGTCAAGAACCAGGGCCCTTGCCCAGGGAACTCAGGGATCACAAACAGGGTCCAAATCTCATAGCAGTGCTCTCACTATTCTTGGCCTTGGAGAACTGGATTTTAAGGAAGCTTGAGCCCAGTACTGAGAGGAACACAGTATTTATTTTCAACAGGGTGTCATTCCCAAGTATATATAGACAATACATATTTTTATAGTAGGTCAGTACACAAGCAGTTTCGGTAACTGGGCCACCTTAAGAATTCTGCTACGGTAACTGCACTAAAACTCTGCGGTTGTCTTTTTGTTGGCAACACGAATAAGAGGTAGGTAAAGGTTACTAAAGAAGAAATTTCGCATTTTATACACACACACACACACACAAAATACACACATATATCGTCCAGGACCTAGCACTGTGCCCCACACACTATACACACGTATACAGCCAGGACCCAGCACGGTGCCCAAAACACAGAAGGTGGTGATTAATGTTTCCAGAACAAGTGGTTACAGAGATGCATTTTTAAATGACCCAGCATTTGTCTGTAAGCCAATATATGAGAGTTTCTCCTCTCTCCCTCCCTCATATTCTGTCTCTCTCTCTCTGTCATAAATACACATGCAGAAACACAAGCACACACTCACAATGGCAAACAACAGATAGCCTCAATATTTGGTCATCTTAAAAGTAATGTGATGACACAGTTCATAAGTAGCTTCTCTGAGAACTGATTGCCTAGTTACTGACTCACAAACTTAGTCTGTTTTTTAAAAGTAGACCTAGAAATTCTCATAAAACTCCACTTTGTTCTTCTCCATATTCCCTTTATCACTTCCTTCTATCACACATGCATCATATTTTACTTTTACAACACTTGGGATCTGGTTATGACAAACTCTGTAACAGCTCATTGTATTCATTGTACAGTTTCTTGTCTAGTTTTGCTAAGTTATACCCCTCATAAAAGAAGTGCAGGAACCCCAAATATGTAAATGTCTCCTTTTCCAACCCAGAGGGTAAGCATGTAACTGATACTAATGTAACCGACACCTACTTAATGTTTCCCAGACTCTTAATAACTTCCTTTTTAAAAACTTATGATGGTGTCTTACAAGAAGTCATTGTTGGGCTCTTGAAACATTTAGAATAAAACGGTGCATCAAAGGGACCGGTCTTCTGGTCAGGTTATCATCTGTGTTTTTGAGAGTGTTCTTACCAAGGCAAGTGTGTGTCTAGAGTACAGGACACGTACATAAACACACACACTGTAAGCAAAAGTACAGAAAGCACAGGCACTGTCAAGTCATGAAGATGTGAGTTTCTTCCTAGCCCTGACAGCAGTGGCTGTTACATTGGACAACCCAAGGTACCCCCTTCCCTAAAGAATAAATCATGAGACAGATCAACTTCAGCAGCAGAACCAACTCCCTCAGCAGTTTGGGCTGGTTTGCAGACAAATCAAATTATTTAAACCCTTCGATGATTCTACTGTGCCCATTGTACAGGAATTTAACATTAAATTTGTCTTCAGATTATATTTCATAAAAAAGGGTAAGAACAAACATTTTTTTCCTACCTGCTGCTGGAGCCACCAGGAGCCAGGCTGCTGCTCTCAGAATGGGGCAGACTCCAGGCATTAATCTTCAGCTCCTGCCCCTGGAACCAGAATCGTCGAAACAAAATTTTCAGTTGCTGTGAGTAAGCAGGCTGTTTACTTCCAGCCACTTCTTTCCCATTCCCATGGCTTTTTGAGTGCCAGAGTGGGGTGCTCAAGGAAGAATGTTTGGAGAGAAAGGGATTGAGATTGGGGGAAAGGGCAGGAGAAAATAGTGTTAGTTCACCCAACACCCTTCCTTCAAGGAGGAAAGCCCTCTTTCTCCAGTTTTAATTTCTCATAGAAGATCTGCCACTGCATTACTCATATAATTGCTACATTGCCCCTTCACAAACAGCAGACATAACTTTTTGGGCGAGCCTCCAGATTTCTGATGCATGCCCGTACCTGTCTGCAGAGATATTGCTGTGCCTGGGAAAATTGGGAGGGCAACATACCCACCCAAAGGGAGGACCCAGTCTAGATTATTAATCAAGCTCTCGGGATAAAATATACCACAAAAAAAGCAGAGGCCGGTGTGAGCTTCTCCATCCATAGGGCATCCACCTCATTCATGGGATCACTGGTTAGGGATCGAACTTCGTTCAAATAGATCAGCAGCTACACTTTGTCAAGCTTTGACTTGTTTCCCCAAAGAGGAAAGGAGTAGCAAGGATTACTATCACAGAAAGAATGTGGCTTTCTTACTCCAGGCAGTCAATGTAGGAGAGTCAAAGATGAGAGATGTGCAATTAGAGTTCCTTTAAATTCAATATCATGAAATACAGTATTTAAGAAGACATTTCAAAGATAAGGCAAGCATTATAGAAGCTCCATGTTTGATTCATTCCTAGTTTCCAAGAAGGTGGTAGTACTACAGTAGAGAGGATGTAGAAATAGGGCAGAAGTTGTTAAGTCTTGCTCTGCTGTTGACTACCCATGTGACCTTGAATAAATCCCTTAAACTGATTTCCAAATAAGCAAAATGAAAGGATTGGGCTGGAAGACTGGCACAATAACAGAACACCATCTCTCAGTTTTACATCTATTCCATCTTGTTTTTGTATCAAAACTTTGATTTTCCTTTGGGGAATCACCCCTTCCTCTCAGCTGTCGTGGATGTTGTTGACACCACCCCCAGACTTCTTCAGAAGTGGGCCTGTGGCCAAGTCTAGCCAATCAAAATTACTGCGAAAATTTCAGAGACGGGCTCCTGCCAATGGGAGTCGTCCCTGGAATTTTTGCTGGGAAGGGAGGTTCTCATTCTGCTGTGGTTTCTAATCATAGAAGCAGAGCCTAGGGCTGCTGGTGGCCACCCTAGGGAAAGAGGAACTGCCTGAAGATAAAGCCACTGCAGAAGAAAGCAGATCTCGTTACTACATCGTTTGAACACTTCATTCAGCCATGACGAAAGCAAGCATTTCCCTCAGATTTCTTAAAAATGTCCTTTATCTCCTTAAGCCCATTTCAGTTAGATTTCTAATACTGGCACTAAAAAAATTCCAGCTAATATGAATTTCTTCCTACTTCCCTCTATACCTATCACCACTGCTTTTTAACATTCATTTCTACAGTATCAGTGGGGGGATTTCTAGGGCCAATAAATGAGTTTCCTTTTGCTTCACTCTTGGAAATGTGTTTCAAGGCTAAGCCTGCATAGCAGAGAGATGTCAAAGTAAGGCAAATTCTGGTGAAAGACTTTAAAAATCTTTCATCCTTTCTCTGAATATAGTTATTTGTAAAAAATATTTTTAAAAAATAATGCGCAAAGGTGAAATGTACAAAGCATAACTCCCCACCATTTGACCTTCCAACAATAACTATGGATAACATTTTAGTGGCTTGCTATTCAAAATGTGACCCATAGAACAGCAGCACTGACCTGGAGCTGGTTGGAAATGCAGGACCTCAGGCCTTAATCCAGTCTTGCATTTTCACAAGATCCCCCAAGTGATCTGTATGTAAATCAGAGTCTGAAAAGCACTGGCTTAATGTACAGCCATCTAGAGATTGTTTTCATATAGTCAGCAGCATTTTTTCCAGTACCTATAATTTGTTGATTTTGTATTTTACTGATTTTGTAAAGGAAATGTATATACAAATACAATAAACCAAAAATAATGTAATCAAAATTCTTTATAACAAGCAATTCATTTACAGGGACTGTAACTATAAGCCAGTTATAAAGCTGTGACAAACCCACACTAGACCTTAGGATACTATATACAGTAACAAACAATACTGGGACACTGTACACGCTAGAGCAGCAGGTCTTCAACTTGAGCATTCATTGGGACCACCTGGGGGTCATGTTCATGATTCCCAAACCCATACTGAGAGTTTCTGATGCAGTAGGTCTGGGGTGAGGCCTAAGCATTTGCATTTCCAACAAGTTCCCAGGTAATGCTCATGCTGCTGGTCCCAGAACAACATTTCTCCAGTACTTCAAAAACAAAAAAAAAAAAACGGTTTTATACCCTATATACTATCCTGAAACTTGCTTTTTTCACTGAATATTGTATCTAGGACATCTTTCCATGCCTAGCATATATAGCATTGCATCATTCTTTTTAAGGGCTGCAAGGTCAGAGATCGTTAGGGATATGACAACATAGGTTAAATGACAAAAGAGAGAATGACTGGCATCTTCCACATAAGGACAAGCATACCCACAACCAGAATTTCTCATCCACTTTCAACTTGAAATAGGCATCTTGTGATTGAGTCTATAGATCAGCAAAGCTCTGGACTGACCAGGAAAGAGATTAGCATTGTATCAGTGTCCACGAAGATACAAGTATGAAATTTGATTCCTTTGGGAACTATTCTGGTCTTTTATTTTTTCTATGTTTTCAGTGCCAGTTATGATAACAGGTATACAGTAAGAACTTCATAAATGCCTGCAAAGTCAATAAATGAAACCATCAATGCATTGAATGCACATAAAAACTCTACACAGGAATTCTTGATACAGAACTGCTGCACCATACTGCATACTGCTAATGCTTAATAGTTAGATAGCCCTCCTCAGTCCATCAGACTCCCACAAAGAAAGTGATCCAACTTGCAGGCCGGGCATGGTGGATCATGCCTGTAATCCCAGCACTTTGGGAGGCCGAGGAGGGCGGATCAACAGGTCAGTAGATGGAGACCATCCTGGCTAACACGGTGAAACCCCGTCTCTACTAAAAATACAAAAAATTAGCCGGGCATGGTGGCGGGCGCCTGTAGTCCCAGCTACTCGGGAGGCTGAGGCAGGAGAATGACGTGAACCCGGGAGGCGGAGCTTGCAGTGAGCCGAAATCGCGCCACTGCACTCCAGCCTGGGTGACAGTGCGAGACTCCATCTCAAAACAATTAAAAAAAAAAAAAAAAGAAAAGGAAGTGATCCAACTTGCAAACTTGCAAGTATGGTTGGAACTTCAAGGGGAAGTCTGGCAACAATCAGGTCTGGGATTCTGAGGCAGTTCCCTGGCCATCCCTCAGCTTGACTGCAGTGTGCCTGCTAAATGTCACCTGTTGTTAAAATGCTCTGGGCTTGGACTTCCTCACCTCGGGAAAGTTAACCTGTTGAAAAGGTTTTTCGCTTAGGTAGAAAAATACAGCCATATAAATAAAATATGAAGACATATATCCAGCATATATAATCTTCAACCGAGCCATGCCCATGATTCTGTAACCACACATGTGATCACCACCAAACAAAGGATGGCGTGACTACGATATACCCTAGAGGATCACATATTGAACAGAAATGCAGAAATTTCAAATGCAGAAATTAGAAATTTGGATTGAGTTAGGGAGTGAGATGGGATGAAGAGATGGTCACAGGTACTGTTCCTCAAACAGGAATGGTGTACTGGATCTAGGGTTTGTCTTAGCAAGAAAACACAAATCTTCTGCACAGTGCACAGTTGAAAGGGTCACTATAGTGGGTTGAATAGTGTTCCCTCAAAGGTCATGTCCACTTGGAACCTCAGAATGTGGTCATATTTGCAAATAGGGTCTTGCAGATGTAATTAGTTAAAAATGAGGTCCTATTGGATTAGGGTAGGCCTTAAATCCAATGACCAGTTTTCTTCTAAGAAGAGAAGAAACACAGAGAGACAGGGAAGAAACCCATGTGACCAGCAGAGTTGACTTGACATGAGACTTGTGTAGGTGAGCTGTGAAGCAGAGCAAAGGCCGTGGAGGCATCCCCATCCCACACGGGCTTCTCTAGAAGCTGGTGGTTGGTGAGAGGCCCTCTGTAACCATGTTCTTAGACGCCTTAAAAGCCAACTGTCCACAGACACTTTTGAGCTTGGTTAAATGCTTGTAAAGAAAGCACATTAACTTCAATTACGCTGTGTTCTTCTGAGGACCTCGCAGGGTATAAACTAATCCTCAGCTCATTTATCTTTGAGGCAGAAGCATCATAGGCCAAGTGCAGGCCCAGGAAGCTCCTCACCCAAGAAGCTACTAGTGCAGCCCTTTGACACTCAGAGAGTAGCTGTGTTCAACTAATGTCAACCAAAACTTCTACCCCATTGACTGCCTTTCAAAGTTTCAAAATTGCTTTGCCAAGTGATGGACATTGCAGTTGGATAGGAAGTGGGAGATGTGAATATGAGAAACTGGCACTCATCATCCACTTCACTTTCCCTCCATGGTTCACAGGCCGGAAAGCTAAAAACTGCATTTCCTAGGCTCTCTTCCAGCCGGGGTTTGATTTACAATTCAGTCCTCCAAATTAGTTGCACATGGGAGATTTGGAAGATGGAAGTGAGGGAGGGACTATCTTTCCTGCTGCTTCTCCTGTTGCTATTTGCAAACAGGTTTATGGAGGCAGGAGCTTCTCTACAGCAGGGTTCCAGGGCCCTGTCTCCACTGGGTGACTGCTGAGTGGCTATTCTGGTGGTGGTAGTGAAGTTTTCTTGTTCGTTATGTTGCAGCTAAGGTGATCTGTTCTTGGAGTTAACAGTTTCCAGGGCCCTGTCTCCACTGGGTGACTGTTGAGTGGCTATTCTGGTGGTGGTAGTCAAGTTTTCTTGATGGTTATATTGCAGCTAAGGTGATTTGTTCTTGGAGTTAACAGTATCAGCAGTGGCCTCCTGATTCACATCTGTTCCAGGCCATAGCAGAAGGAAACAGAGGTGGCTTCCCTGGCAGGTCAGATCAGCAATTCATTCTGAAATCATCTGGAATCCCAGCCTCACATCCCCCAACCCAAGCCTTTCCAACAATTTTGAACATGCCCAATTCCCTGTAAAGATATTCTTTGACTTATGACTTAAAATAGATTTTTTTAATGGAAAAGCTTATTTTTTATACATTTAACAGATTTATTGAACATCTATGTTGAAGGTGCTTTTCTAGACCTCAAACGCTAAGACAACATGGTGTAACGGAAATAGCACACACTCTTCATAAAGAAGCGAACTCTTACTCTGCCCCAGCTATGTGGCTTTGGGTGAGTTACTTAATCTCTGCAAGCCTCAGTTTTATCATCTGGATGAATATAGATATGACGAATAATTACCTCTAGGGTTGTTCTAAGAGTTACATGAAACAAACAATACACTCTACATAAAAGATGCTCTGTGTTCATTACCTTTCATTTTCCTTGAAACATGTAAAAATGAAATATTGACTTTAAATAGTTTGAGCAATATTCAATAGTACTGAGTATTAGTTTATTGTTTCCAAATGAAACTTTATCACTTCCCTGATTAAAACCCTACGATGGCTTTCTGTGACAGCTAGACTAAAATTCAAATTCCTTACTTTAGCCTACAAGGCCTTCACCAGCCTCCACCATACTCTCCAAATTCTCCTGTAAAACATTTCAGCCACGGGTACCATTTTTGTTCCTGCACATTGCCAAGCTCATGCCAATCTTAGAGACTTTGCCCTGGCTGTTCCCCATGCCTGGAATGCCCTTCCTCCAGGGCTTCTCATGCCTGCTTCTGTTCATGCAAGACTCCCTTCAAATGCCCCATCACCATCCCCCATTCATTTTTGAACACATGCTTCCTCCTTTAATCTTCTATGACACTTGTTACCACCTGGTGCTTTCTTGTATATGTGTGTACTGCTGGTCTCCCCAGTTAGAATGTAAGTACTTGCATCATTTGAGGAGAGACCTCAACTCTCTTGTTTGTTATTGCATCTCCGCTTTTCAGAAAGGTGCCCATTGGATAAAAGATATGCAATACGTATTTACTGAATGAATGAATTCTTCAATCAAAAATCTCTGAAGATAATGGTTTAAAGAAAAACACTTCATAAAATTGAACTGTTACTGGTATCACTAGAGGTATTCCAGTACACAACTAAGCAAAAAATATATCTAGCTTTCAAAAAAATTTTAAGAACTGGAACAGGACAAAACATCACTGGATGCATTAAAAACCAACCAAGGCCAGGCGCAGTGGCTCACGCTTGTCATCCCAGCACTTTGGGAGGCTGAGGCGGGTAGATCACGAGGTCAGGAGATCGAGACCAGTCTGGCCGACATAGTGAAACCCCCCGTCTCTACTAAAAATACAAAAAATTCGCCAGGTGTGGTGGTGTGCACCTATAATCCCAGCTACTCGGGAGGCTGAGGCAGGAGAATTGAGTGAACCCAGGAGGCAGAGGTTGCAATGAGCTGAGATCGTGCCATTTTACTCCAGTCCAGGCGACAGTGCCAGACTCCATCTCAAAAACAAACAAACAAAAACCAAATACACACACACACACACACAGTTCCTGCAAAGTTCCTTCTCCAATTGCACCTCTCTCTTTCCTAGATATAGTTGTATTATGCTTACTTCTGTTCCTTGGACAGATTCTCCCACTTTAAGAATTTTTGCGGCTTTCCTGAATTTCACTATTCCCGGTGATTCTCTCCGAGCAGAGATAGAGGGAGTAAAATGCACAATGCCGACTCTCTGGTAAAGACAGGTTATAGAAACACCCATGGAGCACTTCTTCCAGACTCCTCCACTGCAGGTTGAGCTTTGTTCTAGAAACATGGATTGAGAAGCCTCTTCATTGGCGCTGGAGACTGTGTGTGGCCTTCAGCCAAAGTGGGTGTGGGGTTCTGCAGTCTCCATGACACCACGTGCGAGGGCTGGCTCCAGGAGGCCCTGCACTCTGCTTGTGTGCCATGACATAAGCCCCAGTCTTAACATTTCAGATGGTCAGCAAATAGCTGTAGGGAACATCTGAAGTGAAGTCCAAAGTCAGGTAAAGCCAGATAATTCTATTGGAGGCAGCACCACTTTTATGTTATGGAAAACACTAATCAAGTTGAGACTGTTACCCTTTGCTAGACATCTTTTTCTTTTCTATAATGAAATGATCCCCATTCTTCAGTCCCTGAAACTTCCAACATTTTTGAAAAACAATAAGCGCTGAGGTTTCCATAACCATACTGCTTGCCTTCTGCTATACCCAGGGGGAAATGTAATTATAAATTATAAAATGCAATTTGAACAAACAAAATAAAACATAATACAAATTAGGGCTAGTTCCTGGAAAAACAACAGGGCCTGCTCTGCATATGCCCTAATCTCTGTTACTGATCTACTGGCAAAATAGCCACTCCAGGAAGCATTTGGAGGGGCCCGTGTGCCAGAAAGCACTCTCATGCTTTCCAATTGTCAGTCAAGTGACAGAGTATTCCTATGTCAGTCCACACATGATGTTCCAACAAAGCTGGCCCCTTTTCAGGGCCTGGGATATAAGTTGCTTGCAGTGTAAGAACGATAATAATAGCCAGCTTGGGTGATCGAAGGAAACCTGGAACCCAAGTGATATTCACTTAGGTGAGGTGTCTGTGTCCTTTACACCGTATACTTTTGCAAATAGTAGGCAGTTTGATATGGCTTGGCTGTGTCTCCACCTAACTCTCATCTTGAACTGTAGCTCCTATTATTCCCATGTGTTGCGGAAGGGACCCAGTGGGGGATAATTGAATCATGGGGGCGGTTCCCCCATACTGTTCTCGTGGTAGTGAATAAGTCTCACGAGAGTTGATGGTTTTATAAGGGGTTTCCCCTTTCACTTGGCTCTCATCTTCTTTTGTCTGCCCCCATATAAGACATGCTTTTCACTTTCTGCCATGATTGTGAGGCCTCCCCAGCCATGTAGAACTGTGAGTCCATTAAACCTCTTTTTTCTTTTAAATAAATTATCCAGTCTCGGGTATATCTTTATCAGCGGCATGAAAACGGACGAATACATACCTCATATTTTCACTCTTACCTTTAAGTTTTGTATCTATAAGTATGAAACCTGCATCACATTGTTTTCATGAAATGATCTTTGCATGAATGATGGGTAAGTGTGATACTCCCTGAAACCTAGAATTTTGGTCTTAATAGATATCCCCCAAATATTTGCTCTTTACTCTTAGTATTTTACATGTGGTTTCACAGGAATTCCCTTTGACAATTATGCTTTCAGCATATCTTTTAGAGGAGCATTTATTGAACAATGGGTTACAATGTTTACATTCACTGAGGTAAAGTGAGCTATCACCCTCACCATCACACCGTGACATGCCACCACTGCTACAGCTACTATTATGGTTTCTCCCAGGTAATATCTAATATTTGCCAGGCACTGCTCTAAGCACCTAGCATGTAGTAGCTCACTTAAGCCTCACAATATCATTGTGAGGTAGATGCTATTATTATTTCATTTTACCCAGGAGGAAACTAAAGTATAGACAGGCTCAGGAACTCACTCAGAGACATCAGCTAGATGTACGGTGTCAGGATATGAACGTAGATAGGACATAAGACTCCCCTAATCAATGTAGTCATTGTATATAAACATGATGCCTTCTTACCCTCAAGAACCACAGAGATGCATAGAGGATACATTTAGGCAAATAGATGATTCCAGTCCTGGAATTTTAAAACCAATGTTTTAAAACAATGTTTTAGGTCTTAATTTTCTACACACTGGGCATACAGATTCATTAAAGAAATAAGCTAAAAGAAGATTGGAGAGGACACTCCTCTCTTCATATTCTTTCCCAATTCGTTTGTTCTCTGCCTGGCTATAAACTGTGATCCCCGTAAATCTCAGATTTGCAGTGACTTCATCAATTATTCAGCCTCAATTGTTCAGTAAATACACATGTACGTATACCCTGTGTTAGGCTCAGAAAATGTGGCACCAGATCCCAAAATGCAACTGTGCTGTTTTTCATTGCTCTGCTGTTTTTCCCAGGGCCTGCTGCTTCTTCCTTCTTAGCACCTTGGCTCCATCTCTTACTCTTCACTCTGCAAGCCAAGCCCTGATTATAGCTCAACTGGGATGTTGCAACTGCCTTCTCTTGGGGCCTCCCTGACTTCAGTGATCCACCCCTTCCAAACATCCTGCATCCTGCTACCAGACTTTTCACTGAAGTATAGACAATTAATTGCTTATAGTATCAAAATCCAAACTCCTTTGCCTGACTTGTGAAGCCTTCATGATCACACCCCACCCTCTCTATTCAATTTTCTTTCCCACGAAGTCAATACACAGTCACTGAGTCACTGTGAGCTTAACTGAAGAGGCAGCAACCCACATGCCTCTGCAACTGCTATTTTTCTCACCTTGGATGACCTCCCAATCACTCAGGTATCCAGCTCTCTAAATTTTACCCATTGCTCAAAAGCCTAGCTCAAGTCTCAGTTCTATTATTAAACTTTCCCTACTGTTGCAGCAGCCAGCTTTCACTTCTTTCTCTTACCTCCTATTAAAAGTTAATAATTATTTACATGACAGTAATGAAGAGCTAACTTCTACTGAGCACTTCCTATATACCATATCCTGTTGGGATAAATAGTTTTATTATTCCTGTTTTGCAGATGAAGAAACACAGGCACAGAAAAGAAGACAATTCTGGTTAACACCTGATTGTTTGCTAATCATTTTGTGTGACCTCTCTAACTAGCTTTCCACTTCCTTGAGAGCAGAGACTAAGCTCATATTTATCCTGTGCCTCCTACACAGCTAGCAGAGTGCTGGGTGCAGTATAAGTGATTAGTTAGTATAGTTGGGTGGTCATTTATACATGTCGATGTTATGCATCTCTACCCTACAAGAGTGACCATGGAGGGTAAAATTTCTACCCTATAAGAGTGAACATGTTTGTACAATGTGCGCATAAATGTTAAACCAACCCTTTAGCGCACAATGATGAATGGTTTGGGGGAGTTTATGGTCTAAAAGTGGCCCTATGTGATTTTTTTTCTAAGTTACTCTCACTACTTCCATCTTCTCACTCACTTGAAACGTTAAAGATTGGAAATCACAGATGGGCTGTCAGTAATTAATGACATAATTAACTAGCATTTTTGGAGGGCTACAAGGTAGGGGAGGTTGTTAATTCTGCCCTGGCCAACACCTGGGTCTTCTGATTTTATTAAAAATCAGGTGGCAGCAAAATTTTCCCAAGGAACCAAATATTTGTACCACAATATTATAGGTTTTCTCCGAATTTCTTCTGGCACATTTTTTTTCTTTTGACAACTATGGTGTGTACAGACCTAAATTCATCAAAGATAAATATTACAGTATAACTGTCAATGCAAAGGAGGCAAAGACTATGATTTAGGCTAAAGATAGCATCCCGATCTGTTTTCTCCTCGTGGTCCCCGACTTCCATCTCATAGGGACTATGCCTTTTTAGTTTTCTTAAGGATACCAAAATATGTCTGCTAAAATATTCTCTTTCCTGCAATAGTATTTTTTAAAGGTATAATTATTTATTCCATTCTTCATAGGCATACTTTCCAGTTTCTCTTTCCCACACCCATTCTTTGAGGAACACCATATGGAAGAACTCACGAGATTCCTCCTCCCTCCCACTTCAGATCAATGCTTAACAAAAGCCAACACCATAGAGAAACATTTTATTTCAAAATTTTTACATTGGCTCAATTGGAATTCATGAATTCCTGAGTGAATTCTCATAAGCACTAAAATAGATACTTTTTAACCAAAACATCAAATTAGAAAACTTATCTTACCAAAGTCATTCTACTTTACGTTTCCACTGACTACTATTCATTCTCACTGATGCCAGCGCTTTTCTTCACTTGGAAAAAAAATCCAATGAGAAGGAAAAAAAATGCATATAATATATCTTGTATCTTTCCGCAGTTTCTTAAAGCCTCAGCTTATTAGGATTTCCTCATTGCCAGTTGAAGCCAGATACACAATTGAAGCCATGTGATCCTATAATAATTTCAGTTTTACAGACATGCTGGCTTGAAAAGCATGCTGTTGAAGAAGTCATTTTCAAACTAAAATCACTCAGTTACAGAAAACATTATCTCATTTTTTTTAGTTGGGGGAAAGATATAACATGTCATATAACATGCTATAGAAAAAAACAGTCTGGGTGCAGTGGCTCACACCTGCAATCCTAGCACTTTGGGAGGCTGAGGCAGGTGGATCACCTGAGGGCAGGAGTTGGAGACCAGCCTGGCCAACATGGCAAAACCCTGTCTCTATTGAAAATACAAAATTAGCCAGCATGGTGGCACGTGCCTGTAATCCCAGCTACTTGGGAGGCTCAGGCACAAGAATCACTTGAACCCCAGGGACAGAGGTTGCTGTGAGCTGAGGTCGTGCCACTGCACTCCAGTCTGGGTGACAGAGTGAGATTCTGTCTCCAAAAAAAAAAAAAAAAAAAGAAAAAGAAAAGAAAGAAAGAAAGAAAAGAAAAAGAAAAGAACACTAGCTCATTATGGAGAACATGAAATATACTGCTCTTTTCCCATTTATCAATTTTTGCTTACCCAATTTAAAGTTTATAATACTTAAATTTTTTTTCAACAGCATCTGTCAGCTTTTGCATACAGTTTTATAATCATATTCAAGGCAATTATTTATTTTATATTTTGAATAGTCTCCAACACTCACTGCAAGTCATCTTCTACTTGTTTCCCCCCTTGTATCCTCATGCCAATTCACCTATTAATCAATGGGGCTGCAAATTAAAATTCTTTTTTCAAGAAGGGACTGTGTGGTGTGTATTTTCTGTCTTCTTGTAAATATGAAAATGAATTCCTACAGCCTTTGCACGTAAACATCACGTTGGGTGAACATGGAATTCTTGAGATACCACCTTGTCTCCTAAAATGGTGTTTTAGCCTTCAGGGTTGAGAAGTCTGATCCCATCCTAATGTTCATTTCCTTGTTAGTAACCTGTTTATTTCTCTATAAATCTCTGATTCTTTCTTTAACCTGGAAAATCAAAACATTTTACAAGCTATGTCTCTATGTGAGTCTGGTAATTTTAATTCATCTCAGATCTCTTCTGCAGGCAGGAAAGTTTTCTTCTGCCATATGTTTGAACATTGTTTCTAGTATTTTGTTCAATTTCTTCATTGGGAACAAATGTAACTCCTAGATTAGATCTGTGTTTTCTGTCTTCTCGCTGAACGCTTTCATCTTAATCCTTTCACTCCTTAATTTGTGTTCTACTTTACTGGTTTGATTTCTGCAGTCTTCCCTATAGTTACTCTCTTCAGTAGAAGTTTTAATTCTGCTATTATAGTTTTGGTATATTTGCCCTTATTTCTTATTTCAACCTTTGCCAATCTGCCTGCATCCCAATCTATTTTCTCCTGATGGCCCCTGACTCCCATCTCATAGAGGCTATGCCTTCTCAGTTTTCTTAAGGGATACCAAAAATATGTCTACTGAAAAAGTCTCTTTCCTGGAAAAATTTATTTTTGGATATGTAGTCTTGCTTCAAGTTTTAATGGAAAAGCTTCTTTTCCCTTATCTTGCAGTATTCTTTTTATAGGTCCCCTTTGGGCATCTCTCCACCTATTCATACTGGAAAAGAGAACACTATGTTCACTCCTGGCACTTGCCAGCAGAGTATTGGTGAAGGGTCTTCATACTCCCTCACTCTCCTCTTGAGTGCAAGTAAAGCAGGTATAAAGAGTAAACTGGTGAAGATAGTTTCTACCTGTTTTCAAAGTCCACAGAGATTTAGCTTGTTCAGGTGTCTCAGCATTAGGTTGGGGTCTCTCCTGCTCCAACTGCTGCAATTTCTGACTGGTAAAAGAAAGACTGGGAGGCAATCTACGGTCCTGTTTTAGACAGCAGCACATAAAAGACCACATTCCCTCCCAGCATGCGTTGGCCCCTGCCTTCTTATCTCTCTCCCTGTTACGGTCCTTTTTATTACATAGCATCCATTCTAAGATGCAACACACCTCTGCTTGTCTCTATGCCCAGCTGTGGTCTGGGAGCCAGAGTCTCCGAATGGATGTGGAAAGAGAGAAATTGATAGTTTGAGTGGAAGGCATGACTCTGGATTTGACTTCTGTTGGTGCAGAAGATAGTTGAACGGTTCCTAGTTGAACCATTTACTTTTCTGGCCAGGGCAGCCCCAGGGTCCTAAAATAGCCGGGGGCAAATGATGAGGGCAAGGTACATTTGTTCTCTATTATGTTTCAGTACCAGCTGGGCTTCTCTGGTTCAGCATGTAAGCACGTGCTTACATGCTTCTCAATCCATTCCATCGACAATTACGTTAGTAGACATTCTCTGTGGACCTCAGCATATGGCTTTTCTCCATCTTAAATTTACAGCTTATTGTCCTCCCTTTTTCACGCTTTTCATGTAATTTCATGAGCACTTTGGCAAAAAGTTTGGGAAAAGGCATCTCAGTTATTACCTGTTTCATCCTTTGATGATCTAGAAAGTTTATAAATGAGAATTTTAAATGTTGCTAGCTAGAATATACAGGTAAACCATAATAGCATATCTATGTTAGGTTTTGAATCCAACCCAAGGGGGAAAATAGAGGTTTCCTCATGGCGCTCATAGATTCAACAAATAGAGAAACCACGAAATATGCTAATAGCATCACAATGGCTCATGCTGTATGTAGAGAGGAAAAGAAAGCTGTAAGATCTTAGGTGGCCACAGCCCTCCTAGAACCTGGGGCTAAGAACACTCTCTGAAGTTGAACATATTATCAATTTGGAATGGGTGAAATCAGCTCGTAGCAAAAGTTACTCCTGACATCATAGTGCTTCCTAACTCTATGGCAAAGAGGACAGTTTGTTTACTTCATTGAACCATGAAAAATAAGGCATTTCTTAAATCTAATCAGGAGCTAGGTGACCCACATATATCCTCAGGTTCCAATGCTGTTAATGTAAATCAATTTGTACCCAAATAAATGGCATAGTCTCCTGGATGAGGAAATAATGAAAAATATAATTGGCTTGGAATCTAGGAAAAGGGGGACCAGAGAATACAAATTTGTGTATTCTGACACCATCTAAGAGAGAGAGCATGTCTTGGCTAGCTTAAACAAGCATTGTCACTCTCTTGGCAGGTACATCTATGCATTGGAAGTGGGGATTATCATAACTGATGACTCTGTCATTCAGACTGTCTAGCTCACTTTTCCCTGAGCCAGTGAGCAACCTCTCATTTTTCACATAAGGCTTTCCCTCAGTTTAGAAAAATATCTCTGCAGAAAGAACATGGCTCTATGGCTGAACAGATAATAGAACCTAAATCTTTAGTGCAGTGTTAATAGCTTGACTCCAGTTACAGCTGTTTGATAGGGCAAAATGAGTCACGCTGTGAACAAAACATTCTGTATCATTTTTGTTCGCCCACCTCTCCCATGTTCAAAGGCCTTCTGTGGTTCCCCATTGCCTTCACATTCAATTCCAAGCTTTTGAATCTGTCTCTCAAGATCCTTCTCAAACTTATCCTGCATCACTCCCCAGTGTGGGCTGGCCCACTCCAATGCCATCCCAAATACCCACACTCATTCTCTCCTCTCTCCCTTGGCTCCAGCTGTCTTCTACCTGGGAGAATTCTCCCTCTTCCTTTCTACAAACCAAAATCTCACTAGTTCAAAGGCAAATTCAAGACCACTGTGCCCTCTGAAAACTCCTCCGGCCCCACCAGCCCCACTGATTTCTGCATTTCAGATGCACTGCCTAGGATTCTGAGGCCTAAATCTTTCCCGCCAGTCCCAAACTGCCATTGTAAATTCCTGTTGACTTTGCTACCACTCCACCCTCTTCTCTGTTATCTAAGCATAATGAACTTTTGTGATGTAGTGTTTAACTGCTTTGTCTTTCAGAGTTCTAAGGGCAGGGAAATTTCCAACTCCTGTCTCTATTCTCACTTTGCTAATCACAGCAATGATGACAAATAAGCACCCCAGCGTTTTCCTAACTTGAAATGAAATTGAAATCTGTACACACGGTTAAAATCCAGACCTAGAAGTGATGCTGTGATTAAAAGCATGGGCTCTGGATAGAGAGAGATCTGGATTCAAACCCCTGCTTATCTATTTTTATCTATAAACTTAGGGCAAGTGACATAGATTCTCTAAGCCAAGTGTTCTCATCTGTAACAAATAGATTTCGTAGGGTTTTTGTGATGATAAATGAGATAATGTGATACGTGCTCAATAAATGTTAACTATGATTAGTAAGAAGAGCTCCAGGGGATGTCTTCCTTTGAGTCATGCAGCTTTGAGAATGCTGGGATAGCTCTAGGTCAGGGGAAATTGCATAGGATTTTAATACATCTTGGGATTTAAAAAAAAAAAAAAAGTAAAGAAAGCATAGAAATTAGCTCCAAGACCAGGACTACAAGTCCTTAGTAATAAGTGGGAGATAAAGATGCTCCTGCCTCAAGGGTGTGGCTGGGAATAAGAGAAAGGGGTAGGCGGAGAAAGTACTGCTCTCAAAAGGCAGAAAACTCCCTGAGATAGAGCCAGAAGCCTATGCCCTAACCTGGGGCACAGGTCCAGAATCAGCAAGAGAGGTTTTTGGTGAGAATCCAGGTAATACCTTCATATGAAAGGTGTACTAGTTTCAATCTGTTCAAATTTCCTCAATGGAGGGTGTGTAGAACAGGAAGAACAGGCCTACTTCTGGAAGCATAAAGAGTCGTGCTCACTTACTGGCCAGGTCATTTTAGGTTGGTCAGAAGCTGTGACCTCTGGAGAAACACTGTCTGCCAGGGTCAGAGTCAGCTGAGGCAGCAGAGGAGCAGTAGTGATGGTGGCCATGCGCGGTTACTTAGAAACTGCAACAGACCAACAAGTGGCTGGGTCAAGATCAGCCTTTACTGGCCTTTTAAAATAAGATAGGCCATGAATTAGAACCAACACAAAACTGGGAGGTAGCTGAGACCACATACACATATAATTTAAAGCCAAATCCTGATTGTCTCCAAGGCTAGTACAGCCCTAGAAAACTCCAGCTGTAAATCATTATCCTGACGTGGGAAGCACAAGCAGCAGGACCGGCAGGGGCAGAAGCTCAGCTCTCACTTTATTCCCAGTGCTTTTCCTGTTGGCCTGGGCACCCTCATTTGGATGACTTCCAAAAGACTTGAGCTCATTATACCTCATTTGAAAATTATTTCCCAAACTGCTCAAGGGTATCAACTAATAAGTGTTCAAGGGGTAACCATTAGGTCTTATCACATGTAGGGACAAATATTCTCCTAAGGAAGGATACACTACATTATCCTCAATTAAATCTGGTAACAGACTTAAAGCACAGCCTTGGGGATTAACTTGGTAAGGTGGCTAAACAAAGATTCCTGGCGCCTCAGTGCTTGAGTACTAGGAGCATTTCAAAGATTTACATGAACCAGAAATCTGGGTGAGGGGAACAGGGCTGCTCAGAATTTTTGACAGGGTGCTTCAGCTGTGAGGCTAAGTTCAGGTGAGCTGAGGCTAAGATTCAGGAACTGAAAAGGAGGGTCCCTGTTGGTTCTCCTTGAATAAGTCTTTCTCTCACAGTTAAAATCATTCCTTCAGCAGGCTGGGTGCGGAGGCTCACACCTGTAATCCCAGCACTTTGGGAGGCTGAGGTGGGCAGATCACGAGGTCAGGAGATCGAGGCCATCCTGGCTAGCACGGTGAAACTCTGTCTCTACTAAAAATACAAAAAATTAGCCAGGCGTGGTGGCAGGTGCCTGTAGTCCCAGCCACTCGGGAGGCTGAAGCAGGAGAATGGCGTGAACCTGGGAGGTGGAGCTTGCAGTGAGCTGAGATCGCACCACTGCACTCCAGCCTGGGCGACAGAGAGAGACTCCGTCTCAAAAAATAATTATTATTATAATAATAATAATTCCTTCAGCAATTGAGCCAGAGAAAGAAGTCCCTAGAACACCCAGCATTCTGAAATTTCACAGTGATGAGTCTTTGAGTCTTGGTGTAGCTCTTTAACCTTCATTGTGCTGGGTCCTATGTAGGTCTTTTGAAGCTGGTAAACTGTGTCCTTCACTTAGGGGAAATATATGCATATTCTTAATTTATAAAGAAAAGAAATTTATTTCTAACCGTTCTAGAGGCTGGAAAGTTCAAGATCAGGCATTACCAGGTCCAGTTGCCTCATAGGGTCTGGTGTCTGCCCCTAAGATGGCACCTTGAATGCTGCGTCTTCTGGAGAGATGGACAGTGTGTCCTCACATGGCAGAGGCAGAAGGGCAAAAGGAACAAATTCCCTCCTCCAGCCCTTTATAAGGGCATAAAATGGGAAAATATTCTTATATCATTTCTTGGGTAATTTTCTCCTCTTGTTTTCCTTTTTCCTATTTTTCATTTTCTTTCTTTCTTCTTTTTTTAAACTCTGTTATTATTTGAATGCTGGGCTTCCTAGAGAAATCCTCTTGGACTCTTGTCATTTATCTACCACTTTCTATCACTATTGTTTACTTTGTTGTTATTGTTCCATTTGCTGTGAGATTTCTTCAACTGTATTAACTGAACCTTATCTAAATGTACATATTTTTAAATTTTAGTTACCATGTCTTCATTTTCCAAGAATGCCGAATGTTTCTTTAAAAACAGCACTGGGAATTTTATAATGATAAAAAGAATAATTCATCAGGAAGACATCAATTTTTTTTTTTTTTTTTCGAGACGGAGTCTGGCTCTGTCACCCAGGCTGGAGTGCAGTGGCGCTATCTCGGCTAACTGCAAGCTCCGCCTCCTGGGTTCACGCCATTCTCCTGCCTCAGCCTCCCAAGTAGCTGGGACTACAGGCGCCTGCCACCACGCCCGGCTAATTTTTTGTTGTTGTTGTTGTATTTTTAGTAGAGACAGGGTTTCACTGTGTTAGCCAGAATGGTCTTGATCTCCTGACCTCATGATCCACCCGCCTCCACCTCCCAAAGTGCTAGGATTATAAGCGTGAGCCACCGCACCTGGCCAGGAAGACATAAATATTATAAATGCATATGCATCTAATAACAGTTCCCAAAAATACATGAAGCAAAAATTCACAGAATTAAGGGGACAGATAGATTCCACAATTATATCAGGTGATTTTAGAACCCCATTAGTAAGCAATTCATAGAAAAACCAGAAAAAACATCTACATAAATACTGAAGGTATGCACAATACTATTGATCACTATCTAACTGGCATTTATGGAACAAACATCCAGCAACTGCAGAATATGTATTCTATTCAAGTTCACATAATACATTTTTAAAAATAGGCCATATGCTGGACAATAAATCAATAAATTTTAATGAATGAAATATACAGAGTGTATTTTCTGGCCACAGTGGAATTAAATGAGAAATCAATAACAATATGGCATCTAGAAAACCCATAAATATCTAGAAATTAAACAACACCATCTTAATTCATAAGTCAAAGACAAAAATCACAAGGGAAACTAAGAAATGTTTTGAACTGAATGAAGATACAATGTACCAAAATTTGTGGAATTCAGCTAAAACAGCTTTAAAATGCATATAAGTAAAAATAGAAAAATTAAAAATCAGAGAATGATAAAAATAAGAGCAAAAAAGATAAAGATAAGAGCAGAAATAACCAAAATAGACAGACAATAGATAGATAAAAGAGAAAATTACCAAAACCAAAAGCTGGTTTTTTTTTGGTTTTTTTTGAGACGGAGTCTCGCTCTGTTGCCCAGATTGCACTGCAGTGGCGCAATCTCGGCTCACTGCAACCTCCGCCTCCCGGGTTCAAGCAATTCTCCTCCCTCAGCCTCCCAAGTAGCTGCCACTGCGCCAGCTAATTTTTGTATTTTTAGTAGAGACAGGGTTTCACCATATCGGCCAGCCTTGTTTGGAACTCTCGACCTTGTGATCTGCCCACCTTGGCCTCCCGAAGTGCTGGGATTAGAGGCGTGAGCCACCATGCCCCGCCCAAAAGCTGATTTTTTAAAAAAGATTTAAAAAATTGACAAACCCCTAGCTAGATTAATTGAAACACAGAGAGAAAGAGAAACACAAATCACTAAGGAATGAAAAGGGGGTTATCATTATAGATTCTATGAGCATTTTAAATTTTAAAAAAATGAAAAACTTTATGTTATAAACAAAGTTTTTAGATTAAATAAAAAATCTTGGAAAATACAACTTAATTGATCCCAGAAGAAACAGAACATCTGAATAGCCCTGTGTCTATGTAAGTATTAACTTCTTTTTTTTGAGACGGAGTCTGTCTCTGTCAATTTGTTATCCAAAACCTTCCCCCAAATAAAACTCTAGGTGCAAATGATTTCCATAGAAAGGTGAATCAAACATTCATAAAAGAAATAACAGCAATCTTACACAAACATTTTCAGAATATAAAAAGAATACAGGACATGCTGCAACCAATTTTACAACCCTAATACCAAAATCTGACAAAGACATCACGGAAAAAAAAATAAAGTATTTCTCATGATAGACAAAAATTCTTAATAAAATGTTGGCAAATTAAATCCAGAAATATTAAAATAACATATCATGGCAAAGTAGCTTTTTTTTTTTTTTTTTTTTTCTTTTTGAAATGGAGTCTCGCTCTGTCGCCCAGGCTGGAGTGCAGTGGCGCTATCTTGGCTCACTGCAAGCTCCGCCTCCCGGGTTCACGCCATTCTCCTGCCTCAGCCTCCCGAGTAGCTGGGACTACAGGGGCCTGCCACCACGCTCGGCTAAGTTTTTGTATTTTTAGTAGAGATGGGGTTTCACCGTGTTAGCCAGGATTGTCTCGATCTGCTGACCTCGTGATCCGCCCGCCTCGGCCTCCCAAAGTGCTGGGATTACAGGCGTGAGCCATAGGGCCCAGCCATGACAAAGCACATTTTATTCCAGAAATGCAAGATTGATTTAACAATAAAAAATAAATAAATAAATAAAAATAAAAAACAAAAAACAAATGTAGGCTGGGCGCAGTGGCTCACGCCTGTAATCCCAGCACTTTGGGAGGCCTAGGCGGCGGATCACAAAGTCAGGAAATCGAGACTATCCTGGCTAACACGGTGAAACCCCGTCTCTACTAAAAATACAAAAAATTAGCCGGGCGTGGTGGCAGGGGCCTGTAGTCCCAGCTACTCGGGAGGCTGAGGCAGGAGAATGGTGTGAACCTGGGAGGCAAAGCTTGCAGTGAGCCGAGATCGTGCCACTGCACTCCAGCCTGGGCAACAGAGCAAAACACCATCTCAAACAAACAAACAAACAAAACAAACAAACAAAAAAACCAAATGTAATTCACCATATTAACACAATAAAGAAGAAAACCCATATGACTGTTTCAATAGATGTAGAAAAAGCATTCGCAAAATTTATCACCTATTCATAATAAAGAAAGGAAGGAAGGAAATGAAAGCAAGCAAAAAGAAACTCGAGTAAATTGAGAGTAGCAGAGAATTTCCTCAAACTGATAAAGATCATTGACAAAAACATCTACAGCTAACATCATGCTTAATGACAAAAGACTGAATTGTCCCCCTGCCCACCCCCGGGTTTGGGAACAAAGCAAGAATACTTCCCTTCTCTTCTATTCAACATTGTATTGGAGGTTCTAAAAACAATGTCAAATTTTTTAAGAAAAAGGAAAATTATGAAAGAAGTAAAACTGTTCTTATTTTCAATTTTCATAGAAAATTCCCAAGAATCTAGAAAATGCTTATTAGAAAAAATAAGTGAATTTAGCAAAGTCACAGGATACAGTATGCAAATACAACACTTACATTTTTATACACAAGTAGCAAAAATTTTAAAATAAATTTAGAAAAAGTTTTAGTAGCACCAAATAAAAATATAAAATAGGAATAAATCTGCTCCCTCCCCCTCCCCCTCTCCCTCCCCCTCCCCCTCTCCCATCTCTGTCTCCCCTTTGCACCGTCTCCCTCTGATGCCGAGCCGAGGCTGGACTGTACTGCCACCATCTCCGCTCACTGCAACCTCCCTGCCTGATTCTCCTGCCTCAGCCTGCCGAGTGCCTGGGATTGCAGGCGCGCGCCGCCATGCCTGACTGGTTTTTGTATTTTTTTGGTGGAGACGGGGTTTCGCCGTATTGGCCGGGCTGGTCTCCAGCTCCTGACCGCGAGTGATCTGCCAGCCTAGGCCTCCCGAGGTGCCGGGATTGCAGACTGAGTCTCGCTCACTCAGTGCTCAATGTTGCCCAGGCTGGAGTGCAGTGGCGTGATCTCGGCTCGCTACAACCTCCACCTCCCAGCCGCCTGCCTTGGCCTCCCAGAGTACCGAGATTGCAGCCTCTACCCGGCCGCCATCCCGTCTAAGAAGTGAGGAGCGTCTCTGCCCAGCCGCCCATCGTCTGGGATGTGAGGAGCCCCTCTGCCCGGCCGCCCAGTCTGGGAAGTGAGGAGCGCCTCTTCCTGGCCGTCATCCCGTCTAGGAAGTGAGGAGCGTCTCTGCCCGGCCACCCATCGTCTGGGATGTGGGGAGCACCTCTGCCAGGCCGCGACCCCATCTGGGAACTGAGGAGTGTCTCTGCCCCGCCACCACCCCATCTGGGAGGTGAGGAGCGTCTCTGACCGGCCGCCCAGTCTGGGAAGTGA
The DNA here is from genome assembly GCF_000001405.40 of Homo sapiens. NCBI lineage: Eukaryota > Metazoa > Chordata > Mammalia > Primates > Hominidae > Homo > Homo sapiens. The sequence goes on along the minus strand of NC_000014.9, from coordinate 51,467,598 downwards.
GGAGCCCCTCCGCCCGGCAGCCGCCCCGTCCGGGAGGTTGGGGGCGCCTCTGCCCGGCCGCCCCTTCTGGGAAGTGAGGAGCCCCTCTGCCTGGCCGCTACCCCGTCTGGGAGGTGTACCCAACAGCTCATTGAGAACAGGCCATGATGACGATGGCAGTTTTGTCAAACAGAAAGGGAGGAAGTGTGGGGAAAAGAAAGAGAGATCGGATTGTTGCTATGTCTGTGTGGAAAGAAGTAGACATAGGAGACTCCATTTTGTTCCGTAATAAGAAAAATTCTTCTGCCTTGGGATGCTGTTAATCTATGGCCTTGCCCCCAACCCCGTGCTCTCTGAAACATGTGCTGTGTCCACTAAGGGTTAAATGGATTAAGGGCGGTGCAAGATGTGCTTTGTTAAACAGATGCTTGAAGGCAGCATGCTCCTTAAGAGTCATCGCCACTCCCTAATCTCAAGTACCCAGGGACACAAACACTGCGGAAGGCGGCAGGGCCCTCTGCCTAGGAAAACCAGAGACCTTTGTTCACATGTTTATCTGCTGACCTTCCCTCCACTATTGTCCTATGACCCTGCCAAATCCCCCTCTACGAGAAACACCCAAGAATGATCAATAAGTATTAAAAAAAAAAAGGAATAAATCTACCAGAATATTTTTGAGACTTTTACACTAAAAGCTGCAAATCATGGCTGACAAAAATTAAAGGAGGCTAAAATAGAAAGATATCCCACATTAATGAATTGGAAGACTCAACATGGTTATGATAGCAATTATCCCCAAATTGATTTTTAGAGTCTATGTAATCCTTATCAAAATCCCAGCAAGTTGTTTTATAGAAATTGATAAGCTTCATATAGAACTTACATGAAATTGCAAAGAATCTAGAATAAGGCAGTTTTAGAAGAGGACAAAGTTGGAGTACTTAGCTTTCTTTTAAAATTTATAAAGCTACAGTAATATTAACAACAATTTTGTACTGGTAAAAAGATACATACATCAATAAATAGAATAGAGAATTCAGAAATACACCTATACATATATAACCAATTAATTTATGACAAAGTGCCAAAATGATTCAATGGGGAAAGAAATGGCTTTTCAACAAATGGTACTGGATCAACTACGTATTCATATAGAAAAAATGAATATCAATTTTCATCTCACATAATACACAAATGCTAACTTAAAATACTGGATCATAAAGCTAAAGGTAAACCTCAACTATTAAACTTTCAAAGAATATATAGGAGAAAACTTTTGTGATCTTGGAGGATGCAAAGGATTCTCAGGACTCAAAAAGCATGAATTACAAAAGAAACAAATGGATGAACTCAACTTTTCCAAAATTAAGTTTTTGCTCTTTAAAAGACACAATTAATAAATGTAAATGCAAGAAAATATTTGCAATCTATATAAAAGACTTGTATCCAGAATATATAAATCATTCCTATAGAGCAATAAAGTGACCCATTTTTAATGGGTAAAGTATTCGAACACTTCATGAAATGTACAAGTGCCTGATAAACATGTAGAAAGATGTTCAAGATTGTTATTCATCAGGATAATGAATATTAAAACGACAGTGAAATTTTATACAGCCATTAGAATAACTAAAATTTAAAAGACTGATTATATTAATTCTGGTGAGGATATGGAGCAATTGGAACTCTCATGTACTGCTGGTAGAAGATTAAATGGTACAACCACTTTGGAGAGCAGTTTGATTATTTCTTGAAAAGCTAAATATACACCTACTGACCAACTAGCCATTCTCTTCTTAGATACAGTATTTGCCAATAAAAAAAAAAAGAAAACATGTTTGCACAAAGACTTGCACATGTTCATTGCAACTTTATTTTATATTTGCCCAAAATGAGAAACAACCTAAATGTCCATCATCACGTGACTGCACAAATAGTGGTATATCCATGCAATAGAATACTACCCAGCAACAAAAAGGAACAAACTCTTGATACATGCAACACCATGGATGATACTCAATGGAATTATATAATGAAAACTCTTTTTTTGTCTGGCTTCTTTAACTGAGCATGATGACTATGCTTATTTAAATTCTACTTATTTAGAATTCTATAAATTGCAAATCAATTTGTAGTTGCAGAAAACAAACTATGGTTACCTAGAGATGGCGGGGGGAGGGAGGTTGGAGGGGCTGTGAAGGTTTAGAAGGGCTCTTTTGAGACTGATAGAAATGTACACTTCCTTGATTGTTATGGTGGTTGCTTGCATGCATACAAATGTCAAAACTCATCTAATGGTACATTTTAAATATATGCAGTTTATTGTTCATGAGTTATGGCTCAATAAAATTTTTTTCAGTAAACTTATTAGTAAAACTAAACACAAACAGAAACAATCATTCTAGTAAACCTAAAAATAGCATTATCGTTTTTTGTCTCATGACATAATATCTGTGTTAATTTTCTAAGAATGTTCATTACATTTTTCTTTCTATTTTCCACCTGTCCCTTGCATTATCTGTTTTTCCTTTTTGTTGTTATTTTGGTTCCTTTTTTGATATTAAGAGCCATTCTTTTAATTTCTGGTGGTTCTTGGCTGATTGGAAGCCTGTATATGTGGCAGGGAATGAGCTTCATAATTCCCTTGAATTATTTCATAGATTGTTGATCTAGCAGAGATCCAGTTTTTAATGCTGGAGGGCTCCTAAATTTCAGTTTCTGCATGCAATTTCTCTTGGGCTTGTCCGTTCCCCTACAGAGCAACCCTCCAGCCCCCTGCTTCAGGTATATATACCTGGCTGGCAGCATTCTGGGGGCCAAGATGGGTAAGAGACCTCACCATTGAGTATGCAGCTCTTCCTTCCTGTTTACAGACCCCTGACCTCACTACCACTCTACGTTCTGTCTGGAAGTCCCAGAACTGAGCCCCTCGGACAACACCTCCTGCAGTGGGTATCCATCTTTCACTATTATGGAGAAGGCCAGTTTTCTTGTTGCCCAGAGTAACAGGGCACGAGTGGCGGTAGTTTTTGCTAACCCAGTTCTCCTGTTCTCAGCTCTACCCCATCCCCGCCTTCAGAAATACCTGGAGAAATAACTGGAGAGTTCTCCTGCACGAGTTAGTTGGCTTTAGCATACATTCTGCTCTGTTCTAAGTTAGGGACCACTTCATCTGTTTTTTGTCTTCCAGAAATTTATTACCTCTCCTCTGATTTTTTTTTTTCCTTCACCTTTTAAGTTCAGGGGTACCTGTGCAGGATGTGCAGGTTTCTTACATAGGTAAATGTGTGCCATGGTGGTTTGCTGCACAGATCATCCCATCACCTAGATATTAAGCCCAGCACCCATTAGCTCTTCTTCCTGATGCTCTCTCTCCCCACACCACCTCCTCTGCTGTTTCTTTTGCTGTTCTCATTGTGCTGGAATATTTTATTCCTTCACTATCTTTAGAGTTGAGTTTTAGGTTGGAGCAGAGATAAATATGAGTACAACTGCACTCTTTAAAACCTCAGACCAGTGCAGTGGCTCACACCTGTAATCCCCACACTTTGGGTGGCCAAGGTAGGAGGATAGCTTGAGCCTAGCAATTGGAAACCAGCCTGGGCAACATAGCGAAACCCCGTCTCTAAAACGAACTAGCCACACATGGTAGTGCACGCCTGTAGTCCCACCTACCAGAGAGACTGAGGTGGGAGAATTATCTGAGCTCAGGAGGCTAAGGCTGCAGGGAGTGGTGATCATGCCACTGCACTCCAGCCTGAGCAATGGAGTAAGACCCTGTCCCCTCCATCACCCCCAAAAACAGAAAAGAAAAACTCAGGAAAACATTTATAACTGTATTTTAATATTGACATGCAAAAAACTGTTGTGGGTAAGTACTCAATACATCTTCCATGAAGGCCTACAATGTGTCTGGTAGAGTGCCAGGTGTCAGAGGCACTGGAGCCTGTCTGCATGTAGCGTGCTCACTGGAACCTGTTTTAAGTAAGACAGTTCCTAAGAGGTTCTGGCCTTGCCAATTCTACTTCCTGTTCTGTGCTCTCTAGAGCTTCCCAGGGCCTTTCCTGTGGATATGTTCTGGGCATTTACAATTGGCCCTCCATATTCATGGGTTCTGAATCCATGGATTTAACCAACTGCAAATTGAAAATTTTCTGGGGGAAAAATTCCACAAAGTTCCAAAAAGCAAAACTTGAATTTGCTATGCACCAAGTACTACACTGAATCCATACAAATTAAGTGATGTGTAGGTATTATAAGTAATCTAGAGATGATTTAAAGCATATGGGAGGATGTGCATAGGTAATATGCAAATACTATGCCACTTTATATCACAGACTTGACCAATTCTTGATTTGAAAACAGCATGTCCTTTAGGGCCAGAAAAAGCAAATACTTTCAGTCAGTAGATTAATGCTACTTAGTGAATGGCTACCTGAGTGAAATTGAGAAAATTCATGACAAGAAGAGCAAAATATTCTTTTCTAGTTAACCTGGTTGAATGCGATAGGGAAAGTTGTCCTTTTCATGTTTTCAACCTTCCTCAAACCACAGAGTCAAGGAAGGAGTGTATAGCTGGAATATCTATACATGGCAAATGCTTATTTTATTTTTATAACAATCTAGCAAGGGTGGTTAGTACTGTCATACCACATTGTACAGACAAGGAAATGAAGCCACCAAGTGATTCAGTTACTTGCTTAATGTCACATAACAAGTTGTGGCACAGAGAGGATTAGAACTCTCAGCCTCTGGGTTTTTAGTTCATTTCTTCATCTGTGAGTCACCCTTCTCCCTTTCTCTCTCTCCCTTTATCTCTCTCTCTCTCTCTCTCTTCCTCCCTTATTTTCTTCCTCCCTTCTCTTTATTTTATTTTGACACTTGATCTTATGGGTCTTCACAATTCAACTTCCAAAGAAGCTTAATCTTATGAACAAATGCAGAATGGCCCAAGACCAAGCCTTTCCTTATCTACAGGTACAGGATTCTGATGGAGCAATTCTGGAGACACATACACTAATATCCAGCAGGAACCCTCACCTCTTGATTACCAGGAACCAGAAAGGTGGGGTCTACCCATTTGGTCTCAGTGAATAATTGCTGCACAGAAGCCCAGAAGAAGGGGAAAGCCCGAGTCCTAAACTCAGCAAGGGCCTGCCTACACCAGGAGCCAGTTCAAGCAGGCACAAGCAGGAAGCACAGTCTCACCAAAGGAAGAGTTGGGAGCAGGTGAACCACACCCATATAATTTCTTACCACGTACACAGCATCTCCCATACATCCACTCATTTGTATTCACAACCCCCCGAGGCAGGTATTATTGACATCATCCCATTTACAAAAGAGAAGAGGATCTCAGGCTCAGCAATGTCACATGACTGGATCACACACTTAGTAAATGGCAAAGCCAGGACCAGAGCCAGAGTCCACTGGATCCAATCCCACACTCTTCTCCAACATCTCACAGGAAAAATTAGTCCCACTGCTTTTTAAAAGATGTTTCTTCTCTTTCCTTCCTTCTTTCTTTCTTTTCTTCCTTCTTTCCTTGCTTCCTTCTTTCTTTCCTTCCTTCCTCTCTTCCTCCTTCCCTCCCTCCCTTTCTCCCTTCCTAAGGAATTTCTTCTGATAAGTTTTATTACAAGAATAAGAACAGCTAACATTTATTGAGTGCCTGCTGTGTGCTAAGCACCTTGCATGCATTTTCTCTTTACTGTTATCTCCAATATGTGGGTGAGAAAACTGAGATACTGAGACAGAAGTAACACCCACCAGCTGGCTAGTAACATGTAGACTCTAGGATTTAAACCCAGGCAGTCTGACCTCAGAATCTACTCTCTCCAATTCATCACTACCTTCCATCTCTATTCAAAATGAGCAAAGAAAATTGCTTGATTCTTACATTGACCAGCAAATTGGTGGCAGGCAGAGTTTTTAGGAAAACATGGTTCTCACCTGTTGGGGCCCTCACCAATATTATGGATGAGGCCTTTCTCTGAGCTAAGTTTTTTAATTTTTGAAGGACATCAAAAGACCAGTAACTCCTTGTATTTTTTATTCAGTATAGTCCTAATTGACATTCAGGTATTATTCATAGTGGTTTCAGCATTTGACTGGTGAGATTTCTTCTTCCTATCAAATGTCTGAATAGTTCTGATCTCTGTTATTGGGAATAGGAACACAAAGGAAGTAGCCTTTAACTTATAGCTAAACTTTATGGACACAATTGGTGGAAGGTTTCAGAGGTGGAAATTTTTTGGCACCTTTTATTACTTCCTCTGGAAGAAATAACTGGCAGTGGTAGCATCTAATCATCATTCTCTTGTCTGATCATAGGCAAGTTCAATGGTCAAGTACCTTGCTGTAGTCTAAGAGCAAAAATTAAACTGCAGACAACTGTAATTCCTGGACTGAGAAATTTCTCACAGAAATTCTTTAAATAGCACATGTCTCATTTGTTGTAATAGGTGTGCTTTATCTTTCTGGGAAAGATATACACAGCTCTTGTGTGGCTTAACTCAAGTACACATGTCTGTAGTCAAAATCTGCTAATCCCATTGGTTTCCCTTTGTGGCTCTTTGGATCTATAAAAGCAAATTTGACCAAGGGGTTTCCACTATCTTTTATATAAACTATATGTAGGGAAGGACTTGTTTTTTCCTCTCACTCCGTCATAAGCCAATACTTCTAATGTTTACAGAAATAAATTACTAAAAGAAAAATGAAAAAGGAACATACAATATACATATCCAGATTTTTTAACATAAAATCACTTTATCTTATTACCACAGTTTTAAAATGCTTAGTTCTCAATCTTTGTACTTTTCACAGACCACTAATCAACATCTTCAGGATCTACTCCAGAGGACTACACCTTGATTAGTTCCAGTTGAGAACATGTACAGGAAACATATCACTTGCTCTTACTAATAATTTAACTGATTTCTTGAAATCAACCTGATGTTTCTATGAAGGTGGTTTGAGATGTGGTGGTCCAAGACCCTTTGCTAGCTTTAAAACTCTGCTGATTTTTTAGAAAGCTTTAAAAAATATGTATCAAGAGCCATAAAATGTTCACGTCCTTGACCCTGTAATTATATTTTTAGGAAACTACCTTAAGGAAACATTACTTATGCACAGAGGGAGTCAGTAATTATACTTTTAGGAATCTATTTTATGGAAATAAAAGCATGCATGCACATAAGTGTTAATTGTAGGTATATTGAAAATAACCAAAGACTAGAAACAATGCAAAGTCCCTGAATGGGAAGAATGTAGAGCAAATTATGTTCCATGCTCCTCAGGGAAGCTCCTCTTTCTTACATACCAGACAAGGTCAAGTTCCCCCAACAGTTCCCTCTCGTGGTTCATGTGTGTTTCCTTGACTAAATAAACATCTGTGTAATTATTTAATGTATTTCTAATACAAGGCCCTGTTTCTAACTGTTTTCTCCAACATATTCCCAACACATGTTATAATTTCTGGCATATAGCAGCTGTTCAATAAATATTTGTTGAATGAATAAACACATTATACATGAATAAATTCTAATGACTTGGAAAGATTTCATGATATGATATCAAGTGACAAAACTGGGATGCAAGATTGTATTAACGGAAATAGTAATTAAATAAAGAGTACCGTTTTACTTCGTTTAGCAAGAACTTATCACAATAGTATCAGGAAGGCCAAAAGATTAGCCATAGCCGAAGTTTGTAAAAAAAAAAAAAAAAAAAAGAGAGTCAGTAATTTTAAGTCAGCTGTATGCGTCAGCTTTTTTTTTTTTTTTTTTTTTGAAATGGAGTCTTGCTCTGTCGCCCAGGCTGGAGTGCCTTGGCATGATCTTGGCTCACTGCAAGCTCCGCCTCCCGGGTTCACACCATTCTCCTGCCTCAGCCTCCCGAGCAGCTGGGACTACAGGCACCCGCCACCACGCCCGGCTATTTTTTTGTATTTTTAGTGGAGACGGGGTTTCGCCATGTTAGCCAGGATGGTCTCAATCTCCTGACCTCGTGATCCGCCCACCTCGGCCTCTCAAAGTGCTGGGATTACAGGCGTCGCCAGCGTCAGCTTTTTTAAGGTATAATTGAAACAAGGAGAAAAGCAAAGAGTATTGCTTGGGAAAGGGAAGAGAGAAAGCAGAAATCCCCAGTGACTGTTCTACCTCTGTGCTAGTCAAAAGAAAATCTGGTGCTTAACCTAAAGAGGGTTTTGAACAAACCATGTAAAGAGGAAATTTCAGTGCCGGATAGGCAAGAAGTTAGTGAGGGAGGGCCTAGTCATTTCAAGTGGCCTCAAGAATCCAGGCCCATGTGAATTGGATTCCAGGGCCTACAGGAATTTCAGAGACACCAATGGTCATCTTTGAGAGATTAGAAGAGTTAGAAAAAATAGCAAATGACTGAACAGCATGAGACCTTGTCAGAGAAAGTGATTTTTGCGCTTTGTTGCTACAGAGAACAGAAGTAAAACCAGTGGATTTCAGTTATAGGTAAATAGATCTAAGGGTCAATCTAAGGGGAGAACTATTTAACTAGCTGCTAGCACCGTTCAGCACTTCACTACGCTGCCGTGTGCATCTCCGATGCTCCGTACGCTTCTGACAGATACGAAGGAGGAGGGATGGGGTTGTTAGTCCAGACAACCTCTGCCATCTCTGCTAATTCGAGGAAGCTCTCTCATTCTTTCTGGCAGCCCAAGCCACTAAGTCACAGCCTTGCTTCCAGTACCAGTGAACTTGAGTGTTTTAGTAAGTACCCTCCTTCATTTCCATCACCAGCCCTCTACACAGCTTAAGCAGCTGCAGACGTCTCATCACTAAGACCTAGAGTACATCATGGCTTGTGAAGCAAAATCCACAGTTGGTCATACTGGAAATGACTGGACACCATGATTCACCCTTTGCTCACCCCAACACCAGTCCAACCAAAATAATCAGGTTGCAGACTAGAACACAGTCCAGGTGCCCTTTCAATTCTTCATTTTCACTTTGCTTATCTTCTAGTTTTCCTAGTTATAAATAATCAAACAGCCAATTGGTTCTGGAACTGCATCACTAATGGTCTGTAGAGATAGTATTGAGGAATTCACTGAATTTAGGAAGACCCAGAAAGGACTGTCTATCAAACTTCAAAGGACTTAACCCATTTAAAACACAACAAAAACCCTTGGAGATAAAATGCTGCATAAAGACACTGAACAGCTTGAAGATAAGACACATAACCTCAAAACCTTCCATGGAAGCTGTGAACATGCTATCAGGATCATCTCCCAAAAATGCAATTTACTGTGAAAATCTAATCAGTCATTGGGCAAACATTTCCTTGGACTGATAAGAGATTGGGGTAGGGGTGAGAGGAGATGGGAAAGGGGCCATGCAAGAAAAAGGAACAGTTAATAACTGGTATTGATCTCTCGTATCATATCAACACAACTCTCTTCTACTCTTCAAAAATCATTAAAAATGACAACATACAAAGCCACATAGGTTAAAGAGTGAACCACTGAATTTTGGAAACAAAGGAATCAAGTTATTCACATGGAATGCAAGTCTGCTTTTTACCTCCTTTATCTGGCCCACATTCCAAGGCACCTTAAAAAGGTTAATAAACAAACAATCATGTCAGAACCCAAGCTGATCTCAGAGCAGGCACAGGTTGAGTTCTCAAGATCCTCTTCTACTACCAGGATTCACTAAATATTAATGATTTGATCCATGTGTTCCCCATTAGTAAACATCCATTCTATGTTAAGGCATTCATGCAATAGGTGCTAGGAATGCAAAGATGAAAACACACCGTCACAGCCTCCTAACACATACTCTCTCAAGGTGCTCCATGCAATATGCTTTTTATAAGCCAATCATTTTGCTCTACTGAAAGTTCCCATAAATAATATTCTCTGACCTATTGATTAGACCCTTCACCCAATTACAGCGAAGTGCTACCATGTGACCTGCTCAGTTTCTAATACCTGGAACCTACACCTAACACTTGTATAACTGGGGCATCTTAGAAAGCACAGCTCAGGTGTAATATTTAGGAATGGTGGATGTTCAGGAGGATCATCTGCAGGAAAAATGGGGGACATTTCTCTAACTCTTTGCCACATCATTAGCTTCAAATGGAAAATAAGATTACAAAGCAAGGACCTGAAATCACAGGGACTCGTAGCTTCCCATATCTACTTTTTATAAAAATGCTTCATCAACCACAGCACCCACCCTTCTGTCATTGGTTCGTTTTTCTTCTTGTTTTGTTGTTTTTTTTTCTAGTCATCATATACTTGATGATTTCCAGCTTTTATTTGTTATTGCCTATGTTTTCAATTCTCTTTTTAATTTTGTTTTTAACTGACACAATAATTGTACATGTGGATGGGATATATTGTGATGCTTTGATACATGTTTACATTGTGTAATAATCAAATTAGGGGATTTAACATATTCATCATATCATACATTTATTATTTCTTTGTGGTGAGAATATTCTAAATTCTCTCTTCTGGCTATTTTGAAATACACAATACAACATTATTAACCATAGTCACACTGCTGTGCACTAGAATATATTCCTTCTGCCTAACTGTAACTTTTTGCCTATGGGCCAATATTTCCTCATTTTCCTCTCTCTTGCTCTCCCTAGCCTCTAGTAACCACCATTCTACTTGTATGAGATCAACTTTTTTAGATTCCATATATCACTGTGAACATGCAGTATTTATCTTTTGATGCCTAGCTTATTTTACTTAATGTCCTCCAGGGTCATCCATGTTTCTGCAAAGAACAGAATTTCATCCTTTTTCTGGCTCAGTAGTACTCCATTGTGTATATATGCCACATTTTCTTTATCCATTTTCCATTGATGGACACTTAAGTTGATTCTGTATCTTGGCTATTGTGAGTAGTGCTGCATAAATGCGGGAGTGGAGATCTCTCTTCAATATACTGATTTCAGTTTTGGAGCATTGCTGGATATGAACAGACACTTCTCAGAAGAAGACATTTATGCAGCCAACAAACAAATGAAAAAAAAGTTCATCATCACTGGTCATTAGAGAAATGCCCATCAATGATAGACTGGATAAAGAAAATGTGGCATATATACACCATGGAATACTATGCAGCTGTAAAAAAAGGATGAGTTCATGTCCTTTGCAGGGACATGGATGAAGCTAGAAACCATCATTCTCAGCAAACTAACACAAGAACAGAAAACCAAACACCATATGTTCTCACTCATAATTGGGAGTTGAACAACGAGAACACATGGACACAGGGAGGGGAACATCACACACTGGGGCCTGTCAGGGGGCGAGGGGCTAGGGGAGGGATGGCATTATGAGAAATACCTAATGTAGGTGATGGGTTGATAAGGGCAACAAACCACCATGGCACATGTATACCTATGTAACAATGTTGCAAGTTCTGCAGAATGTATCCCAGAACTTAAAGTATAATAAAAAAAATTTAAAAGAAAAAAAGAGAAAAAGAAATATTCCCACAGGATGATGATTCAGCCAGAAACAAACACCCACCCAGAGCCCCCTCAAGCCCAGTGCTTCCTAAGACTTTATCCGCGTCTGGATGCAAGGAACTGCTCCTCTCCTTTGATCCTGCAGGCTTCACCCACCCACTGCCTGAAAATAACAGGGAGATCAGGCACAGGTCCAAGACCTTCTCCTAAATTTTAATCCTTAATCTTACCCCTGAAGACTAGGCCTCTGCTGACCTTGAACTTCACCTTCCCCCATCTTTGCATCTATCTGGCTTTTAGAGGGAGGCCTGCCCTCGGCAATGGAGAGTTCCAATTCCCTTACCTCTCCCTTTACTGCCTCCTCCCCATACCAGAATTCTATGCTGTCTCCTCTCATTCCCAGACGTTTGCTTTGCCTCCAAATTTCCTAAATTCTATGACTATTAACCCTGAGTTTGAAGCTGTTCTCTGCCCAGTGTTCTCCTGCTCTTGGACCCTAGCCCAGGTCACCTGACTCTACCAAAAGAAGTTAAGCGACTCACCCAAGATCACACAGACTGATGATGGCAAAACTCAGAGCTAAAAATGCTGCTTCAGTGTCCGGGACAGGTTAACACTGACAACTATATATTTGAGGAAATAAAAACTGCCCGACAAATGCAAGAATTTACAAAACCCATAAATACAGTATCCAAGGTCAAGAAGTTTATAGGCTTTAAAAACTCAGCTCAAGATATCACCACAATGACAAGAGCAGTCAGGAATAATGATTGAAAGATCCATAATGGTGCCTTAAGAAAATCACTTCCTTGGGAACTGCTAGAAGGAGCTAGAACAGTATTGCTCAAACTGTGTTCTATGGAAAATTAAATTCTTGGGATGTGAATTAGTATGCCTTGACAAAATAGTTTCATAATCAGGTTAGCTTAGGAGGCATACTCTATATCCCCCTTGGGATTCCCGGTGCATTTAAGTATATTTAATGTCCTAAGAAGTCCTATAGTAAAGAAACTGTTACACTTGATTTAACCTCATCTTTTCTAAATTTACTTGACTACTGCTCACTGGCTCGCTCTCACTCTCTCTCTCTCTCTCAACAGACTACCTATTTGTCCTGAGAACACAGTTTGGGAAATTCTGAACCAGGTTTATTTAACAGGTTTTTAAAACTCCTGATTCTTTACATTTAATTATTCGCTAGAATGAACCAAACTACTGTCTTTGCTCAATTCATGGGATGATCATAAATCCTGTGCCATTAGATCCTCTGACATATGCTCTTCATTGAAATGCATCCTCATTCAGTGCATTCATTTTTTTTTTTAATTATAGGACCTAACAAAGGGAATGGAGAGTAATCACATCATTCCAAGACCCTTCCTTTGCAGTCCTGTAGTCACAGCTCCAAAGACTCTGGGTTTTGGAGTAAGAGCTGTAACTGCTCAAGAAGAATTCGTGAACAAAAGCACATCTTTCTGAGGAGGCAGAATATCACAGGCCTATGACACCAGACTGCTGGAAGAGGCACTAGAGGTTGACAATAGATTCCAACATCTCATAAACCAGGAAGCAGCCTCAGGAAGGTTGGCAGCTGCCAAACCCATAGGCTAAGCAGTGGTGGGACTGTGATTCAAACTCAGATATTTTGGTTCATCTGCCAGGAAATTTTTCCTGTCCTGGAATTATCTGCTCTTCTCAGGAGGGAAGAGCTCAGTCCTCTTCATCCTGAAACCCATCATAGGAAAGGCAAGAAGGAAATGCACCAAAATGTTAACTGTGGTTGACACTGAAGTGGTAATTTGGTCTTTGTTCTATTTTTTCTGCATTGACCAAAATGTTTACAAAGGACATACATTGCTTTTATGCCAGAGCAAAGTTATGTTTAAAAACATTTTAAAAGCCAGAAGGTAAAGTACATACCCTGGAAAGCATTGTGTACGTGGCTCCGCTCCTAGTTGTTGACCAAAATAAGCAGAGCTAATGAAATGCCATGGCATTTCCCTGTGCCAAGGGAGGCATTAGGCTGTTCTCAATGAATGACTCACGGAGGCAGCGTATAGAGGCCTCCCTGCTGGCTGCTGGCGGGGCATCGGCTCTCTCTGGTAGGCATTGTGCTGCTGTGGCTTCACCCACTGACTGGCACGGAGCAGAGCCCTGCTTCATCGCCTTTGGTAATTTCCTCTTAAAGCATGTGTCTCCAGTGGGCTTTGAATGGCTCCTCTGTGATTTCTAAACTCAACCTAACTGAGTATACAATTTTAATTGGAAAAAAATGGCTTGACGTTGCCTTTCTGTATTTATACACCAGCCTCCCACCTAGCAAAAACTAACTGTGTCTAAAAACAAGCCTAACTGTGTCTAAAAGCAATACTTTTAGTATTTTAATGCCTGTTTTGGAGTCTGAGCAGGTTGTACCTTGTTTACATATAAGGGGTGAGTGTGTCTGTGTGTGTGCACACATATGCGTGTATGTATGTGTGCATGCATGTGTGAGACAAAGCTAATCACTTAGGTCCTTCAATTCTAAAGAGAATAATTTGATAATCCCCTCAATCAAATAGCATGCAGTCAGTCACTTCCAAAATATCTATTTACTAAAGTTTTCCAAAAACTGTATATCCACTGTACCTTAAAGTACTCTGAATCTTGGACTATTATCATTCTTCTTAAAAGTAGCGGCTGAGGGTGTCTTCATGTCCACCATTTCCATCAATATCTCCTCATTTCTCAGTCTTCTCCGCCTGACATTAACCACAGCTCTTTGCTTCACAGCTTCCCATTTCAGGCTGTTCTTGCTCCTTCCCCTACCTCACCCTAACCTGTCCTCCCTCCCACAGTCCCAGAGTATGTTGGATCCTCCCTGCCAGCCCCCGACTCAAAGCCAACATCCTCCTCTCTGGTTTTGAATCCATCTCTTATCATTTTATCTCCCCAGGGTCCCTGATGCATTAATCACCTCTCTTGGGCACCACATCTTTAATTCTCTATTTTTTTTTTTACCAGCTTTTCCTGTCAGTTTATAAGCTTGTTCAGTTCTCACTCATCTTAAATTACTGCCCCTTAACTTTACATGGTCATCAGGTTCTTGCTTTATCTCTCTTGTTCCCTTTTCCTCAAGCTTCTCAGATGATTAGACTGAACTCACTGTCTCCATTTTCTCAAGTCACATTCCGTTCTCCCTGGAAGCAACCTGGCTCCCACAATCAAACCACTGAGAGGGTTTCTGCAAAGATTACCGATGATGAGACATCGTCTTCTCTCCTCAAAGTACTGGACATCTTCCTTGCCGTTGACCCTAATGACTGCTCATGCTTTGAGACACTCTACTCGTATGCCTTCTAACACCCTGTCTTCAGCCTTTCCTTCTTACACTCTGACTGTTCCATCTCAGCCTGTTCCACTGGCCCTTCTTTCTAGATATGCTCCTTAAACATGGAAGTTTCCAATGTTTCATTCTGCAGCATTTAATTCTTGATTCACTTCTCTTTTTATGCTACTCCTTGGGTGACTTAACCCACTTCTGTTTATGCTGGTGGCTCCCAAATATACTCTATCCAAGTCAAAGTCCTCCTGTTCTTGAGCTATAGACTCATTCCAAGTGCCTTC
The DNA here is from genome assembly GCF_000001405.40 of Homo sapiens. NCBI lineage: Eukaryota > Metazoa > Chordata > Mammalia > Primates > Hominidae > Homo > Homo sapiens. Next base: position 51,452,541 of record NC_000014.9, on the reverse strand, counting down.
TTGATATCCTAACTTAGTTGCCCACTGGCACCTCAGTCAATATGCTCCAAATCAAACTTATTATCTCCTCAACATCCCAAACTTACAGCTTCTTCTACTATTCCTCATGTTAGTTTGAAAACCATCACTAGAGTGACCAACCATTCCCATTTTCCCAGGACTGAAGGGCTTCTGAGGATGTGGGACTCTCAATCTTAAAACTGTCACAATCCAGGCAAATGGAGATGGTCTCTCTAGCCACCATCCACTCATCATTGGGCCTAGAACCTTAGTCACCTTTGACTCGGCCCCCTTCATCCTCTTCTTCCATCTGCCTGTCCAGCTAATTTAATTTCCTAAATAGTTATTAAATTCCCATTTTTCTTTCCAACCCTCGCTCATGCTCTGATCATCTCTTGCCAGTTTTGCTACCCTAGCCTGCTGAGTATTCTCTCTACTGTCAGTTTTCATCCCTTTTCAATGTATGCTGTATTCAACTGCTGAAAGAATAGTTTTAAAACACCAATCTCACCCCATCTCTGCCCTGCTTAAAGCATTCCATGGGCATCCCATTGCTTGGGATAAAGCCCAAACAAGTTGATATGTCAAAGTCCTCCACGGGTGTCTTAATCTGTTTTGCATTGCTATAAAGGGATACCCAAAGCTGGGCAGTTTATAAAGAAAAGAGATTTATTTAACTCACCATTCTGCAGGTTGTACGGGAAAAATGGCACAAGCATCTGCTTCTGGTTAAGACCTCAGGAAGATCCCAGTCATGGCAAAAGGAAAAGTGGAGCTGGCATCACATGGCAAGAGAGGAAGTGGGGGAGGTGCCAAGCTCTTTTAAACAATTAGCTCTTGTGCGAACTAAATAGAGTGAGAGACCAAGTGTGATGGCTCACGCCTGTAACTCCAGCACTTTGGGAGGCTGAGGTGGGCAGATCACTTGAGGTCAGGAGTTAAAGACCAGCCTGGCCAACATGGCAAAATCCTGTGTCTACTAAAAAAATATACAAAAAAAATTACCCAGGCATGGTGGCACATGTCTGAAGTCTCAGCTGCTTGCGAGGTTGAGGCAGGAGAATCAATTGAACCCAAGAGGTGTAGGCTGCAGTGAGCTGACTTCACACCACTGCACTCCAGCCTGGGTAACAGACCAAGACTCTATCATACATATATATACATATGCATAGAGTGAGAATTCAGTCATTGCTGCTGGGATGGCACAAAGCCCTTCATGAGATATCTGTCCCCACGACCCATATACCTCCCACTAGGCCTCACCTCCAACATTGAGGATCAAATTTCAACATGAGATTTGGAGGAACAAATATCAAACTATATCAATGGTCCACCTATCCCTGGCCTCACCTGTGTCATGCATTGAGCTTTATGTAGGTATCTACACAGGCCAGACTGCTTATCCTCAGCTCTTGCTGTGACCTTTTCCTGGCATGTCCTATCTCTATCTCATCTCCCTTTGTCACCTGGTAAATTCCTCAAGATTCAACTGAGGTTCAAGACTCAACTCCTCCACGTCATTACCTGCAGGAGGTCTTCTGTGACATGCCCACTCTGCAGGTGGGTTAGCTGTTACCCAAATCACCCTCCACAGTGCACTCAGATGATCTCCTTACAGGTCAGTCTTTTCCTCTGGGCTGCCAAGTTCACAGGAGTACACACAGCATTCTCCTTGCCTCTGTGTCCATAGCATCTAGGACAATGCCTGGCATAAAACAGACCTCAACAAACATTTGTGGAATTTATCTATCTATTTGAGGTGCAAACTGATGGCCAGCAGGTCAAATCTAGCCCATAGTCATGGTTTGTTTGGCCCAAATGATGGCTTTTTATTTTTTTATATATCAATGTTTAAAAATCATGAGATCTCATACAAAAATCCCAAATTCTAGATTCTCTTGAGAAAACTAAATATCTGGAAACGTTAGATTCCTATTTTGTGTGGTAGCTGACCTCATGAGAGAGCACCTGTTACCATCTTAGCCCACATCTCACTGGGAGCCTGCATCTCTCCTCGACCCTGGTGGGGAACTGCTGGCAGAATCTTTTGAATGAGCTTCATTTGGAAGAGCTTCTAGGCATTTGTTTTTCCTTAAATAGTGAACTGATGGTTTAGAGACCAACTTGGTTGCCCCAGAATGTTTAGGGTAAACAAGAAACCCACACTGCCCAAAAAATTCTGGTCTGGTTTTCTGTCTAGATTTCTATCTAATATCTAAATTTTCATGCTGTAATTCCTATCCTCAATTTTTGAAACTCAAAGAATTTTATCTTAAATTTTCTTTCCTACATTTTCCCTGAAGAGCTCTAAGAGAAGATGGTAGTGATATTATCATCTTCAAACTAGCACTTTCCTCACTGCTATCTCATTTTCTTCTTACCTCTGTGGCAGTAAGTCACAGGATCTTGACACGAGAGATTCAATTTTATAAGTATATTGAATTTTTGCCACAGGTATGATTGTTTTCACAGTAAACAGACAACAATCACATGCACAGAGACATCTCAAGAGCTTTTTACATCTTAACTGTTAACAGCTTTATGAATTTTAATGGTTCAGGAAAAGTTTATTTTTCACCACAGGCCCAGATGGAAATCGCTGCCATCAGGAATAGCTGAAATCCCCAGCTGTGATAAAGGAGCAGATTTCTAGGCAGAGGAAATCAGAGTATGACCTACTGGTGCTGCCATCTGTTCCCCTATGTGGACCCAAGAGCTGGGGGGTTCCTGTGGGACCCAGGAACCATCAGCTGTGGGTTTGTGTTTTATTGGATTTAATTCAGCCAAGCTTCCTGACTTCCAGGCTTCCACAGTCACTCTTGAATGTTTGGCTCTATCAGATACTGCTACTATATGCTTTTTGATAATTTTTTATTAATAATAAAGTTAATTAAAATTAATTTAATTGAGAGAATTTGGTGACACTCTTTGGGATCACTACAGATACCACCCAACATACTCAATTCAGAATTGCCAAAGAGGGACTCCAGGGCCTCCTGCTGTTTCAGATGGCCTTCTCTGGAACAGTGGGCCAGCTCCTTCTTTGTGGCTTTGGAACTGTTCTGCAGCAGCACTGACAGACAAGAGAAGGTGCAGATTAGCCTGATAATCCCATAAGCTGTGATGGGAAAATCCACTGTGCACTGAGATTCCTTTCTCATTGGGTGGAATCTCAAAATCACCACCATGCTCTTTTGTTGAACTACCCTGAAGACTGATTTTCATGTTTCTCCTGAAGAACCTCCCACTGAAGAATGGCTAAATGCCAGACACTGACTGCCACAGGGAGAGCTTGGCCTTCCCACTATCCCTTTCCCTCTTGCCAAAAACACTCCAGGAAACTCCCTCTGAAGTCATGCATATCTTTTCTGGACTGTGACCCTGCCTGTGCATGACTGTGGCCACCAGCAGCTGGGTACAGCAACTGAGGGTCAGACATCTGCTCTGTAACAACAGCAGAGATGAATCTCTATTTTAATGAAACATGATGGGCTGCATGATTACAAGCAGCATCAGGTTTTTCTAAAGGCAGACTGCAGGCATTGTTTGCCTACCCTTGTCCCATTTACCTGGTGCCTGAGATGAGGTACCATGACTAGTCTGAACAAGCTTTTTGAGGCTTACCAAACTCCTTTTCCTTGGTGGTAACCTTCCTTCATGCATTTTTAAGTGAGAGAGAATGTCAAGATTATACCCACGACGAGCTGGGGGAGGTATCCAATTCAAATGTTTCATTTCCTGCCCCAAGTTTTATTGCATAAGTGGGATGGTATTTAGGAGTTTTATTTGAAGAAGAGAGACCCTGGCTTGGCCATGGTTTTTGAACACACGTGTCACATGCTTCTGCCTGACCTAACCTGCCCTTGAACTACAGACAGAGCAGTACAAGCCAACCAGTTCCATATGCCATTACTGTAAGCGCTAAATGACCATGGTCCCTCTTTCCTTGCCAATGGGTAACTAACTTATATTTCAGCATATATTTCTACCTCGGATTACACAGGAAGATCAGCTTAACAATTGCTTCTCAGACATGCCAACAAATTCATTTCAGCAAACACTATTTATCACCGGCTGTGTACTAGTCATGAAACCAAGATGAAATAGATGCAGTCCCTCACTGTAAGGAGCTTACAACTTTAATGTATGGAATTAGACACATGCACACCTAAATATAGATTAGTGAACTGGAACATGAATGCAAATAAATTATCCAGAATGCAACCCAGACAGATAAAGCAATGGAAATATTTGCTATAATGGTTAAAGACATATGGAGAATACAGTAAGAATGAATGCTATCTATATAATTGGAAATCCAGAAGGAGATGATAAAGAGAATGATCAAGAAATAATATTCAAAGAGATAATAACTGAGGATTTCTCAAACATTAGGAATTCCAAAAAATCCCAAATATATTAACTACAAGGAAATTTGCAAACAATCCATCATGGTGAGACTGTGAACACCAAACACAGAGATTATCTTAAAAGTATCCAAAGAGAAAAGACACATTTCCTACAAAGGAATAGCAATTAGAACAATACAAGCTTCTCTGTGATAGCATTAAGCCAGAAAAGACAGGGGAGTAGTATCTTCAAGACAGTACATAACTGCCAAGCTAGAATCATATGACGTCAAAGCAATAAGAAAATAATTTTGGCCATGATAGGGATTTAAAGTTATAAGTAAGGTGCTTTGAGAAAGCTAAGGGAGGAGCATTAATCGTGCATGGATGGTGGTGTTGAGGGGTGGGGAATGGAACAGATGTGAGTAGGATTGAGACAGCTGGGGAGTGAGGAGACAGGACTGCAGCCAGTGGTAGGATCCCTTTGTTTAAATGAGGAAAAGGCTCTACCTCAAATCCAACACAGTTCCACCCAAGGTGCCCAGAGTGTGGGCTGTAGGCGAGACGCCAATTCTTCCAGACTCTTCAGCTTGGTGGCCTTACATAAGGCACAGTCTGCACATTTGTAACTGCTGCCCTGAGGGGAGGTGCTCCAGATGGTGCAGTCTGAGCAAAGGCCTAGAGGTCCACATGGACATACTATGGTATGTTCAGGCAATAGAATGCCTCTGATAACTGCATCCCATAAGTACGACGTCTTCCTGGTGTTCAGGCTTGTGCACTGGACTGTATAGAAGAACACTGATTCCCATGAGTGGAGCAGGCAGCACACAGGTAAGCTAAATGGGAGCTTCAAGGCTGATAAAGCTCTTCCAGAATTCAATCAATGTGTTTTCCAAGGGCATCAGGGACCTAGTAGAATTCTAAGCCTGAGAAGGTCAAACACCATTTTACAAGTCCCTCCACATCTCCCCGCACCCCAGAGTGGCCTTGCTGTTGCTCCCCGCACCCCTGCAGGCCCTCTGCTCATTTACGCTTTTCTACTCCATGCCATGGAAATGCAAGGAGTTAGGAGCTGTAAAGGATTCCTTGTGAGTCCTACACCTCTGCCTGCATTTGCCCACTCATATCGGGACAGAGTATTATAAAGTATTGAAGTCTCCAAGAATCTTTGAGGTCATTCAGTACTTCCTCACAGCCATTGTGGAATTTCCTGTACAACATCTGTGACCAAAGCCCATCCCCATCCTGCCCAAGCTCTCCCAGGACCTAGAGGCTCACAGCCTAGGTCGTCATGATGGATCTCCTCTCCAAGATGTCAACTCTCATTTCTTCCTATGTCTGTCTTCTCCAAGGAAAAGAGCTTCAGTCTTCCCCTTAAATGACTGCACCCTAATCATTTTAATATGGTCAGGATTTGGCAAAGTACCTGCCCTCACCCCAATCACAGGTTTTATTTCACTGCACTGTAAACTTCACTAGTGATGCACAAGAGTACCTTGAGGGCAAAGACCATTTCTTATTGATCATTGCCAATATTCACAAGGTCTGGAGTACTAGTGGCTACATGATGGACATTCACTAAATTACTTCTGAAAGAATAACTAAAATGACAACCATATTGTCTGGTTTCCAAATCATCCAACTCATCTTTCTCTGGACGTGTGACTGACTTAGAAAACTATGAAATCCAGAACCCAATACAGGCAACCTCAACTTCCGTGTGTGTGTGTGTGTGTGTGTGTGTCTACACAAGAGAGAAGGACTACCCTCCTCTGGGGCCAATGTATTTTCCTTCTTTGCTCCCTCATATACTCTTGGGCAGCAGCAGTCTCTTATGAATCTTCAAGCTTATCTCTACTTTCTCAGTATTTATAGGGTAAATTTTCCCAAAGATGAAAAGGAGAAGCCAGAACACAGGGAAAACCATCGCGGTCACTCCTCTGGTTCCTTCTACCACTGCCCCAGCTCAAAGCTCTGCTGCGATGCAGATCATGTTTTTCCCAGAAAATGTAAACTTCTTAAGAAAACTGACTATCTTCTACAACTCCAGCACAGTGCTAGGCATACAACTAATTTCTGCAAGACAGTGTAGAAGCTAAGAATGGGCTCTGCAGCCAGTCACCCTGAGCTTGAATCTTAACTCCATCACTGTCAGTTCTGTGACAGTGGTAAGTACCAAACCTCTCGACGCTTCTGCCTCCTTATTTGTGAAACGGAGATAGTGATGTTATCTACAACACAGGTATGCAAATACCTACAATACATGCAAAATACCTGGTATGTAACATGCTATGTAGTATACGCAAGAAGCATTAGCTGTCATAATAATTTAATACATATTTATTGAGCTAATTATGGGTAAACGCAAAATTACAACATAAGACAGTCTTGTGCTAGGTACTTTTTCATACTCATTGAAAGCATTTACAGAGCCTTCTCTGTGCTAACTGCTGAGGGCACAAAGATGAGTAGCACTTGGGGAGATGATGTCACTTAGGAAGGTATTCTTTTCTCACTTTTTCCCTATTACATTTGATATTGTAAGGTGTCTCTGATGAGGTGTTAGCAGGTATCAAATCTTTAAGCATGTCTCCTAATCCTTTTGGACCTCAGTTTCCTCAACTGCAAAGCCAGGCGGTTTGGCTACTTGATCATCTAGCTTTAACATTGTATAACTTTATGATCATGGAGATTTGTTTGTAAAAAAAAAAAAAATTGCACTTCTGTTTCAGGGGTTTTTCTTCCACTCTTCTTCTCATGGACTAGGAAACCTGGGGACTTATTTTTGAGGTCACAAAAGAGGAAAAACCGAGACTCCTCAACCCAGACCCAACCACTGGCTTTGATGACATCAGGAAAGAGGGAGGAATGTTCTCTTCAGACTTGGGAAGCTGGCAGGCGACTCTCCTGGAGGCTGGTGTGCTTGAGGTCTCTGAGGGGGGCCCAGTCGCAGCCCCTATAGACCAGGATAGAACAATGAGATGTTTTCATGCCAGGACCTACAGAAGGAACCATTCATCTCTTGCTGCTTCAGGCAATAGTCCAGCTTCTCTTGGCAGGGAGCAAATCTATGCCAAGATTCACTGAGGTTTTGGTGGTCAACTGGATGGCAGCAGACCCTCTCTTTCTTCCTGGGTCCATTGAACAAATAAAAAAATTAATAGTTGATCAAAGTTGAGCCATTTCCAGGCTCCTGAGGCATTTCAATGATCATTATAGTATTATATCATTGAATAAGTTTTCAAGTACAGTGCATTAGGTAGGAGGTGGGGGAAGAACTTAAAAGGAACAGCTCTGAGGAGCTGCTTCATCTCGGGCCAGATGGGAATGGACTGGGATGTGGGTTCTCTAGACACCAACATCGACAACAAGGAGCTCTCAAGCACACAGATGCCTCCGCCCCCTATCAGTTGCACAGGGTTTCTCGCTAAAGCAGTTTAGAAAAACAATTTAGACATCTGAAGAATAAAACTCTAAGGGTATAGGGCTCCGTGACTTCTTGCCAGAGCCAAGAAGAAGCTGGCTCTCGACCTCACCTGCCATCACCATTCAAGGCAGACAGAGCCTTCAAAGTGCTTAAAAGAGATGAGTCAGAAGTCCAAATTCCCTTGCTCTCTCTCAGTTTTCATCAGCACCACAAGAATAGGCTGGAATTTTACTAAACGACTGAACACACACATTGCTAACAATGGATTCGTTACAGACTGTCCAGGGAAAACAGGAGAGAAAAAAATGAATGGCAGTGTAACCCCAGTTTCATATCATGGCAACCCTGTACAAACAACTCTCAGCGCAACCACATGCCAGTTCTCATCTTCACCTCCCAGACCCAGGTAGTCCTCAAGAGACAAAGCTCAGGAGCTAATCTCAGCATCTGATGGCAACAAAATTACCATTAAGCCTCTTGCCAGTGGGGCCAGCACTCACCAGGAAAAACTTACTCTGTTAGATAAAAACCCACTGCTGGGCGTGGTGGCTCACGCCTGTAATCCCGGCACTTTGGGAGGCCAAGGCGGGTGGATCACCTAAGGTCAGGAGTTCGAGACCAGCCTGGTCAACATGGCAAAACCCTGTCTCAACTAAAAATACAAAAATTAGCCAGGCTTGGTGTCAGTTGCCTGTAATCCCAGCTACTTGGGAGGCTGAAGCGGAAGAATCACTTGAACCTGGGAGGTGGAGGTTGCAGTGAGCCAAGATTGCACCATTGCACTCCAGCCTGGACAACGAGAGGAAAAAAAAAAAAAAACTCACAACTTGCTTGAAAGGGATAATTCATTCTCCCTACCTTTACCCCAAATATGCATGTATACATGCCATGTTTTCTGAAAAGGAATGATGTTTGTTATTTCTCTATTGGTGGAGATAAGCCTTGTTCTGGCATTCCTGGCAAATGCTCAGGAAACAATGTCCTGGTTGTTTTTTAAAGGAGAGACTACTTCAGAAGGACTTGGGGAGAGAGATCTTTTGTACGATTTCTCTTGGAAGATGGGGATGGAGGCTGCAGCAAGGCAGACTTTCAGAGAGAAGAGTATGGCACAAACCCCGCATGGGAAAGACCAACTCCTCATCCTGTGCATCATTTGTACCTTCAGCCCGGTCAGGCCCAGAAAGACTGCATATCCAGTGCAAGCTGGTGGAGATGCAGCCTTTGGTTTCATAAAGCACAGGGTGTTTTGCTCATTCATATTTGGGGGCAAGAGCTTGTGCATTTTTTGGCAGCCATAAACCTTGCCATATGCTGATAGAGAGAGTGAGGGTTGAATTAACACGCTGCCTCATCTTTTGGTGGATCACAGCTGAGTCATATCCATTTTGACACTCAGAGAATATAAATAGAAAGATTTTGGGGACAGAAATGAGAAATCTATACATCTTGGACTTTTTCAAGTTCTTCTGGCTAGCATGTGCTGTTTTCCTTAGCAGACTTGCCCATGATGAAACAAAGTCAGAGAAAGAACAGCCTTTGCTCAAACTTTTGAATGTCTTTGATACATTAGATTGGAAAAGACTGTTTGAAAGATAGGGAACAAATATGTTTTATTTCATTGAACTATGTGTGTGTCCTGAGCCAGTAGTGGCAAGAAGGGGGAGAAGCCTATGGATGATGCACGTAAGATTAAAATCCTGCAGGGTTTTTCCCCATCCTGGTGCCTTCACAACCTCAAGTATGGGGAAGCCAGAGTCATGCAGTGATTTATGCACCAGGAATCCAAGCTCAGAAAGCATGCAGGCATAAGGCCAGGCACTGGTGATTTCTGCTATTTTGCACTCCATGGTTTCTTGAGAAAATGGTACGTCACTCTGTTTGTTTTCTTGCTGTTCTTCTGAGGTGGAATGGAACATAAAGCTTCAACATGTTTTGTACCAAAATGGTTATACTAAAGAGGTCTGGCATATAGTTATCCTAAAGGGGGCTGCCCAAGAGGAGGAAGAAGTGACCAGCAATGTCTCATTAGCAGCCATAGACCTGGGAGACTCAACATGTCAAATATGTCAACAAACATTTCCTGAGTAGTCACTAGAATAGCATCCATTTAAAAGGCATAGTTTCTGCCCTGAGGAGCTTATAATATGTGGGGAGCAGGGTAAGAGATAAATACTTAATAAGCAGAAGATAGTAAAACTAAAGACAAGCAAGGCAGAGGCTTTCTAGAAGTTTGCTAGAATAGAAGTAGAGATAGGAAAACTCACAAGGCCATTTAGACTCAAGAGTAGCCTTCCCTCTGGAGGTCTAATTTAATTAGCACTATCACTGGGCAATTACTAAAATTATTCATCAAGGGATGGAATTTAAAACCTTCGAAAAAAGAGGGGTGGGAGTACATGTGTATATGTGAGAGAAAGAGAATGAGAGAAGAGAAAGGAAAGGAGAGAAGAGAAAGAGAAAGGAGGAGGGAAGATTAGGGAGGCAAAGAAAGGACAAGAGAGAGCGGAGGAGGGGAGAAGGGATCCCTAACCTAGATTGAATCCCCCAATGCTCAAAACCACTGAGCACTTTCTACTCTCAGAATTGTTAAAGTCACTGTCATCCACAAATGCTTTTAAGATTTTGAAATATATGAGAAACATTTAATGTGCTTCACAGAATAAGCTAGATAAAAACGGTCCTTACACTGCAACTGCTGGCACTCCCCTGGGCTGTCTGATGGTACGAAGTTTTGAGCACACACACGGATGATAACAAGCCTGTAAGGCTTGTCAAGAAACTTGACTTTTCAGGTGTTTGAATAAAGAAGACAGCATATTTTTGTATTCATCTCGGTTAACAGATATAAAAGATTAATTATGTCATTAAGTAGTATATAATTTTCAAGCACATTTAATGTCACTGCATATTTACAGTAATTTTCAAAGGAATTTTGCATCATTATATTATTCCCACAACAAGATTTTTTAAATGTTTTTCTGAAATTCTATAGTTCTAAGAAGAGCTCTATGTACCTTCTTGGAGCTTCATCCCAACGTCAATTTAGGAAGAAGCGTAGCTAATGTTAAAACTCTACACGCATGGGTTTACATTTAGACACCTGCATTCTCTCTGTCCATCTGTCTCTCCCTCTCTTTCACAGATTTGAGACACAGGAACTAAAACTGGACCAAGGCTCCTAGTAAGGATCACAGAATAGAAGTATTTTGGTTCAATTCCCCTCCCAAAAGACATATAAAAGTTTAAAAGAATGGAAAATTAAAAAATTTACAATCCCACCTTCTTTAGTGAAAGTAGGATACAGCCACAACTCTCAACCTCAGTTTCTGAGGATTGGATGCTAAGCAGAGTGAAAGTGGGACCTAACTGAGGGAAGGCATAAGAATAGCCACAAGCCTCTATAGATTTCTGGTAGGATATGGAGTTCTCCAAAAGGGGTGGCCCAGCAATTGCCTGATAGAAGTGTCAGGGCCTGGAACTGTGGGCAGGGCCCGAAAGCCTCCCTGTGTCCAGTTCCAGGTTGTGGAGCATTTGGCAAGGCTGCCTGATACTTAGCATACAATGTGTCCATATAACAGAGAGGAGGTCCCGCCCTCTGGCTGCAGAAGGAGCACCAGTGGAGGTTGGGTTTATAGCAGTGACTCCATGCCTGCTGGTAAACAGTTCTCAGCCAAAGATGATTCCACATCCCAAGGAGGCATTTGGCAATATCTGAAGATATTTTTATTTGCCACAACAGGTATCAAGTGGGTAAAGGCATAGAGGCCAAAGATGTTCTAAACATCTAAAAGTTGCAGAACTTTCCCTTGGATTATACAGCCCCAAATCTTAATAGTGCCAGGGTTAGGAAGCTCTCTGATCTTGGACAAATCTCTTAACTTTTCTTAGCCTTAATGTCCTACTCTGAAGAATGGGACTAATAAATAGCTTCTTGATTGAGTTGTTAGGCTGATTAATTCAGACACATGATTTATATGAAGCAATATTTTGCACAGTGCTTGACACGTTGTAAGTATTCAATAAATGTTGGCAACTATTGCTTCTCTCTCTCTCTCTCCTCTTCTCTCTCTCTCTCTTTAAGCAAGTATAAGTACATTTGCTTGGCTCTATGTCCTATAGCCCATCCTTGACACTATTCTGCCTTCACAAACACCTTTAGCAGAATTCTCAGTTCTCCAGCACTTTCTAAGGGTAGCCTACCTCACTGGTGACAATTCTTTGAGAAATGTGCTAAACGTGTGCAGTTAGGACAAGGGAAGTTGGATTCAACTGATTGGTCCAGCACACTACTCTGATTTTTGGAATAAAGATCATAACCCACCATTCCAGCTTTACATAACCAAACCAGAATAAAACCCAGGCCAGCTAAACCCTTGGATAATTAATTGTTCTTGGGTATGTTTCTGGATCATTGAAAATTTGAATGTGTAAGCACCAACATTTCTATTTTAAACATTTGTAGAAAATATTCCTAAGATGAATTATAAATTTCTCTGTATTTTTAACGAGTATATTCAACAGTTTAAGCTTTCCTTCATGACTCAAGATCATTACTACTAACATCAATTATTACACATGCTTTACCACAGTGGTGGCCTCAGGATCTGCTGAAGTTTGTTAGCTCTTTATCCACATGCTAAATAGATCAAGGGCGCTGCGCTTTCTTATCTTTTGTTTACACTAATTAACAAGGGTTTGTTTTCCTGCTGAATTCTTTGTTTTAACATTTCTAACTGGCTGTTCTTCATACATTAGCATAATGCCAAGGGTGGATCCGAAATTTTAGGGAACTGAAGCTCAGACAATTGTTGGTTGTTGGGAGGAGGGACTCTTAAAAAAAAATACAAAATTACAAATACAAAATTAGATACCAAATTGGACAGTGGGCATATTCCTGGAAGACATTCCTACTCTGGTTACGCTAGCAATAATTTAATAATACACAGAAGTAACTATAAAATATACATATATATTCCAACAAACCCTAATTGACTTCTACTTAGCTAGAGCTCAAAAAACGCCTACAGCCTCTTCAATGCCATCTGACATGAGGTGATGTGTGCTGGAGGGCAAGTCAGAGTGGCAGCAGGCAGTCTGAACCAATTGTGGTTAAGATATCTTACCTTTGGAAATTTTACAAAACCGTGTGACCTAGTGAACACGTTAGTGGGTCACTTACTGTGGACCTGCCTTCCTAATAGTCTGATGCAGTATTACTCTCTTCTGAACTAAAAACCCAAAGCCAACCTTGACAGAGTTTTACATGAATTAAGAAAGAAAAGGCTCAGAATAAAGACTGACGTACCTACTTGGAATAAAGCAAAGAGCCTTGCATGCATAGAGTTTGAGACATATGCATAAAATGTCTCTTTGGCTTATCTCTTATTTCTAGCTGTGCTTCACCAGGTGAGGAAAAATGAGCCAATCTCTTAGAGTCATTCTTTCCCCCAAAAAATCTTTATGTTCTTTCACTGGAGCAAGATTCCTGATTCCTATACAGTGATGTATTTACTAAACAGAGACCTATACAGAAATTACATACTATCCATCTACATAGGTTGTTACACTTTTGCCTGTTGGTGGGATAGTTCCATTTATCAAGTTTTATACATCAAAAAGCTTTGAATTTCACCAGATTGTCCATTAATTCTCCTCTGAAAAAGTGGCATTTAATTTCAGCTATTATACTTTAACAACATTAAAAAGCTTCCGCATTACGCTTCTTCTCTGCAAAATGGCATTGAGCAGACAGAGCTGAGTCCATTACCCCACCCAGATTTATATAGTCATATTTGAACAACTTTACACCAGAGAGCTGGGACAGTTACTCCTAATTAACACAGACTTCTTACTCTGAGAGCCCATCTTCTTGGCCACATTTTACATAGCCAGTGAAGACATGCCAGCAACTGCCCTATATATAGCTTGGCATTAAAGCACCAGGTCTATTTGATGGTAGTGGCAGGCACTATTACTTTATATCCCGGTAAAAGGCAAATTTTAAAAACTGCCACCTGGAGATTAAAAATCAAGGGCACAACGTTCTGAGAACTGAGTATTGAGCATTCTGGTATCCCAAATGATGTGAATATTATCAGAAACCAATGGCGAATGGTACCCATGTTTCCCAGCTAGGGAGATATTAACAGAATGATTCAAATCCCATTACTAAATCCACATAGCCCTGAGGTTTTCCTGTAAAGTGTGTATCAAAAAATATGAAGTTAGGGTGACAAAGTTTGACAGTGATGTTATACAAGTCAAACTTGGAAGGTCATAGTAAGCATATCTATGCTGAGAGAAAAGCATCAAATCCTTTGTGTACACATTTAGTTGTATCGTAACAAAGCAACTTGTACACTTTTAACCTTTAAAACTGAGCATCATCTTTCCTTTCCTTCCAGTGAAACAAAAAGAAAATTTAAAAATAAACAGGAACAAAATTACGATAGAGAATGTCAATTCCAAATAAGATCCTACAGGTTCTGCTGATTCTCCCATTGAGTGGCAGGGCTCAAGTCATCATTCAGAGAGAATTTATTTTAAAAGTGTCATCTTAAACTGTAAGGATGTCTGTCAAATATCACAATTGAACATGCCAAAGCAGAAGCCATGCTGTCAAAATGCCCACTTAACCCAAACATCTCCAACCCACCCTTTGCACCTTCTATAACTCCATTTTTTAAAGTGTTTTTGTCTTTTTTTAAACAAGAGAAAGTAGACAGATGCATGTTGGGAAATGCTAACTGTGCATATTCACATAGAGACATGGTGTACTCTCTGAGCCCAAGGTACAGAGAAAGGAGAAAAGAAGCTAGAATTCTGTGCACTGCTACACAGAGGCCTCACAACTTCCAGCTTCCAGCAGAGCAAAGGGAACAGGTTTTTCTTTTTTCCCACAGAGTTCAGTGGTGTTGATTCTGTACAGTTTTTGTTCAGACAGGAAAGGATAAAAATGAATTTTGAACAGAAAGGGGTAGAGACACTTTTTCCATTGTATTCTGCTCAAGGTATTTCTCCCAAAATAAGTTGAGAACCATGGTGTAGAGAAAAGAGATCTCAAGAACAGGGCGACTGAGCACAAGAGGAAAAAAAAGGGAAAAAGGAAGACTGCAACTTGCTCCCAGGGATTGGAGAAAATTTTTTAAAAAAGAAAGTTGGGGCCGGGAGCGGTGGCTCACGCCTGTAATCCCAGCACTTTGAGAGGCCGAGGCGGGCGGATCACAAGTTCAGGAGATTGAGGCCATCCTGGCTAACACGGTGAAATCCCGTCTCTACTAAAAATACAAAAAATTAGCCGGGTGTGGTGGTGCTTGCCTGTAGTCCCAGCTACTCGGGAGGCTGAGGCAGGAGAATCGCTTGAACCCGGCAGGCGGAGGTTGCAGTGAGCCGAGATCGCGCCACTGCACTCCAGCTTGGGCGACAGAGCGAGACTCCATCCCAAAAGGAGACAGACTCTTTGCAGGAACATGGATGAAGTTGGAAACCGTCATTCTCAGCAAACTATCACAAGGACAGATAACCAAACACTGCATGTTCTCACTCATAGGTGGGAGTCGAACAATGAGAACACATGGAAACAGGGCAGGGAACATCACACACCGGGGCCTGTCGGGGGGTGGGGGCCCGGGGGAGGGATAGCATTAGGAGAAATACCTAATGTAAATGATGAGTTGATGGGTGCAGCAAACCAACATGGCAATGTATACCTATGTAACAAACTTGCACGTTGTGCACATGTATCCCAGAACTTAAGTATAATAATTTAAAAAAGAAGGTTGGAATCCATCAGTGTTCTGTTAGTCATCTTCTCCTTCATCCTCCTCTCCCTCCCCTTCATCATCATCTTCTTCTTCTTCACCTTCATCCTCATCCCCTTCTTCATCAATACCTTCTAATCCTTTCTCCTCTTCTTCATCATCATCTTCTCCTTCTCCTTCTTCATCTTCATCATCATCTTCTCCTTCTCCTTCTTCATCTTCATCATCATCTTCTCCTTCTCCTTCTTCATCATCCATATCGGAAACCAAGTAGTACTGTAATAGGTTTGGCCAAATATCATCTTTGATGACCTCTCCTAACTCATTAGCCCCTACATCAGAATGGTCAGTAAACCAGGTAAAAAACTCTCTAGTTCCGCATGCTGCTTCTTCCTGCTGGCTTTATTCTGTGTTTAACTTGAATGTTTTGTCAAATCCTTTCCAGATTTCCATTTGATTTCAGTGGACTTTGAAGATGGATCACCTCTCTCATTCAGATGAAATTCTTTGGAGAGAATTTTATTTCCAAAGTAAGGATTTTCATCAAAATAAAAATCTATTCAGCAATTTGATTTAATGTCATCAAATTCCATCACTTCGACTCTGGTCAAGTAATGCACTGCCTCTTCGTCCTCCTCCCCAAGCAGTGCAGACACTTTTGGATGGTTAACAAATGTTGTTACCCAAAAATCTGGGATTTTGGCAATCAATTCTGACCTCTTCTGAGAAAATTATTTACGGAGTTTGTTATATTTCTGTTCTACTTTCAAAATCTCCTCACTGGCTTGTTCATTAAGTCTGTCTATTTCATTTCGTACTTTATCAATGTGTTCAATTGCTTCTTGCTCTTCTTCTCCCTTCTTCAGTAAGCCTGCAGAAGTCAATGTCTTCTCTGGTCTCAGGGCAGGAGGTGGTCTTGGTTTCTTCACTTGAGGTGGGAGTGGAGACAGGTGTTTGGGGGCCATGTGGCTAAGGAAGTCCAAGAACCAGACCACAGGTCTCCTCGCTCATCAGGAAGCAGGCAAAAAACTCAGGGTCATTTTTTAAGAGCATTTTCTTAATATGAATAATCTTTTTTAGTTGACATTTAATAATTGTACATATTTATGGAGTACAGTGTGATATTTCAATACCTGTATACAATGCACAATGATCAAATCAAGGTAATTAGTGTCACCTCAAACATTTTTTGTGTTGAGAACATTCAAAGTTCTCTCTTGTAGCCATTTTAAAATATTAAATAAATAATAACTATCATCACCCCACAGTGCTATAGAACACTAGAACTTACTCCTCTTATCTAGCTGTAATTTCATATTGGTTAAAAAATCCTTTCCTTATCTCCCCTTCCCTCTACCCTTCCCAGGTTCTAGTTAGCACTATTTAGTAATAGTTTTGAATATGATTTAAGTTAAAGTAACCATGATCATCTGTAGTTTGTACTGTTTTCAGTAGTAAAAATTCAAGACTTGGACTCTTAAGGTTTCTAATAAAAAGCAAATGTTTACTTGTACTTCCCTTTGTTCCTCTTTACCAGTTATTTCTTTTTAATGTTTACACTTCGTTTCTTTTTTTTTTTTTTTAAATAGAGATGGGATTTCGCCATGTTGCCCAGGCCAGGCTGGTCTCGAACTCTTGGGCTCAAGTGATCCTCCCACCTCAGCCTTCCAAAGTGCTAGGATTATAGGCATGAGCCACTATGCCCAGCCTAATTTTTAAATTTTGAAATAATTTTGGACTTAGAGAAAAGCTGCAAAGTTCAGAGATCCCTGATATGCTTTACCCAGTTTTCTTGACCACATCTTATATAGTCTTAGTAAGATGATCAAAACCAGGAAATTGACATTGATACAATACCACTAACTAATCCGTAGACGCTGTTGAAATAATTTTGCCAGTTTTCCCACTAATGTCTTTTTTACTGGTACGATCCAGGATTCCACATTGTATTCGGTTGTCATGTGTCCTAAGTGTTCTCTAATTTGTGACAGACAGCACCTTAGTCTTTTTTGTCTCCCACAACAGTGACACTTTTGAAGCCTACTAGCCAGTTATTTTGAAAAATCTCCCTAGACTTTGATCTGATAATTTCTCATGATTATACTTTTTTGCAAGAATAACGTAGAGGAGATGTTGTGCCCTTCTCAGTGTCCCATATCAAGAAATACACAATATTAGGTGATATTAACTTTGATGACTTGGGTAAGGTGATGCATGCCAGGTTTTTCTACCAAAAAGACATTTTTTTCCCTTTGTAATAATTAGGAGAAAATTTAAGACTATGCAAATAGTCTTATTTCTTCATTAATTTTAGTGCCCAATGATGGTTCTTATCTGAACATTTATTGCTATTTGCCTAAGAATAATTTTTATTTAAATAATTTCCTCTACATTTATTAATCAGAATCCTACTGTAAGAAAGAATTGTCCTTTCTCAATTACTCATGTCAATTTAGAGCCATAGATACTTATTACAATTTTTTAATTGTTGTTGCTCAAATTGTCCCAATTTTTACTACAAAAGGAACCCCTTCAAGTTTCTTACATTCTTTCAGCATGTCCCCATCAGTTTTTGAGTACTTCCTTACCTTCTGGCATCACAAGATGTTCCAGACTAATCTTATCATTTCACTGGCTCAATCCTGGAGTCAACCAATTCTACAAGGAACCCTGGTTCCTTTTATTGAAGAATGGCATTTAACAACCAAAATATAGGTGGTAGACATGCTCATTGCTACTGGGATGTCATGAGGTATAGAAAATATGTGTCTGTATATTACATATGTATATATACATCTACATTTACTTCTTTATGCCACCTGTGTACATAATAAAAATCATGAGTTTACGCTGATACCTCCTATTCTAACACTATAGGGTTTATTCTAGCTTCCTCCCCCTTCCTTATTTTTAACTTATTTCTTCTACTTGAGAAATGGGGCTCTCATTATTCACAATGTTTTTATTTATTTGTTCAGTCCTAGTAGATATGTAGCTTCAGAATTGCTAAAGCATATCCCTATGAGTATTTACCAAATAGATTAAGATATTTGCGTACAGTTCGTTTTATAATACTTGCATACAGTAGTCTTTGGTGCTATAGTATATAGTCAAAATACTATTTCCAATGCTACTTTTCTTACTGTTGTGTTCTATTTGGGGTTCCCCCAGCATCTGGGTTGAATTTAATTAATTATAATGGGAGAGGGGGACATTCCCATAGTTCTAAGAGTCAGCGCTATATAGTAAAGGCATATTCAGAAAAGTACTGCTCACACCTTGCTTCTACCACTCTGTTCTCATTTCCCATTCTTTCCACCCTGTTTCCATCTACCCTCTGTAGGTAACCAATCTCGTTACTCCTGGCTTATTTTTTCTGTATATTATTCCCCGTCGGGTTAGCAAAAATTAATAAATTTTACAACACGTTCCGTTAGTGAAGCTATATGTAAATAGGCATAGCATACTTAGGCACAAATGAGCAGATATGTATTTAGTATGATATGAGCTTTTAGTATTCCATTTTTTCTCACATCAAGCATAGTATACTACACATATTCTTTGCATTTTACTTTTCTCACTTAAAAGTATGTCCGGGAAAATCACTACCTATTATTTCAGAGAGATTTTCCTCATTTTTTTTACAGATATATAGTACTCCATGTATAAATGAACCATGGTTTTATTCAATCATTCTTCTATCTGTAGGCATTTAGACTGATTCCAATATTTTGCAATTACAAATCATGCTTCAATGAACAATCTTGTATATATGTACTGTCATATCATTGGAAGTGAATTTTGGGCTAGATTTCTAAAATGAGATTTCTGAGTCAAACAGTAAACGCACATGTAGCTTTGTAAAGTAATGTCAAATTTCACTTTTAAAAGGTTGTACCAGCTTGACATCCTACCAGAAATGCATGTAACAGAATGTGTTGTAAAATTTATTAATTTTTGCCAGCCTGACAGGCAAGAAATCGTATCTCAGTGTTGTTTTAATTGTATTCCTCTAATTATGAGTGAGTGTGAACAAGTTTCATGTTTAAGGGCCATTTCTATTTCATTTGCTGTGAATTGTCTGCTCACGAAAGCAAAGCCAGCAACAGAAATGGACAGGAAACTTTCACATCTGGCTCCCAGGATAGGCCCTGCCCCCTGGATTGAGCTCCATGGAGACCTTAGACTTGCCTGCTTTCTCAGCCCTATTCATACACCCAGCACCCAGGGCAGACAGAATTCTATTCCTCCCAGAGGTGGTCCGTGACCTCAGTACTGCAGTTTGGTTGGTGTCTTAACCAAGCTCAATGGTCTGAGTATTCAGGGTTACGGTTATTTTTAGGTTTCCTGTGACAATAAAAAACATTTTCTGCAGATGCTTAAAAGTAAGCCCTGTGTTTGGTGTAGAAATCACAAAGTTAACAATTAACATGGGCCCTGGGTATCTTCACATTTGAGTGTCAGGCATTGGTCCTCATGTTTCATACTGGGAAAAGTCAATCAACTCACCATTTGGCAAAGGTCAAAGCAGGGGACTGACCTTATGACTGATGATTCTGTGTTCCAGACCACTGTGAATTCCTCTACCTGTTTGCAAAAGAAAAAGGGAATTTTCCTGAGTTTCAGTTGAATTAATCACATTTAACAGCTCTTCAGAGGAAAAAAAAAATCAATCTTGTAAATTACAAGTACTGCCAGGGGAGCCTTACATTAGGCATCACTTCCATGTATATAGTCAGACCAGAATGAAGCTGGATTTGATCCCTTGAGGTTGAACTGTCACCAAAGGCAGCATTTCCGCTACTCTCTATCTTTTCAATAATGTAAATAAAGAACTGGATCAATCTGAACAACAGAGTCATTACTGTATCTTAATTCAATGTTTTCTGCTATTAATACATCTTGTCTTCTTTTGATTCTCTAACTCAAAAGAGCTTGTCGTTATGTGTTATTTGTTTAATTTAGTACCATTATCAAATTAAATAAGGAAGTATCTTCCTTTGCTTGTAGTCTCCAGGGCTGGAAGGGAAGTAATGCAGTAACTGTACAAGCCTTATTTAGCTCACACAGCTCAATGGTACCCTTGCAAAGTGGGTGACTTTAAAAGGGATACTTTCTTTCCACATGAGCAATCTCATCAAGAACTCTTTTAGCCTGACACCTAAAAGCTGCTCTACTTGCATATGACCTCTATTTGTTAGTTACATGGGATTAAGGAAAATTGATCTATCCTTAGGGTCCCCTTTACCCTAAACTGCTCATAAATTCATCTATAATTTGGAAAAAATAAATAAAGGGAAAATAGCTAAGGGGAGTCTATCACCAACTTCAGGTAAAATTCAAGGTCTTGTTTGTATTACCAGCTCTATTTCTGTATACCTAAATCTATGATGTTTCAGTTATGGACCACGAACTATAAACTCAAGTTCACTTTCACTGCAACATTGGTTAAGAAGGAGGTGCTGTCAATGCAGGCATTAATCATCTCAAGAACATTCAGAGTATGAAATGGTTTCCCTGACTTTGATGTAAACAAAAATGTTTCAAACTTTTCCCTTTCTGTACCGGGTAGTACTGTGGGTGACTTTTCTGGAGTCTTTTTAGGAGAGATAGAATGAGTTGAAAACATATCAATTTGCATGTTTTATGGAAAACAATTTCTGTTAGAGCCACTGGCATACTAAAATTACTCAATACTGACTGAAATAAGGAGTCTATTTTAGAAGGACTTCCAGCTTGGGTGACCAGTTTCCTGTTTGCAAACTTTGAAAATCTCTTATCGGGGCAATGGCTTAACCATTAATAAGAAAAACACAGTCCCCTTCTCTAATTCTGCAATTGCCTTGTTGAACTTGGCCATCCACAGGTATGATGGCTCACTGCCCATTAAGGCATTTTGACACTCTTCTGGGTATATATAGAAAACAATAACCTCAATTGTCTAAAAACAGAGAGACTTTAAAATCAGCATATACATATCCTCATAAACACACACACACAGTCTTCTGCACACATACATACTCCATACATGAATAGCAATGTCCTTACTAACATATTAAATATCCCTTTCAGTTCTTCTGTCTTTAGCGGTTCCCATTTCAGAGCCACACCACAGATTCTTTGTGTCCTAAGTCCATAAGAAGCATCCCAAGCATTCTTGCAAGCCCTGTGGCTCGGCTCATGCAACTGGGAATAAAAGATCCCTTGAATACAAATGGTAATGCTCATGCTAGCAGCTGCCACCCAAGGGTAGCAAACACCATGCAGTTCATGTTTTGTACTGCTGCTTTTTGTTCTGAGTGAAAGATGAGAGATATGTTCTCACTGGGGAATTCTTTGGTTCTGATTTAAGCGGGGAGAAGAACAGAGGGTTTTTTTTGTTGTTTTTTGTTTTTTTTTTTATGATTCCCTGTGGCATGTAGAGTTTGACCTTGACTTTTTAACTACCACGAACACATGAACTTCTACCCCAGATTATGCCTAAACTTTCAAAATAAAGGAATTAAAAAAAACAACTCCAATTTGCGTGGAGCTACTACTTTCAGCTTTCAAAATCCTGTAAGGTGTATTGTTAACAGCAGTGGGTTAGATCTTCTGCTATTAGTGGAGGCCAGAAAAGAATACTTTGGGAAAGGTCAGCAGTACTTAACAGGAGCTGAAGGAAGTGAGCAACTATATTTAAAGACTTAGGATGGAGTATGGTTTCACTTTACACACAAAGAACTCTTTCTTTCGGCTTTTAACGTTGAGGTGGATAAATTCTGAAAACTCACAGAGGGATTTGTTGTTGACTTGTAAATCCAAACTTACATGTCATGAATTTCATTACTCTATCTCTCATTCCCCGGAACAGCCCATGGCATTGAACATCTTTTGCCTGGCATAATCACATGGAACACAAAGCCTCTACTGAATCTTATGGAATGAAAGAATGCATGTTGAATTCAATTTTATTTCTTTTTCTTTCTTCTTGAGCTTCATGCATTTAAAATGGGCGTACATCCTCAGAAAGTCAAGTGCCTGAGGATGTTACTAGTGATGTAGACATAACTTTTTGCCCCAAGGTGGTGGGTATAAATCTAGACTGAGTCAGGGCAATCAAGAGGAA